>NC_000010.11:91809761-92112792 GCF_000001405.40 Homo sapiens
TGCATTTGATTCATTTATTCACGCAATTGCCAAGGTGATCTTTCTTTAAAGAAAAAAAAAGGCAAATAGTCACTGCCCTAAACACATCATTCTGTAACTAATGATGTGTTGTAGCAGTATTTTTCAAACTGTTTCTAAGAGGTGCTCAGGGATACAGGAATATTTTCTTTTGGGTCTTTGTGAGGGGAAGAAGGAGGATTCAACCAGAATAGTTTTTATTTTATTCAATTAATTTGCAGTTCTATGAATGCCAACTATGTACTAGGCATTGGGTATTTAGCAGTAAACATGACCTGCACTTATTATAATCTTAAATAAGATCTAATTGAAATCTGACTGGGCCCAGTGCGGTGGCTTGTGCCTGTAATCCCCACACTTTGGGAGGCTGAGGATTACTTGAGGTCAGAAGTTCGAGACCAGCCTGGCCAACATGGCAATACCCCATGTCTACTAAAAATACAAAAAAATTAGCCAGGCATGGTGGTGCACACCTGTAGTCCCAGCTACTCAGGAAGCTAAGGCAGGAGAATCGCTTAAGCCTGGGAGGCAGAGGTTGCAGTGAGCCGAGATCACGCCATTGCACTCCAGCCTGGGTGACAGAGTGAGACTCTGTCTCAAAAAACAAAACAACAACAACAAAAAAAACCCTGCTATCTGAAAACAGTTTGAAAAACACTAATTTATGGGACAAAGGCCAGGTGCTGCCTTAGCCTAACATACTCCTTTCATTGTTGTTGTTTTGTTTTGTTTTGTTTTTTTGAGACGGAGTCTCACTCTGTCTCCCAGGCTGGAGTGCAGTGGCCCGGTCTTGGCTCAGTGCAAGCTCTGCCTCCCAGGTTCATGCCATTCTCCTGCCTCAACCACCCAAGTAGCTGGGACTACAGGCACCTGCCACAACGCCCAGCTAATTTTTTTTTTTTGTATTTTTAGTAGAGACAGGGTTTCACCATGTCAGCCAGGATGGTCTCAATCTCCTGACCTCGTGATCCACCCGCCTCGGCCTCCCAAAGTGCTGGGATTACAGGCATGAGCCACCGCACCCAGCCAGCCTGACATACTCCTGATCTAGCATCTGCCCACTTTGGCATTCTGTGTCCTGGCTGTTATGGAGCATTTGTTTATTCTTTTCTTTTTTCTTTTCTTTCTCTCTTTTCTTTTCTTTTTTTTTTTTTTTTTTTTTTTGAGATGGAGTCTCACTCTGTCACCCCCAGGCTGGAGTGCAGTGACGTGATCTCGGCTCACTGCAACCTATACCTGCCGGGTTCAAGCAATTCTGTCTCAGCTTCCCATGTAGCTGGGATTACAGGCACGCGCCACCACGCCCAGCTAATTTTTTGTATTTTTAGTAGAGACTGGGTTTCACCATGCTGGCCAGGCTGGTCTCGAACTCCTGACCTCGTGATCTGCCCACCTGGGCCTCCCAAAGTGCTGGGATTACTGGCGTGAGCCACTGCGCCCAGCCCAAGCATTTATTCTTTCATACCTCCATGTCTGTGTACGTTTTGTTTCTTCTGCTTGGACTGCAGGACCCTTCCTTGCTCATCTCCTTTCCCTCACCTCTCCCTCCTCATTTTCCTAATCATCCCTTATTTTTCTGTATGCTTTCAGCTCAGGTGTCATCACTGGAATTGCCTTAGGTAAGTCTTTTCCGTTCTCTGCTTTCCCCTAGTTTAGGAGTTCCCTTCTTTGAGCTCTAGTAGCACTTTATATATACATAGCAATTATATTGTATTGAAATTTAAAATCTTCATATCTTAAATTATGAGCTCTTTGAGAGGAGGAAGAATCAAAGATACAAAGATACTCATCTTTGTGACCACAGAGCCCAGCAATGTTAAAACAAAACAAAAACAGTTAATCTTTTCAACTATCTTTAGCTCTTCCATCAGCTGCAACCAGGCCAACCCCAGGCATCGACCTTAGAAAGACTGTACCATTACTTTCTTATCTGTTCTCATTGCTGGTCATCTTGGAAGAACTACAGTCAGACTTGGTGGCTTTAAGAATAGAATGGAGGGCTGGGCGCAGTGGCTCACGCCTGTAATCCCAGCACTTTGGGAGACCAAGGCGGGTGGATCATGAGGTCAGGAGATCGAGACCATCCTGGCTAACATGGTGAAATCCCATCTCTACTAAAAAATACAAAAAATTAGCCAAGCATGGTGGCGGGTGCCTGTAGTCCCAGCTACTCTGGAGGCTGAGGCAGGAGAATGGCATGAACCCGGGAGGCGGAGCTTGCAGTGAGCCGAGATCGTGCCACGCACTCCAGCCTGGGCGACAGAGCGACACTCCGTCTCAAAAAAAAAAAAAAAAAGAATAGAACGGAGAAAATTTCAGAAGAGTGAGCAGTTCCTTTCTCTCTACCCAAACACATTGTAGACCACTCCATCTGCTTTAACATATGCCTGAAAGCCTTATCATTTCAAAGCTAGGTGTAAAAAGGTTTTAAGTACTAATATATGGGAATGATAAGAGATTGAAACTCATTGGTGCTAGATCTGTAAACCAGTATAAATAAATTACCAGACTTTTTTTGTTTTATTTGATTTGGGGGCAGTTGAGCAGAACTGTGGAATGTTGGTACCTAAAGGAGGCCTCCTACATGGAAAGAAGTTATATATGCGTTTTGCAAGTGGCAAAGTAGGGACTCCTTTGAAGACACTGGATTTCATACTTTTGCCTGGGGTTATCTCTCTGTGTCTCACTACATAGACAAATATTAGCTGTGAGCAGATCTTTTTTTGTTGCTTCTTGTAGTCCCCCAGTTTAGCAGAAACATTCTGTGAGATAGATGTGGGAAAGGAATTCTAGCAAGAGTTTTGTCACTGTATCATAAGGTTGTGATTTACATATTTAAGTTTTATACTTTGAACATCTGAAAATGTATACATACTAAATACGCAGAACTCTATTGTAGAGTGAGAAACATTTGAACTTTGAGCTTTCAGTCACTTATTTTGTATTCTTTCTTTGAGGTTAGCAGTAGTAGTACCACCCAAGGCACTGCTTAGGTACCACTGCTGCTTAGTGGAGAGTCCCTCTGGCTTTATCATTAAGGTTAGTTATTGATATATTTCTGATCACCTTTCCATTAATTAGTTCTTGAATTGTTGAGTCTGTTATTAATTTTCAACCTGAAACATTTTAGTATGGATGGTACTTATCTAATTTGATATCTTTTCCTTGTTGAACTTACGTGTGGACAATTTGTTTTCATCTAGGTTTTGGGCGGAAAGACGTAGTTGAATATTTGCTTCAGAATGGTGCAAATGTCCAAGCACGTGATGATGGGGGCCTTATTCCTCTTCATAATGCATGCTCTTTTGGTCATGCTGAAGTAGTCAATCTCCTTTTGCGACATGGTGCAGACCCCAATGCTCGAGATAATTGGAATTATACTCCTCTCCATGAAGCTGCAATTAAAGGAAAGATTGATGTTTGCATTGGTAAGACTGTTTACTTTTCCGACTTTTACTAATGTTGTAACTATTCTGAATCTGAACTGAATTAATCTGTTCATATCATCAAATTATGTCAAGCTGAATTTAAATATTTAAGAACATCCCATGATTTAATCTAACTACTATTTACTGAGTGTCTTTTTGTGTGTAGTACTGAGCCTAAATTTCTTTGGAGAATGGACTACAAAGTGCCTATTATACTTGCATTCTCTTGGGAGAGAAAATATACAAAGAGCCAGATAAAGGCATGGTGGAAGGGAACAGAGAGTGTTAAGAGGATAATGAGCACAGTGACTTGGCAGGATCAAGTCAAGGCCCTACTTCCTGGAGTCTTTCCGTGAGAAAGGGAAAGTCTTTCCAGTGGGGAAAGGGTTAAAAAGGTAGGTGGGGATTTCTCTATAAAAAGCTTTAAATACCAGGTTAAGGAGCTTAATATTAGTACGTGCAGGCAGTGTAGAATATTTAATATTTTTTGAGGAAGGGAACACTGTGATAAGAGTACATAGTATGCAGTCATGCTCCACGTAACTCCATTTCAAAATGGATGACATACATAAGGGTGGTCCATAAGATGATAATGGAGCTGAAAAATTCCTGTCACCTACTGACTTTGTAGCAGTCCTAACTTCATAGCACGAGGCATTACTCAGGTGTTTATGGTGATGCTGGGTTAACCTAGTGTACTGCCAGTCATATAAACGTATAGCATATAAAATTATGTACACTACATGATACTTGATAATAACCAACTTTGTTACTGGTTTATATATTTACTATACTTTTTATTGTGATTTTAGAGTATACTCAGCAATTAAAAAAAAAAGTTAACTGTAAAACAGCCTCAGGCAGGTTCTTTAGGACGTGTTCCAGAAGAAGACATTATTATAGGAGATGACAGCTCCCTGTATGTTATTGCCCCTAAAGACCTTCCAGTGGGAGAAGATATGGAGGTGGAAGACAGTGATATTGATGATCTTGAGCCTATGTAGGCCTAGCTAATATGTGTGTCTATATCTTAGTTTTTAACAGAAAAGTTGTAAAAAAAAATTTTTTTGAATAGAGAAAAGCTTATAGAATAAAGACATAAAATATTTTTGTATAGCTGTACATAGTGTTTGTGTTTTAAGCTGTTATTACAAAAGTCAAAAAGCCTTTAAAAATTTAAAAATTTCTAATGTGAAAAGGTTACAGTAAGCTAAAGTTAATTATTGAAGAAAGAAAAATATTTTAAAAATAAACTTACATAGCTAAGTGTGCAGTGTTTATGTAGAGTCTACAGTAATGTATTATAATATACTAGGCCTTCACATTCACTCATCACTCACTCACTGACTCACTCAGGGAAACTTCCAATCCTGCAAGCTCCATTCATGGTAAATGTCCTATACAGATATACCATTTCTTATCTTTTATACTATATTTAGACATACTTAGTTACAGATGTACTTACCATTGTATTACAGTTGCCTGCAGTATTCGGTACAGTAACATGCTGTTCAGGTTTGTAGCCTAGGAGGAGTAGGCTATACCATGTAGCCTAGGTGTTTGGTAGACTGTACCAGCTAGGTTTGTGTAAGCATACTCTGGTGTTGGCACAATGACGGACTCACCTACCAATGCATTTCTCAGAGTATATCCCTGTCATTAAGTGACACATGACTGTATTTTATGAAGAGTAATCTGGTAGGGGACTGGGTAGGATGGATGGCATCAAGGATACCAGTTAGGAAACTGTAAAGTAACCCAGGTGAGAAATGATGCTACTGAATTATAGGGTTATAGGAGAGAAATGGCAGGATAAGTAAGAAAAATATACAGTATGTGAGAAGGCTTTTTGAGAATTTGTATTAACCTGGTATTTACTTTTGTGAGACAGATTCAAGGATTTTGGACTCATTGCCACCTTAACTCCATTATTTCCTGATGTAAAACAGGGACAGTTGAAATCCTTAACAGATAGAAAGCCAGTTCAGTGCACTAGAGAAAGTCCAGGTGTTCTATGCTAGACTTAAGTTGGACCTCATGGTCCCCAGCATCCCAAATCACTATTTATGTCAACTTCACCAGCTTAGTTGAAATGAGGTCATTTATAAAGATGTGAAATGGATTTCCTAGTTACCTCTGCCCAATTCTCCTTTTCTGTATGTTGTCTTAAATTGTTCCTGCCCTACATTCAAATACATCATTTTTACCACATAACCCAACTCTGGTACCTCAGAATCTTAGACATATAATTAATTAGTTTTAATAATGTAGAGTTTTCCAGTTATAATCTGCACTATCCAATATGGTAGCTAAGGGCTTGCAATGTCTGAATTGAGAGGTACTCTAAGGGGAAAAAGCATGCCACATTTCAGAGACTTAGTACAAAAAAAAATGTAAAATATCTAATTTTATATTGATTATAATATAAATGTAAATATTGAATTTTTGGATGTATTAGGTGAAATCTGTTCAAATTAATTTGAACTGTTTCTTTTTTTCATGTAGTTACTAGAAAATGTTAAATTATTTATGTGGCTCACATTTTATTTCTGTTGAACAGCACTGGTATATATAGGAGTAGAGCAGAATGGAAATTCACCCTATCAAAGAACAGGAGCTGAGCTTCCTTTCTGCACATATTTGCCTGTCTTCCTCCAGCTCCTTATTTAGAGAGTATACTGGAATAGCTTCATAATAATACAAATAATAATACAGCACAGAGCAAAACACAAGACTTTCTCTTTTTTTTTTTTTTTTTTGAGACGGAGTCTTGCACTGTCGCCTAGGCTGGAGTGCAGTGGCGTGATCTCCGCTCACTGCAAGCTCCGCCTCCCGGGTTCACGCCATTCTACTGCCTCAGCCTCTCGAGTAGCTAGGACTACAGGCGCCCGCCACCATGCCCAGCTAGTTTTTTGTATTTTTAGTAGAGAGGGGGTTTCACCATGTTAGCCAGGATGGTCTCGATCTCCTGACCTCATGATCTGCCCGCCTCGGCCTCCCAAAGTGCTGAGATTACAGGCGTGAGCCACCACACCCAGCCAAGACTTCCCTTTTTATGTGCCTTGAATTATAATGTAGTAGTTTTGATTTGGGGTAGGTTGGCCCTACTAAGGGTATTTGGATTTTAACTTAAAATTCCGTGTAATTAACCTGAAAAACCTAACTACTCAGCTAGCAACCCTTATTTATATATCCCTCAGTTAAGATTTTTCCAAAGAAAAATTGTCCTTGTAAGGAGTAATTTGCACCTCGGTTTCAATGTACCTACTCCACTCCTTAGACTCTTTACCTTGCACCTTACAAGTGCATTGTATTATGGTATCAATAGTGGACAAATACAAGCAGGCTCCTGTTAATTATTCAGCTTTCCTGAAGAATAGAAAGATAATGACTGATGACCTTACAGAATTTATTGAAAGCATAAGGAAGCTATTCAGTTTTTTGTGTTTTTTAAAAAAGAATTTACCTGTGTGATTTTCTTTTTTTTTTTTCTTAAAAATCCTACATATCTCTGTTCCCAGGCTATCTATAGCTTTAGACATTTTATTTCTGTCATGATGAACAGTCTTTCTAGCATAAGCAGTGTTCTTTTGGAATGAGAAAACAAGCTTTTAAGCACACTTGCCTTTTCCCTTACACACTCTTATCTATCCTTAGTCACTTGTCACCAGCTATATAAATAGCAAAGGAAAATCTGCATTGAACTGAGGGGGAACTTATTTAATGTGTCTTTAATGCATTAAGTAATAGAATACTTTATGTATTATTTTTATATTTAAAATGTAACATTCCCATTCTGACAAGATATGAAAGGTCTTTAAACAACTTTGAGACTTTGCTGGACCAGACTTCTTGAGAAAATGATTTACTAAAATCAAGTTGTTAAGATTACCATTGAACTTCAAAATAGTGTTGCTATTTTGCAGTGCTGTTACAGCATGGAGCTGAGCCAACCATCCGAAATACAGATGGAAGGACAGCATTGGATTTAGCAGATCCATCTGCCAAAGCAGTGCTTACTGGTAAGTCTGTATACTCTGGTTATTCCAGGAAGCCTGTAAAGAACAACCTTGCCAGGTAGGAAATTTGCCTCCTATGATTAATGACTTCAGCTAGATTTTTAAAATAGTGTCAGTTCAGTAGCTATCCTTTTCTACGTCTAGATAGCTGACATTTTATTCTCCTCTAAGAAAAATAAAGCTTTCTTTTTATTTTCTAATTGCTGTTTAAGTATGTCATTGTTGCCTTATTGGGGGTGAGGGTGATAGATAATTGTATGTTGCTTTAGTATATTCAGGACATTTTTTAAATACCCCTGAGTTTTTCAGATAACTTATGCCTGCCCTTTACATGCAGGTTGAGTATTTCTAACCCAAACTTCAAAACACTTCTGGTCTTAAGCATTTCAGATAAGGGATATTCAAGCTGTACTATTTTTTTTAATGTATTTTAATTTTGATGGAATGCTTTCAAAAAACACTGGCCATTCCGTTAACTTTTCAGAAGAGGATTCTAGGCACACTCATTTCAGTACCATGCTAGTTGTACTCTGCTGTAACATATTTATGTCCTTGGAACCTATTGCTATGCATAAGGCTATAGTTTAGATTGACAAGCTTTCCTGAGTTGTATCCACTTCACATATTATCTCCCTTGTTAATGTGCTTTCCTCTTAGCAACTCAGCCATGTTGTTTACCAGATTCTTACCTACCTTGTGATGACTAGAATCATACCTAATCTAAAGTCAAGAGCCAAAGGGGCTTTGCTGTGAGCTTTGTGCCTGGATTTTGTGATATTTCTTCTACCATTGCTGAGAAAATTTAGACTTCTTCATGAGAAGACTTCTTCATGAAAAGACTTCTAGAAGTGTGCACTGTTATTGTGACTATCAATCAGTGTTCATTTTCTCCTTCACTAGTCCATGTTATTCCATGCTTTTATTTTTGTTTTTTAAATCTTGGGCCTCAAAAGAAGCATTGCCTTGGCAGTCAGTATGCAGTTCACATTGTGGGTTTGGATGTCATTCAGCAAATCATATTAATTTAAATTTTGTTGGTTTTATAGTTTTGTTTGTATTCATTTGTAAAAGTAAAGCCTTTAATAAAGAAAAGAAATAAAAGAGTTCATAGTTAATCCTTTTTTATATTTGTATATATTTAAAGTAGCATTAAATAAACATGATATTAGTGTCAAAAAATCTAGGTTCATAAAGATGTTAATGATTATGTTTAATCAGTGATGCTATAGATTCTTTTGTCATTTCTATAATGTTGGTATATTGAGTTTTGTTTGTTTTGTTTAGGAGTTTGCTTTTGGGGTGTGTATGTGTGTGCATGTGTGTGTATCAAGGCCTCACTCTGTCGCCCAGGCTGGAGTGCAGTGGCACAGTCACAGCTTACTGCAGCCTCAACCTATCCAGGCTCAGGTGATCCTCCAACCTCAGTCTCCTAAGTAGCTGGGATTGCAGGCGTGCCTCACCACACCCAGCCAATTTTTGTATTTTTTGTAGAGAGAGGGTTTCACCATGTTCCCCAGGCTAGTCTCTAACTCTTGGGCTCAAGCGATCCACCCACCTCAGCCTCCCAAAGTGCTGGGATTACAGACATGAGCCAATACACCCGGACATTTTTAGGTTTGGAACAAAGTTGTAGATACATTTTGTTTCTCTGTTATAAAAATAACATACTCATTTTAGGAAATTTGAAGGGAAAAAGGGAAAGGTCACCAATAACCTATGACCCAAGATAAACTTTGTTAATATTTTGGTATATTTTCTTTTGGGCTTTCCTTTTCCTGAGCATATTGATTTTATATAGTTGAGGTTGCCTTTCATTATATAAAATAGAATCTTTTTTTTTAATCCCATAGCAAAGGTATTTCATGTTTGCTCTTCATGCAAATATTTTTAAACTACACAATATTCTGTTAATGAACTATTTTCCATTTATTGGAAATTTGTTTCCAAATTTATCTACTTTATAATTCATTGGGCATCTTTTTGCATAAAACTCATTAATTTTTCTTTTTAATTTCTATACTTTTTTTTTTTTCTAATTCACAGGTGAATATAAGAAAGATGAACTCTTAGAAAGTGCCAGGTACGTACTAATGTTATAAATATGTGACAGGAATACTTCACCATTAACTTTTTCTTTTTTTTTTTTTTTACAGTAAGCAAACTTTAAAAAGAATTTTTTTTTAATGGTTACAGTACTTATCTTGAGGAACATCTGATGAAGAATGCAAATTACTAATACTTTTTTTGTATTCTAGGAGTGGCAATGAAGAAAAAATGATGGCTCTACTCACACCATTAAATGTCAACTGCCACGCAAGTGATGGCAGAAAGGTACTTCCTTTTGCAACTGAGTTTGTGCTTATCTCCTGGTAACATGAAGATAAAGATGTGTTTATCTTATGATAAATTGAAACATATTTGAAGAGAGTGCTGATGTTTTAAGTGTTTCAGTATTTTCAGTATTTCAAATTCTTAAGCCTAGTAAAACTTTATTGATGATAAACAGTTATTTGCTTCCTATATGCAATAGTGAATTTATAAACTTGTATACTATGCCTTCAATATGTATGTTGGATTTTGTAAAACCAAATTGATAACTACTTAGCGAAGTTATAATTGGATTTTCTGGTTTTATATTTGGGTTTTTTCCCTCTCACACATTTTATTCAACCATTATTTGAATTTCATTAATATATTTGATTAATATTTCAGTCAACTCCATTACATTTGGCAGCAGGATATAACAGAGTAAAGATTGTACAGCTGTTACTGCAACATGGAGCTGATGTCCATGCTAAAGATAAAGGGTAAGCATTTGAACAAAAACAAGGACTTTTTAAATGTTACCCTCTTCTTAAAACAATCTTTGTAACCTTAGAAAAATAATATTTTTTACTAAATAACATTAATATATATTGAGCTTTTACAATGTACAGGTTGCTCTGAGGGCGCAGGAAATTATAAAACCTTAAGCCCACAGCTCATAGAAGGTTTACATTACACTTCAGAGGGCATGAAAAGATACCTAAGAATACAATGAGGTCTCTACCAAGTGTTGAGTCATAGAGAGGGATAGCACTGCAGGAGTTCCCAGGAAGGAACTCTCAGTGATGGTTGACTGGAGTGGTTGGGAAATCCCTCAGAATGAGGTGTGACTTGACCTGGACTGTAAAGTCAAGTCTCAATTCAAGAAAGCAGAGTTTGCGGGACATTAGTCTGTAAGACAATTGGGATAAGTGGGGGCTGCTACAGCAAACGTTAAAGCACATTTAAAAAACAGTGACTAGACTAGCTTTGCTGGAGCAGATGATTCACACAGGAGACAAATGAAGTTTAGGATTAGAGAAATAGGTAAGAACCAGGTTTTGGAGGACTGGGTATTTAGCCTAAGTAATTCAAAGTTCACCCTGTGATCTGAAACAAAGGGGATGATTATTCTAAAAGAAGTTTTAGGAGGTGCGTTTGAAAGCAATGTGTTGGCTAAATTGGAGAGAGAGGAGACTAGAAGCAAAAGCAGCAATTAGGAAAGTGAGCATTCTAGAGGTTTAAGCATAATCAGGATCCATAATAATGGTGGCAGAAGAAATGAAAATGAAGGCATAGATGCAAGAGATATTGCAGTGTAAGAATGGGTAAGATTTGTTGAATGGATACAATGAGCGAGGAATAAAAGGAAAACTACATTTCAAGTTCTGAATGAGTTAGATCCAGTGATACACATACGAAATACAGGAGGCAAAATTGTTTGGAGGGAAAATGTTGAATTGACTTCTAGAACTCTTAGTTTTTTTATTTGTTTGTTGTATTTTTTATTTTATTTTATTTTTTTTAGACGGAGTCTTGCTCTGTCGCCCAGGCTGGAGTGCAGTGGCGCGATCGTGGTTCACTGCAACCTCCACCTCCCGGGTTCAAGTGATTCTCCTGCCTCAGGCTTCTGAGTAGCTGGGATTACAGGTGCACACCACCACGCCTGGCTAATTTTCATATTTTTAGTAGAGACAAGGTTTTGCCGTGTTGGCCAGGCTCAAACTCCTGACCTCAGGTGATCACCTGGCTCGGCCTCCCAAAGTGCTCAGATTACAGGCATGAGCCACCACGCCTGGCCTAGAACTCTCAGTTTAATGGGGTGATACAGGAACATAGTGGTAGCATCTAGTAGGTAGTTAGGAACAAAATTGGTGCTCAGGCAAGTGAAGAATCATATATTCAAAAATAGTAAGGAAAGCCATGAACCTTTAAAGAGAGGACTCATAGAACTAAAGACTAAATCACAGGTGACCATCCCTTACCAGAGTTTGGCATGATGGTGGCTATGGCAGCATATTAGTGAGTGATCCCAAACGAGAAGGAAAAGCTTCAAGATAGAAGTCAAGATTTTAAAGTTTCACCGTATCTTCCCATAGAGAAAGTTCTTCCTCCATTCCCATCATGGAAGAATTGGGTTTCAGCTTATTAAGGATCTCAAAAAAGTTTTAAAAATGAGCCAGTATTTGAGCTAAGTCTGGAAAAGACATGTAGAAATGAGCCAGAACAAAGGAGGGAGGGAAATCTATACCCAGGGAACAGTATGTGTAGAGGCATACAGGGAATTATAAGTTTAATATACCATTATTGAAGGGTAAGCCTAGAGAGGGAGCCAGATAATTGCGTGTGCCACGTTAATAAGTTGGAACCATCTCTTGAAAGCACAGAGTTAATGGTGAAACTTACCTTTTAGAAAAATCTGCCTTTTAGACTTACCTTTTAGAAAAATCTGCCTCAGCTTGGAGCATAAAGTGGGGTGGGAGCTATTTCAATAATGCAGGGGAGAAATAACATAGACCCAAACTAAGGCAGTGGCAGTAGCAGTGAAGTATAAAGGAACATGGATTTGAAAGAGACTTGGGAGTTCAAATTCTTAGGACTTAGGGTTCAAATGGATGTTACTAAATTTTGAACATTTTTATTAGAACATCACATAATCCATTTGCTATTTAAGTATAAGTAATTAAATAAATTTTAATTTATAAATTTCCCTAGGCCTAAGAAATCTATACTGAAACAGGATTTTCCCCCCCTTCTCATTGTAGTGATCTGGTACCATTACACAATGCCTGTTCTTATGGTCATTATGAAGTAACTGAACTTTTGGTCAAGGTTAGTGCTCTTGTACTCTCCTAATTACTTTCTAGAGTTATATAAAATAACTTGAAATACATTAGTATGTCTGGGTTTCTTTTTATTTTCTGTGTTCTTAGTGCTTAAAAAAGTAGAAGTATTTATAAGCATTATAAAATATAGGTGACTGATAGCTCAGCATTTGACTGCTTTGAGATTTTTGAGATACCATATGTTTTGTTTTGTTTTGTTTTGTTTTTTTGAGACAAGGTCTCACTCTTGCCCAGGCCGGAGTGCAGTGGTGCAATCTTGGCTCACTGCACCCTCCACCTCCAGGGTTCAAAGGATTCTCCTGCCACAGCCTCCTGAGTAGATGGGATTTCAGACAGGCGCCATCACGCCCAGCTAAGTTTTGTTAGAGATGGAGTTTCACCATGTTGGCCAGGCTGGTCTTGAACTCCTGACCTCAAGTGATCCACCTGCCTCGGCCTCCCAAAGTGCTGGGATTACAGCCATGAGCCACCATGCCCAGCCTGGATACCATATGTTTTTAAATATAAAGTAGCACTGTCATCTTGCTACACATCATCTTGTGACGCATCATCTGAAATCCCATCTACTCAGGAGGCTGTGGCAGGAGAATCGTTTGAACCCTGGAGATGGAGGTTACAGTGAGCCAAGATTGCACCACTGCACTCCAGCGCAGGCAAGAGTGAGACCTTGTCTCAAAAAAAAAAAAAATAATGTAGAATAGCAGATAAAGTGATTCCATAATTTATAGCTAAAGGTGAAGTTTCAAAACTCTAAGAAGCAGTTTTTAGTGAATCATATTTTGTTAAAACCACCAGATATAATAGCAAGATTTGCCAGTTGTACTTCGAGTTGGAGCTGGCCGATTTGGTAAGGTTCACTTCTTCCAGTATGCTCAACAGCTGTTTAACAAACAGGTTCCCAAGACTAGCAAGAAACTTTTTTTGTTGTTTTTTTGGTTTTTTGGTTTTTTTTTTTTTTTTTTTTTTTTTGAGACGGAGTCTCGCTCTGTCGCCCAGGCTGGAGTGCAGTGGCGCAATCTCGGCTCACTGCAAGCTCCGCCTCCTGGGTTCAAGCGATTCTCCTGCCTCAGCCTCCCAAGTACCTGGGATTACAGGTATGTGCCACCATGCCCAGCTAATTTTCTATTTTTAGTAGATACAGAGTTTCACCATGTTGGCCAGGCTGGTCTTGAACTCCAGACCTCAAGTGATCTGCCTGCCTCAGCCTCCCAAAGTGCTGAGATTAACAGACGTGAGCCACCACACCCAGTCCAAAACTTCCCATTTTGATCCCTTTTAGATGAGAGTAGAAGATATATATTATCTTTGGAAGTGGATCCCAGGATGTTACCTATACCTTTTAACTTCTGTTACCCTGCACCCATTCTACTCCTTCAGCACTTTTCCCCACTTTCAGCAGCTGTTACGGGAAGAGAAAGAGGACACTTGTTTCCAGTGCCTCTTTGGTTCCTTTCGGGCCTGAGTCTTATGAAATACGTTTTCCCATAGAAACAACTTTATAATAATAATTAGATACTCTGAGTAGCATATTAAACTTATAATGTGGCTGTAATGTTATACATTTGTAACAGTAATGCTTTTGCTTCTTGTAAAACTGAATCTTGACTCCAGCAGAACATTTGAAAGTTGCTATGGATAAGAATGAAACATCAAACAGATTGCACTTGGACTTAAAGACAACTGAGTGGTACTTTCCTAAGACCTAGTATTTTACTAAATAAGAATGAAAGGCTGACTAGAGGTCATACCTACAGAGGGAGTTAGCTAATGTGAGGGTGTAAGTAGTTACCAGGATAGTAAAGTTAAGCAAAGTCAGGAGAAAGCAAGTAGATAGGGATTGAGAATGCAGATTCTGAGCAGTGCTGAGTCAATTGGCAACACTTGCCTAAATAGTTTGGCTACCAGAAGCTGGCATTTAACAGCAAACACCCAGTGACTGCTTTCCATGACCAGGGCATTTGCTAGCCATGGAAGGCACTAAGACACGATCCCTGGACAAAGCATTCAAATAATGAAGGTCTGGCTCTAACAGGCACAAGAATAACAGGGAATTCTCTTAACATTCTTCCTCATAATCTCTGAATACTAGGAAGCAAGTAGACAGATCTGGCTAGAATGGAGGGAAAAATTATGTCAGATAGATTCATAATTAATTGAACCACTGTGCAGAGTGTTGACTGATATTTCTTTGCTTGGAAGGGACTGTTGGAACCTCCAGTAGGGCCTGAAGTTTCTATCTTTATCTTTATTGTGGTGCACACTTCTATGGTTGACTTGATAAAAAATTAGAAGGAATGCTTATCCAGTTTGCAGATTAACATGAAGCTGGGAAGGATAACTAATATTCAAGTTGATAGAATCAAGGCTCAAAACCATCTCACCAGGCTCTAAGCTCTGGGTGAAGCCAGTAAGATTAATGGGGCTCAGCAAGGACACTTAAGTTCACGAAATAAGTCGCACAAGAAAAAGATGGGAGAGGAGAAAATACTTTGGTGTTTACTTCTTGTTTAAACAATAATACAGAGTTTTTAAATGACCCATTAACTCAATTTTAAGTATAAATTATAATGTGACAACTTAAGCTGTCATAATTTTGGGCCAATAGTAGAATAGTATTGCAAGCAATATAATCATGGATGCACTGTACTCTGCACACCCAAACCACACTGGAATCTGTGATTTTAGGCTCTCGGTTTGGTTTGGTTTGGTTTGGTTTTTTTTGTTTTGTTTTGTTTTGGTCGAGGGGAGAGGGTCTCACTCTGCCACCCAGGTTGGAGTGCAGTGGCACAATCATGGCTCATTGCAGCCGCAACCTTCCCGGGCTCAGGTGATCCTCCCACCTCAGCCTCCCAAGTAGCTAAAATTACAGGTGTGGTGCCACCACACATGTTAATCTTTTTATTTTTTGTAGAGATAGGGTTTCACCATGTTGCCCAGTTTGGTCTTGAACTCCTAAGCTCAAGCGATCCACCCACCTCAGCCTCCCAAAGTGCTGGAATTATAGGCATAAGCCACTGCCTCTGGCCTCAATTATTTTTTAATGAATTTTTTAAACTAAAGTATATTTAGTTGAGGGCCACCATGATAATAAGTGGAAACCATCTGATATGAAAGATGAGTGCCCTTTATGATGTCTTTTGCTCCAAAGGCAAATAGATGAAAGTTAAAAGTGCATATTTTAACTTAATATAGAAGAAAGCTTTGTAACAACAGAAGTTCTCTAGTAATTATAAAAAGCCATGTTACTGCAAATTAGCTCCCCATTGTCAAAAATACTGAAAGAGTAAGAAGCTGGTTCACCTTAGTTGAATGCTGTAGAAGGAAATTTGTGTTTGATTGGTTAAACTAGTTTGACTTCAGTGGTCCATACTTAGCCAACTCCAGTACTTGGAAATGGCTAAAATTAAAAAGCCTAACAATACAAAGTGTTAGCAAGGATATGTAGCAACTGGAACTCAAACGTTGCCACGTAGCAGTGGAACTCAAATGTTGCTGGTGGCTGGCTGCATAAAGTGCGATAGCCACATTAGAAGACTCTTTGACATTTTCTAATAAAGTTAAACATATATCTACCATGACAGCATATGTGCATAAAGAAATGTTTATGATAGCTGATTTGTAACACAGGTTGAGTATCCATTATCTGAAATGCTTGGGACCAGAAGTGTTTTAGATTTCAGATATTTTTTGGATTTGAGAATATTTGCATATATACTACATAATGAGAAATCTTGAGGATGGAACCCAAGTCTGCACATGAAATTCACTTACGTTTCATATACACCTTATACACATAGCCTGAAGATAATTTTATATAACATTTTTAATAATTTTGTGCACGAATTAAGTTTGTGTGCATAAGGTTAGGTGTGGAATTTTCCACTTGTGTCGTCATGTCGGTATTCAAAAGTTTTGGATTTTGGAGTATTTTGCATTTCAGGTTTTCAGATGAGAGATACTCAACCAGCCAACTAGAAACAGTCCAAATCTGCATTAACAGGATGATAAATAAGCAAATTATGATATATGTATACTGTGAAATACTCCTCAACAATGAAAATGAACTACTTGTGCAACAACATGAATGAATCTCAGCAACATTATATGTATGAAAGAATCTAGACGAAGTACATACGTTAGAAATTTATATTCTTCTATTTTTATGAAATTGAAGAACAGATATATCTAATATGTGGCCAGAATCGGGGCAGGAATTGTCTATAAAAGGAGCATGAGGAAACATTCTGGGGTAATGAAAGTGTCTTGTATCTTGATTTGGGTGATGGTATCACAGATATATACATTTGTCAGAATTCATCAAAGTTGTATGTTTCACTGTATGTCAGCTATACCGCAAGAGGAGCATTCATTCTTGGAAGAGATGCAGGTTAAATCTAAAGCTTCGTTCTTAACTGTTCTTAAAAGTAGAAAAGTTAAGTAGACCCTTGTTGGTAGGGCTAGCAATCAGCTACTGTTTTTTCCATTGGGAAAAATGTATACTCATTCTGAAATAATTGGCTCAAAAAGTGAACTTTGGGAACATAACCTGTTTTAGCCTGTATGATGTTAAATTACACAGTACGAATAATTCTGAATTCTTTTAAAAATTGAACATTAAATATATGCTTTTTGCTCTCCAGCATGGTGCCTGTGTAAATGCAATGGACTTGTGGCAATTCACTCCTCTTCATGAGGCAGCTTCTAAGAACAGGGTTGAAGTATGTTCTCTTCTCTTAAGTTATGGTGCAGACCCAACACTGCTCAATTGTCACAATAAAAGTGCTATAGACTTGGCTCCCACACCACAGTTAAAAGAAAGATTAGCATGTGAGTATAAAATTATGAATGTTCAGGTAGGATATTATATCAATAAACTGAACATTTTTTCTTTCCTGTTTGTTTTTAGAAATGTTTAAATAATAGAATATTTTTCTTAGCCATGGGCATCCACTGTTGTTTAGCATATTTAATAATTTGGAAGTTTCTACTTAAGATGCTATGAAAAGAAAATATGTTTGTATTAATTTTTTCAAGTCAAGTTATATGCTTTTTATATGTGCTGTATTAGACTTATTAGATGGTATGCCTTTGAAATGAAAGCATTTGTTTTGCTTTCATCTTTGATATGATTTTTCTGTTTAATCTATGAAGCTTATGAATTTGTGAAGTTAAAGCTTCATAAGATTGCCATCTTGTAAACAGTCTCCAGATCTTAACATCTGATATTGTTGGCACCTGGGCCAAGTTCGGTTTTCTGTCTATAGCTGAAGTAGATGTAGTGAGAAATAACCACCTAGTTTGGATATGGTATTAGTGCATACAAGTAAGCAACTTATATTGGATTTATATTATCCTGGAATAATAAAGAATGATTGGTAGTTCCACAAGTCTGATGAGTAAAAGAGAATCTTAAGGAAAACCTCTTTTATTTTTTCATCATCATAGGTGGCTTTTGCAAATATCCAACTTGTCTAGTTCCCAGTTCCCTGATGGTTTGAGCAAAGCTGTCTGCTATAGCCATGATGTCAGTGTAGAGATCACTATTTCTTTACAGAGAAAAATTTTTGTGCTTGAAATATTCTAAAACCTCTCCAGTCTAGGAAGATATTGTAGTACTCCAGATATCCCAAAATGAATTACGAATTAAAACAGACCATGAATCTGCCGTGGGCTAAACCTGTGTATACTCTTGAGGCCATATGTCTATACAGTTGCACCGTAACTTAGGGGAACTGGAGTACCACTGTCTGTTTTCAGGGGTTAAATTTGGAGAATATCTTTAGAGCCTCAATCTGGCTATTTTGGAAGATTATTTTGAAAATAATTTCAAGGAAAATACTAGATGTCTTTTAGATAAGGCTTTTCAATTTGAACTCGTTATACATGTAAATGCTTTTTCTTCATCTAGATGAATTTAAAGGCCACTCGTTGCTGCAAGCTGCACGAGAAGCTGATGTTACTCGAATCAAAAAACATCTCTCTCTGGAAATGGTGAATTTCAAGCATCCTCAAACACATGAAACAGCATTGGTAATGTTTCAGATTTAAGTTTTTAAAATACAATAACGAAGAACGTGCTAAACTAATCATAATATCCTACTTTTAGAACTAGCATTTTTTTGAGTCTATAGTTTTAAAAAATTACTGCCTATGCAAATATTTTTTAAAAATTTAAACAGTACCAAAAAATAGACAACCTCACCCTGCAGAAGCCAATGCTATTATCAGTTCGAGAATCCTCAGAAAAAAAAAATTATTCATATTCTGACATGTATTATATGTAATGCTTTTATTATCATAAGTGATACATATAGTTTGCCTTTTTAGGGGTTATAAAAATGAATGCTTAGGTTAGAAAATTTGGAACCCAATGAAAATAATGAAAAATAAAATAAATACCACCATCCAGATGAAAACACTTGGTGTAGTCCCTTCCTTCTTCAAAATTAGATCTAGAATGTGAATAAAGTATTTTAGAGGTTACTTCCCTGATAGGGGTAATAATAACTGTGGAACTATGACAAAGTAGATGTGAGTAGAGAAGTCTAACGAAAAACAGAAAAGAATGGAAGCTAATAGGGATACATGATAAAAGATAAGAGAGGGAATGGTAAAATCAGGGGCTACCTTAAAATTGAAAGGTAGAAAAAAAGAAACTTAAAGGTAGAAATTTAAAAGGAAGAAAGTAAATCCTGTTGCGTGAGTTGCAGAATGTGCTTCAGGTGAGAGAAGATAAGTAAGTTAATGTGTGTAGAAGCAGATTTAACTGATGGTAGCCTTACTTACCTAATATCTTTTATGAGAAGTTTTTTGCCTTATGCCATAATGTAAACTATGAAATTTATGTAGAAACCTACCTATAAAGCATTTTGGACCTTTTTACTGCTTGTAAGAAACTTCTAAATTTAAAAAAAAAAAATAGCAAAGCTGTAGACTAATAAGAAATGCTAGTACAAAATTAAAACCACAACAGCATTAAAACTGTACAAAGAAACATGGAAAGACTGACATGGAAAATTCTGGTCATAACTACTGTGAAGCAACTCGTTTTTGTAATTAACCTTAAAACACACTAGGAGTTGTGTTGGTGAGTAGTTATGGTGCAGTAGCAGTTTCTTACAGGTTCCCAGAGATTTACAGGCCCTGCTCCAAGATGGTGCAGAGGAGTAGGGTGTAATTTGAGGTGGATGTGATTTTTAAAAAAAGTCTTTAAAAAACCATGTCTGGTCTCTGCGCTCTCATGATAGGTGTCCTGGGATGATTACCCTTAACCTACCAAAGGAACTATGTTCTCCAATTAGAATTGGTTTTATTTAGAGTAAAGGAATGATTTTGGTGACAGCAACATCAAAGAATGGATCTGCAGCAAAGTCATGAGGATCTGATAAGCTTTATGATTGATTAACAACAGGTTAAAATCAAAGAACAGATTTCATGTGTACTGTGTTTTTAGATGTATAGAGCAACTTAGCTGAAAAATTACCCAGAACTTTTATTCTATAGGTTTTCAGGTTTCAGTTTTAATTTAACATATATACATTGATTTAGTCATGTATCATTCAGACATTATTGAACACCTATTGTGCAGATATTAGGCTTAGGCTTATAACTGGCAAATCTCTACTTCCTGTCTCCTTTCCTCCTGGATACATCATAGATAGAGATGCTGCAGCCTGAAACTCCAGATTATATCATTTTCCACCACTGATTTTGCAGAGGTAATGCATGCTCCTTATTCTGCCGAAGCAACTAGTTGAGAGAGATATAAATACTGCTCAGCTGATCAGCTGTATCAGTGCTATTACCAAACAGAATCCAGAGCTGATGAGTGTTCTGTTATTTCCCTTTTTTTGTTTTTTGAGATGGAGTCTTGCTCTGTCGCCCACGCTAGAGTGCAGTGGCATGATCTCAGCTCACTGCAACCTCCACCTCCCAGGTTCAAGTGATTCTCCTGTCTCAGCCTCCCGAGTAGCTGGGATTACAGGCACGTGCCACCACGACTGGCTAATTTTTGTATTTTTATTAGAGAGGGGGTTTCACCATGTTGGCCAGGCTGGTCTTGAACTCCTGACCTCAGGTGACCCGCCTGCCTCGGCCTCCCAAAGTGCTGGGATTACAGGCCTGAGCCACTGTGCCCGGCTATATTCTGTTATTTCTTCATGTAAAGAAACCTCAACCTTTGCAAGGGTGTTTTCTTAACCTTTAAAATATTGCATGAACACAATGCTACTTGGAAACAGTTTTGAAAAGGATATTGGTCACATTAAGGTTTTCATCACACCAGTGCTAGCTTTTTCAAAGATACAGGACAACTGTAAAGTTTGATTGGAATATGTAATAATAGATATTATCTGATAGGTAGGATTTTCAGGTTCTGTCAGAATTTGGTAATTGTTGTAATTCAATCAAAAGTCAAGAGCAAAGTTGCGTCAAAAGTAAAACAAAAAGATTAAATAACTACTTGATTGTTCTTGATTGGAAACACGAATGTTCTTAAAATCAGTTATGTATAGTCCTTGATTAATGCTGCAATTTAAATTATTTAGCATTGTGCTGCTGCATCTCCATATCCCAAAAGAAAGCAAATATGTGAACTGTTGCTAAGAAAAGGAGCAAACATCAATGAAAAGACTAAAGAGTAAGTATACATTTAATGATTAAATATCATTGAGATTTTACTCTTTTGGAAAATATATTCACTGTCTGGCTGATTTTTTCTCTCTAAGATTCTTGACTCCTCTGCACGTGGCATCTGAGAAAGCTCATAATGATGTTGTTGAAGTAGTGGTGAAACATGAAGCAAAGGTATACTTCCTTTTTGGTAATCTTTGGTAATCCAATGAGTTATTTTTTATTTAGCAGGTGAAATGCCTGACTTCCTAAACTATTTACTTTCTCATAAGTATTACTTTTTTTTCCTTATAATCTATGCTTAAGAATTGTCCTGCAGGTAACCTTTTCTATATCTAATTTTTGCTAGAACATCTATGGGTTTATTCAGATACACATTCCTGTATGTCCTCCCTCCTCCATTCCTTTTAACCACAGCCCACAGGTTAAAGTTATTCTTAAGGACTTTTCTGACCTATCATCTTTTCTAATCGTCTTTTCTCACCCATATCTTCTAATTCTTGGTTGTCATGATAACTTCTGTTATTTACCCCAACCACCGTTTTTGTTTCTGTTTTACCCTCTTATTTCTGTAACTAAGCCAAAGGACTTGAACGGAAGGAAATATATTATTTAAATAATTTGACTAAAAACATAATAGCTCCCCATGTTGGTAAGTTACTGTTCTTTAGTTGGCATTTGTGCACAAAGCATTTTATTCACCAAATATGCTTTCATCAAGGCTAGAAATCATCTCTTACCCAGAAACTTTTAAAAGTACTACTCAGTAAAAGATATACATAGCATCTCAGATTGGAAGAGATGACAGTAGTCACCTAATTCAGCAGTTTTTACAGTTTTTAGCCACAGATCCTTGCCTCCTTCAAACAAAATCTTTAGTTGAAATTCAGTATACTCTATAACAGAGAAAGAATAGATGTGCTGTAGATGAAGGGAGAGGAATAGACGCTCTTCTCCTTGGATGGCCCCTGAAACGCTTCCATAAATGAAATTTGCAGAATAGTTTATTCTTACCTATCCTTTCTTGAGTTTCCATTCATTCAAGGAACGATTTAGAGTTCTCCAATTTCTTTTTGTGTTGCCTCTCTGTGTCTTAATTTCTCTTTGATTTGGGGGAATTCTTGATAATGTATAATCTTGATCTTTCCTATTGTAAATTATTGAATAAAATAAAGTTTATTTCTGCTTGACTGCTTGGCATATCTTGTCTCTCTGTTCTATATCTGTTTGTTGATTGCTGTTTTCATACTTGTGGTACATTACTTGAAGAATATCTGGATACATATTGAATTAGAGTTGTGACACTCAATGAAACAATCTTGACTAGGGTGACCAACCATTCAGTTTTGTCCAGGACTTCACGTTTTTTGGGAACACAGGACTTTCAGTGCTAAAACCAGGAAAGTCCTAGGCAAACCAGAACAAGTGGTCACCCTAATCCTAACACAAAGTGGTACCCAAATAGTTTTTTTTTTTTTAAGTGGGTATTTTTCACATTTCAGCGAGTTAGGGTATGTGAATAAATAGTTTGATTGTCCTAAGCATTTTAAATCCATTTTTCAGGCCCTGTAAGCATGGAGACTAGCTATTCATACTCTAGTTTTAGGTTCATTGAGGTCTTGATTATATTCACATTCACATATTATCCGATTCCATGAATATGAATTGGTCAGTGTCTCAAAACACACTAGTGTCCGCAGGATTGATTACTGAGGAACTTAATTTCTTAGCTATGTTGAATAATTATTTCCATAGCAGGGAGGTAGGGATAACGTTGGTGGAGTCTTACAGGTGATTTTTTTTTTATTGTGAAAAATTTCAAAGATATAACCAAGTAGAAAGAATTTTGCAGAAAATACCTGCCTACCACTTAGATACTATTACTAACATTTTACTCTAGTGTTTTATTACATATCTTTCCATTTTTTCCTCCATCCACCAATATATCTTATTTTTTCACACATTTCAAAGTAATCTGCAGACTATTCCTCCTAAATACTTCCACATGCACATCAACTAGAGTTTAATCTTTGTTTACAGTTTTTCTTTAGATGTAAAATGTGCAGTGAAATGCAGAGATCTTAAATGGATATTTGCTGAATTTTGACTAGTATATACACCTATGTAACCAAAACTCCTGTAGAGATATAGAACATTATCTCATGGCAGAAGTAGTGCACAGTCCCAGGCCGTCTCCACTTTGACAGATAACCATTTTATTTTTTCTGACATAAAAGTGCGTTCTAGGCCTTGACATACATGGAATCATACAAAATGTACGCTTTTGTGTAAGGCTTTTCCCACATTGTATAATGTTTTAGAGATTCATCCATGTATCAGTAGTTTGTTCCTTTTTATTGCTGAGTATTCCACTATGTGACTATTCCATAGTATGTGTATCTATATATTTTAGGTAATAAATAAGGGAGAAGATTAAGCCTATAGAAATAAGCATTTTAATGCTAATTTATCTCTGGCTTTGTTACTATTGTCTATCTCGGGGTTAAGCTTTACATTTCTACACTTTAGAGATCCATAAAAATAGATGAGTTCAACTTTCTTAGGCAGTGTCTAGCTCTAAATATCTGTGAATGCTTTAATGATAAACACAATTACTATTCAGCATCTCGCATTTAACCCAAAATTGAGTCTTCCTTCTGATGGTAGCCTTCATGACTTGGTAAATTTATTCTCTAGATTTGAGCAAAAATACTTGCTTTGGCATTGGATAATAGGCCTCATAAAAGAATTGAGACTTAAAAGTAGTAAAAAGTGTTAAATACATGATTGTATGGTTTTAAATTTTGCATTGCGGGCTAATTTCAATTTTTTCTGCTTTGTTAAGGTTAATGCTCTGGATAATCTTGGTCAGACTTCTCTACACAGAGCTGCATATTGTGGTCATCTACAAACCTGCCGCCTACTCCTGAGCTATGGGTGTGATCCTAACATTATATCCCTTCAGGGCTTTACTGCTTTACAGATGGGAAATGAAAATGTACAGCAACTCCTCCAAGGTATTACATGCTTCAATGAAATTGATTTTTTTAAATTAACCTTTAAAAATTTTTCACATATCAGGTATTATAGGTAGGAGTTGGTAATAAGAAAAATTGAGAATTTTTGTTTATTTCTTCTTAGGTTATTATACTTTTAATCAGCTGAATATCCTCAGTTCCCAAATGTCATTAAGTGATAATTATGATTTTTGTTCCAGTAGCATTTTCTGCCCAGTTTCTTAAGTTAAATAGATGGCTTTCAAGTTTTTATCGAGAAAGTTTTGAGAGTAAGATAAAATGGTTGCTATTTATTTTTAAAGAAAGGAATTTTTAGATCCTACATATTCAAGGCAGGTAGAATTTGTATAAGGTAGCCAACTATTTGGCTTATTGAAACATTTAGCAACTGAATACACTCATATTCATTACGTCTTAAAAGATTTAGATCAAATATCTACACACTTGGCATAGATGAAACATCTCAGCCCAGATATCTGGTCCCATAAATTTTAAAGTATTTTTGTCTACATCTCTACTTTTATTAGAATTTGATGCAGTAGCTTTGACATCTGAAAGCTCAGATGAGAAAAATGTAATAGATTAAGCTTTTCTGTCTTTAACAGTAAATCCTTGATGATCTTTATGCCTTTGTTCTGGGAACCACGTTTTGAGAAACACTGCTTGAACAGATGAAAGCAGATTGATACAACCTCCTGGAATCTACCAAAACTGTGAACTTACAAGACTGTTTTGAAGATCCCCATTACTTCCCCCATACATCACACATTCATTTCATTGTCAGTTTTTGGGATAATAACACTGGTCCTATTCAGTTGGCTAGTGATAGAATGTAAAGTCTTGTCAGTTTTATGCTAAGTACCATTACATATAGCTTTTTACTTGCCTTTCCAACTAGTTTCTTACAATAAATTATTGAAGTGGAATTTCCAGGTCAAAGGGTAGCATATAATTGTCAAATTATCTTCTGTTAATAGAAAGCTGGTATTTAGCATTTTACAGTCAGAATATATGAAAGCACCTGTTTTCTGTCAGCACTAGATGTTACAATTCTTAATATTTTCCTTGAGTGAATATGCATGTGTGAATTACAGAAGTAATAGATTTTAATGCTAACTATAAAAGTCTCATCAGTGTAGCTCTCCATTTCCTCTCTGCCTACTAGCAGATGGAAAAAAAATGATATTTAATCTGCATTTCTGATTATGAGTAAGTTTGAACATAATTTTAATGTGTTTATTGCCCATTTCTCTTTTTTTTCTTTTTTTTTTTCTTTTTTTTTCCAAGCAGGGTCTCGCACTGTCGCCCGGGCTGGAGTGCAATGGTGCAATCTCAGCTCACTGCAACCTCTGCCTCCTGGGTTCACATGGTTCTCCTGCCTCAGCCTCCCAAGTAGCTGGGATTACAGGTGCACACCACCACACCCGGCTAACTTTCTGTATTTTTAGTAGAGACAGAGTTTCACTATGTTGGCCAGACTGGTCTCAAACTCCTGACCTTGTGATCCCCCTGCCTTGGCCTCCCAAAGTGCTGGGATTACAGGCATGAGCCACCATGCCCGGCCTTTCTTTTTTTTTTTTTTTTTTTTTAATTTTTCTTTTATTTTATTTATTTATTTTTGAGATGGAGTTTCACTCTTGTCACCCAGGCTGGAGTACAGTGCTGCGATCTTGGCTCACTGCAACCTCTGCCTCCCAGGTTCAAGTGATTCTCGTGCCTCACCCTCCTGAGTAGCTGAGAGTGCGCCTAACTTTTGTATTTTTAGTAGTTACGGGGTTTTACCATGTTGCCGAGTCTGGTCTCCAACTCCTGACCTCAAGTAATCTGTCTGCCTCGGCCTCCCAAAGTGCTGGGATTACAGGCATGAGCCACCACGCCCAGCCAACCATGTCTCTTTTTTGTATGTGTGAATTTCTTGTTCATGTCTTTAGCTCATTTGTTGAAGTGTTTCAAAGTACTCCTTTCATAAGAATACCGTGTGTGTGTGTGTGTGTGTGTGTGTGTGTGTAATTTTTTTTTTTTTTTTTTTTTTTTTGAGACGAAGTTTCACTCTTGTTGCCCAGGCTAGGGTGCAATGGCGTTATCTTGGCTCACTGTAGCCTCAAATATATTCTCTTAAAAGATGCATGTTACAGTTTGGTTTTTTCCCATTTTGTTCTTGTTTAATGCTGTTATTACCTGACATATTTTTCCAAATGCCAATTTTCTTTTTTTGATGCTGCTTTTGATGTACTGTTCAAAGAAGCTTTTTTATTCCATGTTATGAAAATATTCCCCCGTTTTCTTCTAGTATTTTTAGGGTTTAATTTTTCATACTTACATCTTTAATCCATCTGGAGTTTACTTTGTTCTAAGGTGCAAGGTAGATGTTTTCCTTTTCTGACACTTTAAATGAGCTGTAAACTTAGAATTTCAGACCTGGAAATGATGTTACATTTCTACTAGTCTACCTTATGTCTTTAGAACTGAAAAAATCTGAGAACCAGGAAGTTCCAGTGACTTGTTCCAGTTCAGATAGCTAATTAATGACAGAACCACAGTTAGATTTCTGTTTGCTCTCTTAATTTAATACTTTTGCACCATTCCAATGGCTTGCTTATAGAGCAGGCCATCTTTAGTCATCTCCTTTATGTTCCTTTATATTGCTTACATCACATTTTATAATCATTATACACATTTACATATTTTGCTTATATGTGTTGTATTTCAAAGAGTTTTAAGAGAATCTTATTTTTCACTCCCCAACCCTCACCCCCCTTACTACCATGGAGATCTCGTACATAATCTACCAAATTGTAAAAGAACTTTGCTTTCTGATGAGATGCCTTCCATAAAGCTTGGTTCCATCTTCCAAATAGAGGTTAGTCACTCTTCTCTCTCTCTCTCTTTTTTAGAGGGTATCTCATTAGGTAATTCAGAGGCAGACAGACAATTGCTGGAAGCTGCAAAGGCTGGAGATGTCGAAACTGTAAAAGTAAGATACAGTGTTACGTTTCTGTTAACTTTGGGTTTTTATTTTGACATTGTTATTTAATCTGTACTGTTACAATGAAGAGCCTGGTTTATTTGTATGGGCCTTGCCTTAAAAGGTCAATAATACAATCTTAATTGTTCTCTACAAATGAGTAGCTTTAAGTAATGAAAGAGAAAGACTTCACTTTCACCTGCATCCCAGTGAATATTACATTCACAAATATAAATAAATTCGGGTAATACCAAATGGGTTTTGCTTGAAGAACCTATTCATTTGTCCCTTTAACAGAATAAAGTTTATCAAATTATTTTATATTACTGTTTACGTATGACACATAAAACAAGAAAGGGGAAAAACAGTGTATCACTTCTGTCTATAGATTTCTTCTGATTTCTTCATTTCTTCACCCCATCTACCTCTAGGGATCCAGGGCTTAGTATAATAATAAATACAATGTTGCCACTTCTCTTTCCCAGGGCTTGCAACTTCAGGTCTTACCTGTTTCTCCGACAAGAGTCTTCCCCAGAGTAACCCTTCTTACTGTTTTGACTCTTGCTGTAGAAATATGTATGTAAAACTGGGCCCAGTGGCTCACACCTGTCGGTAATCCCAGCACTTCGTGAGGCTGAGGCGGGTGGATCACCTGAGGTTAGGAGTTTCAGACCAGCCTGGCCAACATGGCGAAACCCCGTCTCTACTAAAGACACAAAAATTAGCTGGGCGTAGTGGGATGCACCTGTAATCCCAGGTACTTGGGAGGCTGAGACAGTATAGACATCTCAGATAACTTCAGATTTGTTTTCTAAATTCATTTCTCACAGAAAAATGCAACTATCATGCAGTTTTATTATTTGACATGTTTTTATTTTGATCCTCATTATTCTCATTCCCTTAAGTAGGAGGCTAATAGGATATCGAAAGGAGGATTTTGTTTCTATTACTACTGACTTGTGGAAATACAAATTACTTCAGTTAAAAGGTTGTGAACTGATTTTTTTTTCAGGAAACATGAAAATTGAGTTGAAAGCAATTAGCTGATTTTTTTTTTTTTTTTTTTTTTTTTTTTGCTGTTTGTGGGAAGGGAGAGATACAGAATTGTAAATGCTCATTCTCTTACATATATTAAAGAACATAAAACTATATTTAGTAAACATGTTAAAGACTAAACTTTGTTTTTATAAAGATAGAGGGAGTCCAGAGGAGGGGATAGATAAAGAGGAGATGAAGTTGGGGGGCAGGAAATGGACTTAGGGAACACAGTAATGCCATTGGATTCAGGAAAACCTGTGCTAGGCATCAGGCTTTCTTCCCTCCCCTCTGCTTTTAAAATCACTTGATGGACATTTATCTCCATCAGCCATTCTTCTTATCTACCTCCAGACAGATGGCTCTGTACGAATCACTGGGACAAGAACATCTGCGTATTACCTAATGAACACTTAACTATTGTGCTCAGTTGTGTTTGTTCACTGATAATCCACCAGGCTGGATACTTTATTCGACACATGCTATTAGAAAACCTATCTCAGAGTGGACAAAATTAAACTGACAGGTAAAGAGTAGAATGGCCTGTGATAACTACCAAACCAAGCAGCACCTGGTACACGTGTTAAAAATAGTCATTTCTAGGAACCTGACTTGAGACCCACTGAAATACCATCTCTTGAATGGGGCCCTGAATCTGTATATCTAGCCAGATCTTATTTGGGAAGCACAGAAGAGCTTTTTACCAGGACAATGATTAAACCCCTTGAGGTAAACCCACTGATAGTAGGCTCCTTTATTTTATTGAGCTTAGGTTATCCCTGTTTTGGGAGTAGGTTAGTAAAAAGGGGGAAAGAGTTTTTACTAATATGGATATATTCTTTTTGTTTGTTTGTTTGTTTGAGATGGAGTTTCACTCTTGTTGCCCAGGCTGGAGTGCAATTGCACGATCTCGGCTCACAGCAACCTCCACCTCCCGGGTTCAAGCAATTCTCTTTCCTCAGCCTCCCGAGTAGCTGGCATTACAGGCGCCCGCCACCACGCCCAGATAATTTTTTGTATTTTTAGTAGAGACGGTTTCACCATGTTGGCCAGGCTGGTCTCGAACTCCTGACCTCAGGTGATCCACCCGCCTGGCCTCCCAACGTGCTGGGATTACAGGCGTGAGCCACCGTGCCCGGCCTAAGATAGATATATTCTTTTGACTCTTTAAGCACTCTGATTTATTATCTATGTTGCTTTTCTTCCCCAAACTTTCATACTTTTCATAACTACACTTCCTCCTCTGAACCAAAGAGCACAGAAAATTGACTGTTTTCTTAATTCTCCCCAGGACTGTATAAACCATCAGCATTTTTTTTTCCTTTTTTCTTTTTTGGAGATGGAGTCTGGGTTGGTCACCCACGCTGGAGTGTGATGGCACGATCTCAACTCACTGCAACGTCTGCCTCCCAGGTTCAAGCGATTCTCCTGCTTGACCCTCCCAAGTAGTAGAGACAGGGTTTTGCCATGTTGGCCAGGATGGTCTCAAACTCCTGACCTCAAGTGATCTGCCCGCCTCAGCCTCCCAAAGTGCTGTGATTACAGGCATGAGCCACCACGTTCAGCCTAACCATCAGCATTCTATTAGTTATTTCATTCCACATGGAGTGGTATGGTTACTGAACCACCAGCATCAGCATCACCCAAGAACTTGTTAGAAGTGGAGATTTTTAGGCTCCACACCAGTTACACTGAAAATTTGAGGGTTGGACCCAATGCACATTAAAGTTTGAGAACCACTGCTCTAAAGGAGTACTTTTCAAACTTTAATGTGTTTCCATATTACCTAGGGATCTTGTTAAAGGGCAAATTCTGACTCAGTAGATAGAGATCTGAGATTCTGAATTCTTAATAAGCTCCTTGGTAATGCTGGTACTACCGTAATCTCATGTACCTCTATGTATATTTGCCACAAAATGCAAGTTACACTTGCTGATGATTGGCACTTAGTTTACCTGTATATATATATAGTAGCGGTAATGATAAAATTTACCCTTGAGCGTTAGAAAAAGTAGAATATAAAGGCATACGTGAGACCAGGCACGGTGGCTCACACTTGTAATCCTAGCATTTGGAAGGCCAAGGTGGGAGGATCCCTTGAGGCCAGGAGTTCAAGACCATCCTGGCCAACATGGTGAAACCCCGCCTCTACTAAAAATATAAAAATTAGCCAGGTGTCCTGGCATGTGCCTGTAGTCCCTGCTGCTCGGGAGGCTGAGGCAGGAGAATTGCTTGAACCCAGGAAACAGAGGTTGCAGTGAACTGAGATTGCGCCACTGCACCCCAGCCTGGGTAAGAGAGCTAGACTCTGTCTCAAAAAAATAATAAGACAAAAAAAAAGGGCATGGATGAGAGGACCAGAGGGATTCCCAGTAAATGACAAGGTGAAATAAGAATACTAAATAGTTTCTGAGAATACTGATTTAATGAGACAAGAAAATAAGTCAGACACTTTGAAAATTCCTACTAAATGACTTGAAACAAGAAATAACAATATGTAGATGTAGTATCATGTATGTTGTGTTTTGTCCTTCAGAAACTGTGTACTGTTCAGAGTGTCAACTGCAGAGACATTGAAGGGCGTCAGTCTACACCACTTCATTTTGCAGCTGGGTATAACAGAGTGTCCGTGGTGGAATATCTGCTACAGCATGGAGCTGATGTGCATGCTAAAGATAAAGGGTAAATGCCAATGATTGTTATGGACTCTCTTCCTTACTTTTACTTGACCTTTTTAGGAAAACCTGGAAATATAATATGTTTTATTTTTCAAGAAAGCCTGTTTCCTAACATTGGCCTAAATATTAAATAGAGCTTCTTAATTTCAATTAAGATTTTATATGGTTAGCATTCATATAAAGACTTTATTGGCATAATGCCTGAGAATTTTATAATGGCCAAGGAGATTATAACATTAGTGTGATATTGACTTTTAATGTAGTAAATTTTTCAGTTTCCATGGAGGGTTTTTTAATTCTTCCAGTTTATCTTGAAGTTATTTTTTATTAAAAATATACAATTCTAGACGTTGCATATATGGATGAATGTTATAGTCTCTGCATTTAAAACATTTTTTAAATGTTCTCCCCTGACTCACCAAAAAGAACTTATTTCTGCCTTAAATAGATTTAGGTTCTACAAAGTATAATCAGTATAATTCCTTATGTAGTTCAAGAATTATCTTTCATCAGTTATATGTAATTATTTAAATTAAAACATGTTCTTCTGTGGCATTATTGTTCATTTATTACTTTTCAGAGGCCTTGTACCTTTGCACAATGCATGTTCTTATGGACATTATGAAGTTGCAGAACTTCTTGTTAAACATGGAGCAGTAGTTAATGTAGCTGATTTATGGAAATTTACACCTTTACATGAAGCAGCAGCAAAAGGAAAATATGAAATTTGCAAACTTCTGCTCCAGGTATATTTAAATACTTAACTGTAAAGAGTATGAATTACATAGCATATGTTTATGGTTTTCTAAATAATTCTAGTATAAAGTTAAACTAGTAAGCAATGGGAAGCAATGTTACCTAATTCTGTACCTAGATTTTAGAATAAATATAATAAACATTTTATATTTTAATCCACAAGTATGTTTACTAGCACCTAGAGTTATTTTTGTCTAGAGCCAACTATCATGTGATAGTTCTCTTATTATTTTTAGTTTTTCTCTTTGGTACTTTTATATTCATCAAATATAAAAATATTTGATGAATTATTTACTTACAAGCCAGATTTATTTAGCATTGATAAAATGGATGATACTGGTTCAGTACAGATACCAGTGGATATTTTACAATAACAAGAATACAGAGATTTATACTTTATTTAAATGTTCATGAAAAGTAAAAATAGTATAACATGAAAGTTAATTTTTAATGAAATATGACTTTATTTTGAATGTAGTTTAAAATTTTGACTACATTAATGCATTAAAAAATCCAGTAATATTTAACTGCCTCTGTATTCTTTTTATAATAATTCTTTGTATAAACATTAGTAACAGTGATGTTAACCTTCAAAGTAGAGTCTCAATATAAATTTAGTTTTTCTTTGGTATAGTTAACACTGACTATTTTCTCATTGACCAAAGGCACATTTAAGCCATTTCCCCCTTTTTTTCTGTTTTTCACATGCCTAGCATGGTGCAGACCCTACAAAAAAAAACAGGGATGGAAATACTCCTTTGGATCTTGTTAAAGATGGAGATACAGATATTCAAGATCTGCTTAGGGGAGATGCAGCTTTGCTAGATGCTGCCAAGAAGGGTTGTTTAGCCAGAGTGAAGAAGTTGTCTTCTCCTGATAATGTAAATTGCCGCGATACCCAAGGCAGACATTCAACACCTTTACATTTAGCAGGTAAGTGAATGAAGTTTCACAGATTTAGGCTGGTAATATCTGAGATTCATTTTACCCAGGTAAAATATTTTCTGTAACTAAACTTTAAAAATTCAAATCAGGCCAAGCATGGTGGCTCACACTTGTAATCCCAACACTTTATGAGGCTAAGGCAGGAGGATTGCTTGAGCCCAGGAATTTGAGAGCAGCCTGGGCAACATGGCAAAACCACACCTCTATAAAAAATTACAAAAATTAGCCAGGAGTGGTGGTGTGCACCTGTAGTCCCAGCTATTCAGGAGGCTGAGGTGGGAAGATTGAGCCCAGGAGGTCACGGATGCAATAAGCCTTGATTGTGCCACTGTACTCCAGAAACAAAGTGAGACCCTGTCTCAAAAAATAAAAAAAATAAATAAAAATTCAAATCAAGTATCTTCTAATGCCACCATTATACTCTTCAGTGTATTTGTACAGGACGACCGTACTTGAAGCTATTAGCTGAGTTCGAGTTCACTTTATTACTAGTATGTTACATTCAGTAAGAACAATTGAAGTAGGCTCTGCCAGTCCCCATGTGCTTTGGGAATCATTATTCCAGGTAATCATTTTATTGGTATCACCTTTGGTAAACAAGTTTTGAAAAATATGCCTACTTGAGCCAGCCTTCCTTATAGGAAGCTAAAGCTTTCTATTTTTCCTGATGGTAGCTGCTAAGCACAAGCAGGAAAAAAAAAAAATCTCAAAACTCTCAGAAGTTACATAAGCCTCTCACCAAAGTTATCTGTTGTTTTGGTTTGTGAGAGTTCTCATAACAAAATACCAAAGACCAGGTGGCTTAAACAACAGAAATTTGTTTTCTCACAGTTCTGGAGGCTAGGAGTCCAAGTTCAAGGTGTTGGCAGAGTTGGTTTCTTCTGAAACCCCCTCTTGGCTTGCAGCTGTCTACCTTCTCAGTGTGTCCTCCATTGGAACATGGTGTCTCTTTCTATATGTCCTAGTCTCTACTTTTAAGGAAACCAGTCAAATTAGATTAGAGCCCACCCTAATGGGCTCATTTTAACTTTTTTAGCTCTTTAAAGGCTCTGTCTCCAAATAGAGTCATATTCTAAGGTACTGGGGTTAGGGCTTCAACATAAGAATTTTGCAGGGTACAATTCATTTCGTGACATTTGTTTTAAGGTTTCACTCATAAAACTGGCACAGTGTACCTTTGTTTTCAGTGCAAATATACAATATATTGTGGTTTCAGTACAGCTTTTTCAGCTGCATTACAGATGTTAGGAAATCATTAAAATCACTGAGCTATAGCTAATACCTCAGTGGAGTTCCATCATAGACACAGCGGACTCATACAAGTTTGTCTAAATATACATGATTTAAACATGGTATAAAAAGCAAGAAAAAATAATGCAAAATTTCTGCCATTTCGTGTAATGTGGGAGATGGAAATGTATGATGTTCATTTCAGTCTTGTATTATAACTTGGTGTTATACATGATTTTTACCTTTAAATTCTCACTCCATGTAAGTTGAGACCTCACTGTCCAAAGAAACCAATTACTCTATGTGTCTTTCAAGTATTTTGGAAGTGATAAGCCACAAATGCTAACATGGTGAGAAAAAGCTTTACTTCCACTGGCTATCAGGAGTTTCTAGTCCATGCAAGACAAAATATGACTTGACCTTTGATTGGAAGTTGTGCTGTGCATATTTATGTTAGCTTTTATATCTTTCTTGTAGCCTATCTAGAACACTTAACATTACTGTGTCCAAGTTGTCTTTGTAAGTCACAAATAATTTGTATGCATAAAATATTTCTGTCCACTTCTGCAGCGTTAAATACCATACCTTGAGACCTAGAAAGACTTTTAGATTAATGTAATATTTTATGGTAGTTTTATAATTGTATTCTTCTTTACTTGATCTTTTTAAATTCTTTTGCTTTAAATCCTTTAGCAAAAGGATAAAAACTATAATAGAAATAAGTTTTATTTCATGGCTTTAACAGCACCTAAGTTCCTCTACTAGACTTGCAGAGATGTGTACCTCTGAGTTCTCTCTAGCAAAAAAGCATGCTCTTGTGGCCTTCTGGGGAAGAGGACTCTGAGGCCCACTCTGGTTTGACTTGTATGTGATTGCAGACCTTTGACTTGCAGCCTCTGAGACCCATGTACCTGAGTTCAAGAAGTGGTATGTAACACCCATGAAGGCAGAGACTTTGGTAGGAAGGTTTTCATAGGAAAGATACAAGCAAATCAGTCAATATAATTTTGGGAATCTACAAAGCTAATTGATAACACAAAAAGCTTCCAACTTGAGGCAAGGGGGAAATGTTTTCCAGAAGGTAAATTGTTAATAGAGTCCAATGAGCTATTTCAGATTTATACAAAATCTCTTTTTTTATGTTTTCAGTAATGTCTATGCCTTATAAATACATATATATATGTATACATGTAATGACTTTTTTATGTTAACAAGTGGAAGTATTATGACATAGGACTAAAAAAGAAAAAACAAGTAAAGTAATTTTACTTCTTTTCTAAATTAGCTGGTTATAATAATTTAGAAGTTGCAGAGTATTTGTTACAACACGGAGCTGATGTGAATGCCCAAGACAAAGGAGGACTTATTCCTTTACATAATGCAGCATCTTACGGGGTAAGTTCTTCCGTGTTACCTTTAAAAATTTGTGGAATTTTAAAGTGAAAGTCAGTATTGCAGCTCAAATGGAATGTAGTTTGATGTTCTCATTTTACAGAGAAGTAAGTGGCAGAGCTAAAGAAGTTAAATAACTTCCAAATTTCGGTTCTGAATCTGTTCTAAGCTTGCTGTGTGATATGCGGTGTATTGTTGTTTGTTTTATTATCTGCCTTAACACCTGTCTCTTATTTTCAGTGAGATGTTGGTGATTGTGTTTATTTGTTGGTACCCAGAAAATCCACTGGGGCACCAACGGGGTAGATGGAATCTGTACAGATTCAGATGCATTGTTCCTGACTTATCATAGTCCAATGTGACATTCAAAATTGACCATCTTCAATGGTATAGTTTGAATAATTGAGGAAGATTGCTGCTTTATAAATTGACATTTAGTAGTTATAACATTTGAATAAATTAGAAATTATTGAAGTCATATTAGTCTAGTTTCCTGCTAAATAGAATTCTTAACTCTTTTCTAGATAGTTTCTCAAGTTATTGAAATGTCCACTGTAATTTTTAATCAGCTACTCATAAGTTGTGATGTTGGGGAGAAAGAGTTTTTCTTTTCATTTCCAGAATAAGTTTGAAAATGTGGAAGTAGGTACGTAACTAGTTTCATTTTAAGAAAGTAAAGTGTGACAAAATAATATTTCAGACTGTAACGGGTATTTTCTTTTACAGCATGTAGATGTAGCAGCTCTACTAATAAAGTATAATGCATGTGTCAATGCCACGGACAAATGGGCTTTCACACCTTTGCACGAAGCAGCCCAAAAGGGACGAACACAGCTTTGTGCTTTGTTGCTAGCCCATGGAGCTGACCCGACTCTTAAAAATCAGGAAGGACAAACACCTTTAGATTTAGTTTCAGTAAGTGATGGGCTTTTTGAAAAATCTCAGTGCTTTTCTGACTTGTTAAAATTCACTTGATGTTATTATAAAATGTCTTTATAGTCAATGTGAATGGCAAAATCTGGGTTTTAGCCTGATTTTAATGTAAGAGTTCTTTAGTATTAAAATATAATAGAATTATAAAGTAATATAATTATCCTTCTGTAGAATAGAATTATCAATCAGTTATTATATACTGAGTATTTTGGAAATAGGAAAAAGAAGTACATGATATAACTGCTTACGTTAGTTAGGAAACTAAACAGACCCAGGCCCTCAGAAAATGCTGTTACTTATAGTGCATACAGCGCAGATGGTACAGACCATGGGTCTTACACACGGCCCCAACTGGGAACATTGCCCCCCAAGGTGCAGCCACAAACCCTGCTGCCAGTAGAGATTCCTTTTCCTCCCACACTGCCTCATCCCAGAGTTCTTGTTGCTCACCCTACCTTAACTGTTCATGAAACAAGTCTATTATCCACTTTCCTGTGGAGGTCCTGTTTTCCTTCCCCTCTCTCCAGAGCATGGAGCAGGTGTAGGAGCTTCCACTGAACCTTCCACCTCTGCTTTGGGCACTGAAGCAGATGCCTCTCTTGCCTCTACCACTGAGGACATTGACTAGAGCAGTGGAAAGAAAGGAGGAAGGAATTCTTTTTGAGATGAGAAGGAAGGGGAATCTTTTCTGCAGACTGCTTTCTACTGAGAAAGATTACATTGTTCCACATTACAATAAGAAACTGAGGTAGTTCAGCTGCATTGGTGCTTAAGTAGGTTTTTCTCAGTCAGCTAACAACCCAGCCATATTTACAACATTATCTCTTCAGGGAAATATCTTTCTAGTTCCAAGTTACCTTAAAAGTGAACATTTGGAATTCATTCCACCCATATGTTAGTTGACCAGATACAATTAAGTTACAATGAAGCAAAATGCTGTAGAGAACATACAGGGGCTTTAGAGTCAGACAGACTGGGCCTAGAATTCCAGCTGCACGATTTAAGTTGTACAATCTTATGAACTGCCTAACCTCTAAACCTTAGTTACCTCATCTATAGATAGAGGTAAAATATATCTGGTTAGTATGAGAATTAAATGGGGTAATTTACTTAAAGTCTTTGGCATGGTATCAGGTACATAAAAAGCACTCAATAAATGGTACTATTATTATAAACAAATGTCATTTACAAATTGTGAGTGCAATGGGAATGCATAGACTGGGGGAAGAGAAAGGTGATGACTGGAATAGTCAGAACAAATGACTATGAAACAAGTACTAATTTATTCCTTGCTGAACATTAGTTGAACGTTGTGAAAGAAGAGTACATATTACAAATTAAACAAATTAATGTACCAATAAATGTGAGGACTTTTTTCCATTCTAGCAGATTTTTTTTAATTTTTATTTATTATTATTTTTTTGAGATGGAAGTCTCACTCTGTCACCCAGACTGTAGTGCAGTGGCACAATCTGGGCTCACTGCAACCTCCGCCTCCCAGGTTCAAATGATTCTGCTGCCTCAGCCTCCCGAGTAGCTGGAATTACAGGCATGCGCCACCACACCCAGCTAATAATTTTTGTATTTTCAGTAGAAATGGGGTTTCACCATGTTGGCCAGGCTGACCTCAAGTGATCGACCCACCTCGGCCTCCCAAAGTGCTGGGATTACAGGCATAAGCCACTGCACCTGGCCCCATTCTAGCAGATTTGATTAAAATGATTATCTTTTCTACCCACCTCCTCTCCAAAAAACTTTCAGTTTTAAGGAACAAATACATTGCTGAATATTTTCCAGGAAATACAAACAATTCAGTTTGCTAAAGTTCTGTGTAGGTTGAATTACTTCTTTCAGAGTAACTACAATAGGACTAAAATCTCTTACCTTTTAAAATTGATATTTCTGTAATTCGTTGTGCTTCTCAGTCACAGTATCAGAATTAGGGTTTTGTTCATGCTTTGCCATATTTAAATTATATTTTGACAATATGTGTTTTGGAAGAGATGTTCTCAGTTATGTCTTATATTTTAATAACAGTTTAGCTGGATACAGGTTGAATATCCCTTATCGGAAATGCTTAGAACCAGATGTGTTTTCGGCTTTTGGATATTTTTTTCAGATTTTGAAATATTATACTCAAGCATTATACTTACTGTTGAGCATCCCCGATCCCCAAATCTGAAATCCAAAATGCTCCAATAAACATTTCCTTTGAGCTTCACGTCAACATTTTAAAATTTTCAGATTTGGGATGTTTGACCTGTATTAACCTGTTTGCTTCACTTTTTAAAATGAATAATCCTCCATTGTGATAGTACTGGCACAAATTGCTGGGTTTTCTCATATTTTTAAATATATTTTATTAGGTATAATAGCATTTTAAAACTTGCTTATGGCAGATGTTGTCTCTGACACGTACCCTAGGCGGATGATGTCAGCGCTCTTCTGACAGCAGCCATGCCCCCATCTGCTCTGCCCTCTTGTTACAAGCCTCAAGTGCTCAATGGTGTGAGAAGCCCAGGAGCCACTGCAGATGCTCTCTCTTCAGGTCCATCTAGCCCATCAAGCCTTTCTGCAGCCAGCAGTCTTGACAACTTATCTGGGAGTTTTTCAGAACTGTCTTCAGTAGTTAGTTCAAGTGGAACAGAGGGTGCTTCCAGTTTGGAGAAAAAGGAGGGTGAGACGTTCTACAAAAATAACTTTCTAACTGGTATTGTAGCCCCGTATTTGTCATTTGGGATGCTAAAAAGTCATTTTTAACCTTAAATACAAGGTATTAGTATAAAATTAGTTAACATAGCCTTAAAAAGGTTTAACCTTGTATTACTTTCTTCCTTCCAAGTTGACAGTTGAAGAGTCTTGTGCTACTAACCTACTATTTATTTATTTATTTTTGAGATGGAGTTCTGCTTTTGTCGCCCAGACTGGAGTGCAGTGGCGCGATCTCGGCTCACTGCAACCTCTGCCTCAAGGGTTTAAGCAATGCTCCTGCCTCAGCCTCCCGAGTAGCTGAAATTGCAGGCACCCACCACCATGCCCGGCTAATTTTTGTAGTTTTAGTAGAGATGGGATTTCACCATTTTGGCCAGACTGGTCTTGAACTCCTGACCTCAGGTGATCCACCCGCCTCGGCCTCCCAAAGTGCTGGGATTATAGGCGTGAGCCACCGCCCCCCGCCCTTAATCTGCTCTTTAGATGTAAACCTTTTCTGTTAAAATTCATCCCACCTTATGCAACAGTGTGGAGCTTGTTTTCATAAACTTTTTTGTGAAGTAGCTTACATCCTGAAAGATAGGAAAACTGGTTTTAAAAATATAGATGCAATTAAAAACAAAGTTTAAAATAAAAATGAGAGTACTGAGACTGCCCCATTGATTAGCTTTTTTCTAATGTTGAAATTTTGTAGCTTTCTCTTGTTCAGTATTATATCCTAAGTGGCTATTAATATTATTTTCTTCATATATAGTAACATTACAAGACTTTACTGTTATAGTGATGAAATACATTATTCTGATGTGAAATTCCATTTGTTTTGGATTTTTTTATTTCCCAGTTCCAGGAGTAGATTTTAGCATAACTCAATTCGTAAGGAATCTTGGACTTGAGCACCTAATGGATATATTTGAGAGAGAACAGGTGAGTAGATAAATCATATTGTTTGGATTAGTGTTTTATGGAAACTCAAGGAAAATTTGGAACATACTTGAAATGAGCTGAACCATGTAAGCTATTGGGGGAGAATGTTTTTTAAGAAATGACATCAGTCAGCCTTCTAATTTGGCTTGACCTTGAAACTTCCATTTAGTTTATTCGCACACAGTTGACTCGAGTAGTAATGGTAAAGTAGCTTTCTTGAATGGAAAGTTTAGCTTATTCAGTTCTTGAAGTAAGTTATCCTTGAGCACTGTCTATTCAGTTCTCTCTCAAGCCTGACACTTTTCTAGCTGCTATGGGAAGGTATATGAATATGCCAGCCATATCTGGGCTTTTCTAAGCAGTCTCAGTTTAAAGTACTCTGTCAGAATACATTTACTGATTTTTGTTGTTGTTCAGAAAATAATGTTACTGTAGATTTGCACTCTAAGGGACTTTCATTGTAGTTATGGAATTAGAATAAGAACATATGGCCGGGTGCAGTGGCTCACGCCTGTAATCCCAGCACTTTGGGAGGCCGAGGTGGGTGGATCACTTGAGGTCAGGAGTTCAAGACCAGCCTGGCCAAGATGGTGAAACCCCCGTCTCTACTAAAAATACAAAGAAATTAGCCAGGCATGGTGGCAGGCACCTATAATCCCACCTACTCGGGAGGCTGAGGCAAAGAATTGCTTGAACCCGGGAAGCAGAGGTTGCAGTGAGCCAAGATCACACCACTGCACTCCAGCCTCGGCAACAGAGCAAGACTCGGTCTCAAAAAAAAAAAAAAAAAGAACATATGAAAATTCAAGTTTTAGCATAGATTTTAGAAATTTGTAGAAGGGAGCCAGGCACGGTGGCTCATGCCTGTAATCCCAGCACTTTGGGAGGCTGAGGCGGGTGGATCACCTGAGGTCAGGAGTTCAAGACCAGCCTGGCCAATATAGTGAAACTCTTCCCTACTAAAAATACAAAAAATTAGCTGGGCGTGGTGGCGGGCACCTGTAATCCCAGCTACTCAGGAGGCTGAGGCAGGAGAATCGCTTGAACCCGGGAGGCAGAGGTTGCAGTGAGCTGAGATTGCACTTTTGCACTCCAGCCTTGGCAACGAGAGTGAAACTCCGTCTCAAAAATAAAAAAACAGAAATTTGAAGAAGGAAAGGATTACCGTGAGCTAGGCTCATCAGGGAATGCTTCATGGAACGTGTGTAAGTAAAACAGGATTTTAAAGAATGGCTTCAATTTCATGAAGCCATAGTGTATTACTGTATTAAAGGTAAAAGGGTTACTTTGAACAGTGATGCAGAAGTACCACTTGGCATAGTCCAGACTCAGCAGGAACCATTGAAAGACATTATATAAATAGGGTTGGATGTAGAGTGATGGTAGAAAAGTATTATGGAAAAGATAAAATAGAATACCTGAATGTGGTTAATTTGAAAGTGCCTTTTTGTTTTGCGTTTTAGTTCTGCTCAGGTTCTTATGCTAAATGGAAATAATATTTTTAGAAATGTTTAAAATAATCTGGAGTAAATGTGTGAATCTTACATATTATGAAAACACCAATATATGAATGTCCACCAAATAAGTAAGCATTCTAAGTAGTTTCCTCCTCTTTTGTAAGATCACTTTGGATGTATTAGTTGAGATGGGGCACAAGGAGCTGAAGGAGATTGGAATCAATGCTTATGGACATAGGCACAAACTAATTAAAGGAGTCGAGAGACTTATCTCCGGACAACAAGGTATTTTATTTTAATAATTGCTGTTGTCAGTTTAACAGTTTGCATAAAGGCAACCCTCAGTGTACTAAGTTATAATTTAAAAATATGAGAGAATCTGTTTAATAGGAAGAATACTAATTTAGGATTCAGGAAACTGGGATTAAGTCTTAGCTGTGCTACTGACTTAAACTTACTGAGCTGCTGCTGTTAACGATGTGAACCTAAGTAAAATTTCTGGACCATTCAGAAATTTGGGAATTGTTTTAGCTCCTGAAAATAAGGAAGTTAGTTTGAGATTATTTTCTGAAGTTATTCTAGCTCTTAAATTGTATTATTTTAAAGGTCTGAAACTTAGGTATCACATTTCTTATGGTAATATAATAGATAATAACTAAGTGTTCAGGCTAACCCTTAAAGTACTATAGTAGATCTCTTATGTAGATAAAATTTTAAGCGCTTGGGATGAAAATACTGGAAAGCAATAATGTTGCAACTGAGGAAATTGAACAAAACAAAGTTGAATAATATTTTTATTTCTCCTTAATGTTGGTGCTTAAGGAAAATGCAAATTGCATTTATTCAGCAGATGTTAACACTTTATACCAGGTCTGGGTATAAAAAGGTGAATTGTGGCCAAACGCGGTGGCTCACGCCTGTAATTCCAGCACTTTGGGAGGCCGATGCAGGTGGATCACGAGGTCAGGAGATCCAGACCATCCTGGCTAACATGGTGAAACCCCATCTCTACTAAAAATACAAAAAATTAGCCGGGCGTGGTGGTGGGCACCTGTAGTCCCAGCTATTCAGGAGGCTGAGGCAGGAGAATGGCGTGAACCCGGGAAGCGGAGCTTGCAGTGAGTGGAGATCACACCACTGCACTCCAGCCTGGGCGACAGAGCGAGACTCCATCTCAAAAAAAATAAATAAATAATATAAAAAAATAAAAAGGTTAATTGTTTTGGCTAGGCTCAGTGGCTCATGTCTGTAATCCCAGCACTTTGGGAGGCCGAGGTGGGCAGATCACGAGGTCAGGAGATTGAGAACATCCTGGCTAACATGGTGAAACCCCATCTGTACTAAAAATACAAAAAAAAATTAGCCAGGCGTGGTGGCGGGCACCTGTAGTCCCACTTACTCGGGAGGCCGAGGCAGGAGAATGGCGTGAACCCGGGAGGCGGAACTTGCAGTGAGTTGAGATCACGCCACTGCACTGCAGCCTGGTTGACAGAGCGAGACTCCGTCTCAAAAAATAAAAATAAAAAGGTGAATTGTTTTAAGTGTCAAAACCACATTTAACTTTATTGTTCAACTGAGGGAGTGATTTATCTTGGGGTCAAAAATATCCAATAATTGAACGTCCTGGCTGTACACCTGGGGTTAAAGAGAAACCTCCATCAGTAAAAATGAAGGTATTTTCAGGGAAGAATGTATGCTAGCCAGGATGGGGTCCACCTCTGAAGAAATAAGAGCACCTCTAAAAATGTAGATGATTCAAGCTAAGGAATACTTTAAACTGGTATTTTAGAATAAGCTCAATTAAAGGTAGATGTATTTTACTGCCTGATAAGGACTAGGATAAGAAATTTAAAGTGCAATATGCTCTTGGCTGTTTCTAGTATAGAGGACAAATTTTTGTAAGATAAAGAGGAGGGAAAGTCCATGATTTCCTGAAATATTAGTATACAATATAATTAGCACTAAAAATGAGAAACTAGAACCCTCAGTTGTAGACCATCGTTGTAACTCTACTGGAATAATACTGATCTGGTATGATAACAATTATGTTGGAGTACCAGGATAACAAGAGTCTTTTAGGAAAGAGGCAGAGTAGAAAAGGAAAGCAGGCAGTATTTGTGTATTAAACATATCATAGCTATTAGGACTGCACTGAAAAGCTGAAAGGCTCAATGACAGAAATGGATACATTGCCTCCAAATGGCAGAGGTACTTCCATGCCACCTCTGGTCCTGTAGTCACTCTGATACATCCAGCTCCACTTGGATAGGAACATTCATTCCTATATGAAGAAGAAACGTCATGAGACAAAATGCTGTGTCTGATCTAGCATATCAGGGTTACTTTACTACATAAAGTTACCATCTTCTTTATGTTCATTCAAAGCCAATACTCTTTTTTTCCCCCAACCTGATGTTAGTCAACCAACAGGGATTCTGTACTTACACCTGATTTGCAAAGTGGAACTGGTAGCTGCCTGTGATGATCTTCTAACAATCTATCATGCTGACTTAACAGCCTTACCTATCATTCAATGCATCAAGTCAATAGATGACTAGTACCATACTGATCTTTCAGTATTGATAAATATCATCTTGTATATGTTGCAGATGCCTCAGTCAAGCATTTGTCACAGTCTTTATTCTGTAAAACACTCTCCATATGCTCTTCATAATCCTTAAAGATTATTGCAGTTCAGCCACTTCTGTAAGTGTTTATTAGCATTGGCATGTTGGTAGTAGTCCTGTTCTTCAGACCATAGCTTTGAACCAGAATAGTGCTCTTCATCTCCAGAGACAAACTTCCATGCACTAACCCAGCAGTAAAGGATTTGGCCCCTACATGGGAAAACAGCAGTGTTGGAGATATTGTTGTAGAGATTAAAGGAGAGAGTTGTGCTACAAATACACCAAAGGAATTAGAAAATTCTGTTTAAAATTCCATTTAAAAAGCTTTTATAAGAATAAAGATAGAAAAATAGATATGATTATCTTGATCATTGACATTTGGAAAACACACAAATTCATTGCTGAGGTAAACAATCTATTATGGGACAGAATATACATTCAATAGGTGGTAAACTGTGGATTTCTCATTCTAGGGTGATTTAAAATTACCTGAGGCTATGCAAGTTTCTGTCATAATTCTTCCTCATATTTACAAAGAAGAAAGAGATTAAATGTTGAAAGGGCTGCGTAGTTAGTAAAGAAAGTAATTTGAAGAAGAAAATGTGTTACAAACTCATTAAGAATAGGAGATAAGAGAAAGATTTTCTGAAATATTTCCATAAAACCCCTTATAACTTGTCAGGTCAAAAAGTAATAGTCTAAATGCAATGTGGTATGTGTACTGGTTTTGATCCTAGAACAAAAAAAAGGACATAAGTGGGGAAACTAGTGAAAAAATGACATCTATAATTTAGTTAATAAGTTTTGACAAATGTGCTATGGTTATATAAAATGGTAACATTAGGGGAAAGTGGGTGAAGGGTACATAGGAACTCTGTACTTTCATCCTTTCTAAATATCTAAATTATCACACTATGAAATGTTTTTAAAATTGATAGTAAGCGGCCAGGTGCAGTGGCTCACACCTGTAATCCCAGCACTTTGGGAGGCTAAGGCAGGTGGATCACCTGAGGTCGGGAGTTCGAGACCAGCCTGACCAACATGGAGAAACTCCGTCTCTACTAAAAATACAAAATTAGCCAGTCGTGGTAGCGAATGCCTGTAATCTCAGGTACCCGGGATGCTAAGGCAGGAGAATCGCTTGAACCCAGGACGCGGAGGTTGTGGTGAGCCAAGATCACACCAGCCTAGCCTGGGCAACAAGAGTGAAACTCTGTCTCAAAAAAAAAAAAAAAAGTTTAAAAAAAAAAATTGGTAGTAAGAATCAGAAAAATTAGGTGGTTATTTTTGGTTTTGATGTTCATTGTTTATTGGCAATTTATTTTTCTACCTTCAAATTTTGTTTCATAGGTCTTAACCCATATTTAACTTTGAACACCTCTGGTAGTGGAACAATTCTTATAGATCTGTCTCCTGATGATAAAGAGTTTCAGTCTGTGGAGGAAGAGGTATGTTCATATAACTTCAATAGTAGGTTTGCCGTATATATTTAGTTCACTTTGTATCCTCTTGTTTCTTTTTCTTCCTTTAGTTTGCATTATATAATTTTCACCTATAAAATCTGTTTTCAAGCTGATTATCTAATATTACTAGAGTAATATTACTCTAGAAAATATTACTCATGAATTTATAAGACTCATATTCTTTGTTTTTTGTGTTTGTTTTTGTTTTTGTTTTTGTTTTTGTTTTAGTAGAGATGGGGTTTCGCCATGTTGCCCAGGCTGGTCTTGAACTCCTGAGCTCAGGCAGTCCACCTGCCTCGGCCTCCCAAAGTGGGGCACCATGCCCAGCCCTCATATTCTTTGAATAACAAAAATATTAAAACCTGTTTTGTATTCTCAAAAATAGAATCAGACGAGTCAAGAACCATGTTCCCCAAATCAGAAAATAACACAAATGCTAATGCACATATATTTCAAACCATTTTTCTGACAGATGCAAAGTACAGTTCGAGAGCACAGAGATGGAGGTCATGCAGGTGGAATCTTCAACAGATACAATATTCTCAAGGTAATAAATTAGTGAAAGTAAAGTTTTCTGAGACTGTCGTTTTCAAAGCCTGAAGCCATAAGTAACTTTCATAAGAATCTAATCTGTCTAGCCTGGTAAGTCCTTGACTTGGCATCAGAGACTATTTTGGGAAAGAGGATACCCTTGGAAGGTTAATATTCTCCAAATCCCTGTGCTATTTTTAATAAAGGATAATAATTCAATTCTTGTTGAACATATTCAAGTTTATGGGTTATGCTTTATCTTGGGGTAATGCTAAATACTATAGGTTCAATACTTTATATAAAGTACTGTTAAAGTACTCTATTGTAACAAAGCTGAATTTTTTTTGTGGCGGATACCATCTTTATAGTCATACAATGCTTATTTTTTTATCCTGATTGACTACAGGTTTCTGAAAGTCCCCAAATATATTATCTTTTTATAAACTTTAATAGTACTCTCTTCATCTTTTCCAGAAAAATATATTTTAAAAATGTTTTGAGTCATTTAGTGACTGCTGTCTTACTGATTTCAGTTACTCTTCTTAGGAACTTTTTCAACATTATGTTTTTCTTGAACTATAGTAATCAAAACTGCACACCATACTTGATGCATAATGAATTCGTATTAACTACATTGATGCAGTATATTCCTAATAATTGTAAAAATAAGACAGAATTAATATGTGACAAATGCCTTTCTAATACACAAATGCTAAACTCTGAACAGTATCAAATCTTTCAGCTGTATTGTATTACTGTTTCATAACATACTATGAGTATAATATGTAATCAGGCAAATACATGCCTACTACAGGTACATTTCAGTCAAGTCCACTTTGTCTACAAGCATTAACAAAATGTGTGGAGTTTTGTTAGGAGTGAGAGCAGGAGAGAGGTTGTGTGTTTGATTTCTAAAGTAGTTGGATTTGAGAAAGATACAGTTTTCTTCCTCTAATAAAGGTATTTTCATGCGTTGTGTAATAAAAATTTTTTCAGTGATGAAACGGGTTTTTTTTGTTGTTGTTGTTCCTTTTTAATGCATAAATGAGATCTATTTGTGACAGTTACGATCCTTGATTACATCTGTGGCAATATTTTGCATTATTTGAGCCAAGACTAAAACCATCAGCTTCCAGGTGTGCTCTAGGAACCAGCAGGGGGCTGTAGCACCTTTAAACACAGCTAAGAAACAACACTAGTATTGTGAATTTTGTTCCTAGAAATACTCCTAATGAGACTGATATCCACCTTAAAATCTTCTGCGGACAAAAATTTTCTGAATCAGAAGGTCGAGGGAGTAATTGTGTATGTGTTGAGGGGTGGGGGACGCTATTTCAAATATTCTTAATTTAAAACAGATTAATATGGAACTCAGACAAATACATTGGGGAAAAAGGATATTCTTCTCTTTCTAGTACTTTATACAGAAAAAACTCGGCATGTCTGATTTGGAGGTGTTTTTGTAATAGTTTTAAGTTAATGAGAATGGAAGTGTTTTAATAAATTAACAGTATTCCTGACCTTCACATATGGCCTTTTTTTCTTTGAATTTTTTTAATCTCCAAAATGTAGCTATACTTCCAATTTTATGGTTGGGACAAAGTATTTTTAGTTGATTAAAATAACACATTTTATATTTCAGAGTACAGTTTTGCCTACCTTCTAGCTAAATGTATGTCCCATGTTTGGTTTAGATGAAGAAGTCAGTAAGTAATTCCTAAAGATTTGATTTTTCTGGTTTATTTTTTATAGATTCAGAAGGTTTGTAACAAGAAACTATGGGAAAGATACACTCACCGGAGAAAAGAAGTTTCTGAAGAAAACCACAACCATGCCAATGAACGAATGCTATTTCATGGTAAGATTCCTCCCCACCAACTCTACCACTGTCTTCCACATTAGGATAGTTTTTTTGTTCAGATATGAAATAATAATAAGCCTGTATATTCTTTATGTCAGTATTTTAAGATAAACCTACTATTTCTGTAACTTTCACATTTATATTTTCAACTTCTTTTGAATTTGTGTATTTTATAATGGATTGTTTTTAAATAAGATTACCACAATAAAAATAGAAATGAGAGTGTTGACTATCTTTTCCTTTTTTCTTTAAATAGTAAATTTTGCTTATGGTCACTCTAGGAAATTTTGTGTTTTCCATTTAACTAGTTGATTGAATTAAAAATAAGACCTGGGAATCACCTCAGAAGAAGGTGTACATCCTATTCTGATTTTGATTCTAAGTATCAAACCCACACAATTTGAAAAGAGCCATTGTTATTGAACCTGTAGAGGTTTCTGATGACTGTAGAATTGAAACCATAGAATTGAATTGAAAGCACAATTACTTATTCTTCTTGGAATTTTCTACTTTTTTTGTATTATAAGCTGGCAGGTGTTGATTAGTCTTTCAAATTTTAGCAAAGTTAAACATATTAATGTAGTATTTATGAGGGCTTCAAGTACATTACCCATAGTAGTTCCAGTCTGTTTCTTCATTTGTCCTTGATTGCAGAAAAATTTTAGAGACCTGTAAAGTTCTCTAAAACACAGTAAATTTCATAATACCCTGGGAGAATGGCTGTAACAGAATGGATTCATGTGCAGAATCTAAACATGTTGCACTCCTTATTCCAAAACCCTAAATAATTATCATGATAATCTCTTGACACAGAGCATATTTATTTATCTGTTAATTGATGGTTATAATATGGTTTTTCTAATTTGTAATATAAATAATTTTGGTTTTCCCAAGTTAATTCAAAAAATGATTCTATTCATCTGTATTTCTGTAAAGTAGAATTCAGTATATTTTCCTGTCTGTCTGTGGAAAGGGAATGTGATCTTGATAAATGAATTAGCTGTGGTTTTTTGACTTTTTCCATCCCCCACTCTACTCCACTCCCAAGGAAAGAGGAGAGAGAAGTCAATGTGCAGGGGGTGAGGGAAAGCACCACATTTGCAGATAGAATCTTGTATCGTAATTAATGAAAGGCAGAAGTGGAAGGATAGAAGAGAAGAGGTATAAGAAAGAGAATAAGAATGTGAAAGTTGGGCCGGGTGCGGTGGCTCACGCCTGTAATCCCAACACTTTGGGAGGCCAAGGTGAGTGGATCACCTGAGGTCAGGAGTTTGAGACCAGCCTGACCAATATGTTGAAACCCTGTCTCTACTAAAAATACAAAAGTTAGCCAGGCATGGTGGTGTGCACCTATAGTCCCAGCTACTCAGGAGGCTGAGACAGGAGAATTGCTTGAACCCGGGAGGCAGAGGTTGCAGTGAGCCAAGATCATGCCACTGCACTCCAGCCTGGGCCACAGAGCGAGACTACATCTCAAAAAAATTTAAAAAAAAAAAGAATGTGAAAGTCTACTTGGGCCACTTGGTATCTTCAAAAAAGCACACAGGCATAGGCATCATTCTAAGACCTAATTGCATTTAGCTTTGCTATCTAAAGTGAATTATGAGCCTCTTGGTTTTAGATTTTTATGGATTTGCAGTCTGGCATTTGGTAACTCTTACACTGATATTTCAAGTACTCTGTTTTTCTAGTTCAATCTGTGTCCTTATTTTAGCACATAAACCAGCACTCTGTTAGAAACATTAGTTGATGTTAGCAGTTCTTTATTCTAAAATAGCTGGCTGACAGTTAACTTGTTACCCTTTTTCGTTTTGGCTTTATTATGGTTGGGCTATATATTTAAGAATTCAGTTTCTAAGAAACTAGTTTTTTACTTTTTATTCTAAGATAAATTTTAAATTATTGTTACCCATCTATATGTGTTTCAGGGTCTCCTTTTGTGAATGCAATTATCCACAAAGGCTTTGATGAAAGGCATGCGTACATAGGTGGTATGTTTGGAGCTGGCATTTATTTTGCTGAAAACTCTTCCAAAAGCAATCAATATGTATATGGAATTGGAGGAGGTACTGGGTGTCCAGTTCACAAAGACAGATCTTGTTACATTTGCCACAGGTAAGAGATCACTTGTTCTCATTTATTTTGGTGGTAATCAGATAAGAACTAGTTGCATTTTTGAGGGCAAAGCATTATGTTGGACAGTCTTAGGAATGCAAGCTAGGCATGTTTTAGATTGCTTTTGGCCCTCTCACCAATTGTAATAATAGCTAATATTTATTAAATGATCCGTATGGGCCAATTATAATTTAAGCACTTGACCTGTTTGGCTAATTTAATCATTAGAATATCTGGTGCCTTAAAGCATACTGAGTAGAAAGTAACATTAGGCATGAAAGAGGCTTTATTGTAGCCCTTGAGTATTGTAGGACTCTGTGGACTCTAAAAATCTAGTATTCAAATGCTAAAATGGCATTATTTGTCAAATCTAATTATTTGATGGCAGTGCCTGAGCCTCTCTTCCACTGTGATACGATCCTAATCCTCAATTTGCAATATTACTATAAGAACTTGAAATTAAAACATTGATCCTTTTTGAAAGGAAATAATAATCAAATAACTACTTTGCACTTTTTTTTTCCACTTTTAATTACCTGTTCTAACTCACTTGTTAAAAATCATTTAAGTAACTTGTCCCTAACTTATAAAATCCTTATAGGCAAAAAGTAATGCCACTTGAAAAATCCAGTAAGATTAATTCCTGAGATTTATTCGACAGTTAGGGCACTGCTTATTGAATATACAGAGCAGTAGTTTATCAAGCATTAGCATGCATTAGAGTCACCTAGATGGCTTGTTTAAATCACAGATTCTTAGGCTCCACCTTCTCAGTTGCTGATTTAGTAGATCTGGGATGAGACTCTAGAATTTGAGTTTCTACCAAGTTCCCAGATGTGACACTGTATTTCTGACCACTGATCTAGAAAAAAACCCCTAGAGCAGTACTTTGCACTTTGGCAGCACATTGGAATCACCCAGGGAATATTAAAAAACTATTAATGCCTGTGTCCCACCCTCACAGAATCTCTTTTAATTGGTCTGGGGCATGATCTGGATATTAGAATTTTTAAAAGCTTCCCAGTTGATTTCAAAGGGCTTCCGAGCTGAAGAATTGCAGTCATGGAGGGAAACAGGTTCTTTCTTTGTGTTTGTTTTGTTCTTACTGTTACCCCTCTAAATTTAGGCCTGCATAGGTAGTACACAGTAGGCCCTCCTATGTATGACGTCCCACTCACTTCTATTTTAGATCATAAATTGGAGTGGTTAGGAGGCATGTAATTTCCTGTAAATTGAACACTGCTGTTTTTATTTGTCATATATGGTCTGAAGGCTAAATAGTTCTGATTATTAGTAATAAGCAGCATTCTAATACCTCCCTCTTCTTTGGAAGATAGAACCATCAACTGGTCTACAGAAATCTCCTGTTATCTTCTAAAAAGAAACAATGACGTTAATACTAAAAGGTTGTTTGAAACTAAGAAAGGCTAGTCACATGCCTGAGAGGAGTGAGAGGGTAATCTACTGAAACTGGTGGTGAGGGGAGACTACCAGTTTACTTCCTATCTAAGGAAGTAACATTTCAGCTGAAGTCTGAAAATTGAGTGGGTATCAGCCAGTGGAAGAGTGGTAAAATAGATAACATTCCAATGGTGGAGAAAATTCTGTGGATGGGGACCATTAATAAAGCAAGTTTGGCCTTTGTGAAGAAAAGAAAACTAATGTGCATGGGGCATAATGAACATAAAATGAGATTCAAGAAATTGGAGCCATTGTACAGAATTTGGATTTTCTCCCAAGTACAGTGACAGCCTCTAAAAGGTTTTAAGCAGAAAAGTGACTTGATCTAATTTTTGTTTGTTTTAATTAGTTGGATGGGAAAGGTTTGGACAGGAATTACAGAAGAAACAGGAAGACTGGTTTAGAAAGCCATTGTGTGATAGTCCAGGTGAATATTTCAGTGATTTGACTTAATAGTGACAGTAGAATTAAGAAAAGTAAATGGATTTCAAATATATTTTGAAGGTAAAATCAACTGGAGTTAATTAGATATGTGTCCAACTTTGCAAGCCACTTAATGGAAGTCCACTAAACCTTCTCCTTCCCACTTGGCCAGTGACTTTTGTTTTTTGCTGAGATACAAACAAGGTGGTAGAGTCTGTATCTCTATAAGGTTATTACATTTTTCAGATTTTATAGTTAAAATAAGGACTAACTAAATTGACAAATTATTTCATTAATAAGAGTAATAGAAGACATTCTTAAAAAGTTCTTTTAGGGGTGAAATGATAAAAACAATTATAAGTATTTATGTATAAATAATTTTTTAAAACTTATGCCGTGTCCACACATTGTCATATTTATGTATCAAATTTGACTTCAGGGTGATCTTTTCCTTTTCGTTTTATAGGCAGCTGCTCTTTTGCCGGGTAACCTTGGGAAAGTCTTTCCTGCAGTTCAGTGCAATGAAAATGGCACATTCTCCTCCAGGTCATCACTCAGTCACTGGTAGGCCCAGTGTAAATGGCCTAGCATTAGCTGAATATGTTATTTACAGAGGAGAACAGGTAATGTAGTTTTATTTGTTCATCTTCAAAAATGCTAGGGAGGCATACTTTAACTTTTTATTAATCTCTTGAATTGACAAGACATATTGCCTTAACTGGATTTTTTAAAAATTTTATTTGGAGATAATTTCAGATTTGGAAAGTTACAAAAATAGTAAAGAGAATTTTCTTATAACCTTTACCTAGATTTCCTAAATGTTAATATTTTGTTCTCTTTTTTACTCTTACCATTCTCTCCTTCTTTCCTTGTGTGTGTACCTATTTTTTTGTGAACTGTTTGAGAGTAAGTTGCAGGGCATGTCCCTTTACCATTAACTATTTCAATTGTAAATTTCCTAAAAACAAGAAGATTTTATTCAAATTTCGCCAGTCGTTCCGGATTTTTCTTAGCTCTTATAAATAATTGAAATCTTGTATTTAACAGCCTGTCCATAGCAAAGAAGTATATAACTGTGTTTTGCTCTCAGTGAGAGCCAAAAGTAGTTCTAGAGCAGTGTTGTGAACTGGGAGTAGGTATCGGAATCACCGCAGTTACTAAAATCAGACATGATTTTAGTCTTATCTGATACTTATGAACTTAGTATTCATCTTAGACTTGCTGATTGAAAATCTGAAGAACTGTACTCAGGGTAAAGATGTTTTGAGAAAATGTCCCTAGATGATTCTGATCTACAACAGTAATTTAGAACCTCCTCCCTAAGATTAGGAATACTTCCGGAAAGTCTGTTTATCTTTCAAGAAAATTTTTGTACCATTATTTGAATTTATCTTTCTCTTCCAGGCTTATCCTGAGTATTTAATTACTTACCAGATTATGAGGCCTGAAGGTATGGTCGATGGATAAATAGTTATTTTAAGAAACTAATTCCACTGAACCTAAAATCATCAAAGCAGCAGTGGCCTCTACGTTTTACTCCTTTGCTGAAAAAAAATCATCTTGCCCACAGGCCTGTGGCAAAAGGATAAAAATGTGAACGAAGTTTAACATTCTGACTTGATAAAGCTTTAATAATGTACAGTGTTTTCTAAATATTTCCTGTTTTTTCAGCACTTTAACAGATGCCATTCCAGGTTAAACTGGGTTGTCTGTACTAAATTATAAACAGAGTTAACTTGAACCTTTTATATGTTATGCATTGATTCTAACAAACTGTAATGCCCTCAACAGAACTAATTTTACTAATACAATACTGTGTTCTTTAAAACACAGCATTTACACTGAATACAATTTCATTTGTAAAACTGTAAATAAGAGCTTTTGTACTAGCCCAGTATTTATTTACATTGCTTTGTAATATAAATCTGTTTTAGAACTGCAGCGGTTTACAAAATTTTTTCATATGTATTGTTCATCTATACTTCATCTTACATCGTCATGATTGAGTGATCTTTACATTTGATTCCAGAGGCTATGTTCAGTTGTTAGTTGGGAAAGATTGAGTTATCAGATTTAATTTGCCGATGGGAGCCTTTATCTGTCATTAGAAATCTTTCTCATTTAAGAACTTATGAATATGCTGAAGATTTAATTTGTGATACCTTTGTATGTATGAGACACATTCCAAAGAGCTCTAACTATGATAGGTCCTGATTACTAAAGAAGCTTCTTTACTGGCCTCAATTTCTAGCTTTCATGTTGGAAAATTTTCTGCAGTCCTTCTGTGAAAATTAGAGCAAAGTGCTCCTGTTTTTTAGAGAAACTAAATCTTGCTGTTGAACAATTATTGTGTTCTTTTCATGGAACATAAGTAGGATGTTACATTTCCAGGGTGGGAAGGGTAATCCTAAATCATTTCCCAATCTATTCTAATTACCTTAAATCTAAAGGGGAAAAAAAAAATCACAAACAGGACTGGGTAGTTTTTTATCCTAAGTATATTTTTTCCTGTTCTTTTTACTTGGTTTTATTGCTGTATTTATAGCCAATCTATACATCATGGGTAAACTTAACCCAGAACTATAAAATGTAGTTGTCTCAGTCCCCTCCAGGCCTCCTGAATGGGCAAGTGCAGTGAAACAGGTGCTTCTTGCTCCTGGGTTTTCTCTCCATGATGTTATGCCCAATTGGAAATATGCTGTCAGTTTGTGCACCATATGGTGACCACGCCTGTGCTCAGTTTGGCAGCTATAGAAGGAAATGCTGTCCCATAAAATGCCATTCCTATTTTCTAATATAAAACTCTTTTCCAGGAAGCATGCTTAAGCATCTTGTTACAGAGACATACATCCATTATGGCTTGGCAATCTCTTTTATTTGTTGACTCTAGCTCCCTTCAAAGTCGAGGAAAGATCTTTACTCACTTAATGAGGACATTCCCCATCACTGTCTGTACCAGTTCACCTTTATTTTACGTTTTATTCAGTCTGTAAATTAACTGGCCCTTTGCAGTAACTTGTACATAAAGTGCTAGAAAATCATGTTCCTTGTCCTGAGTAAGAGTTAATCAGAGTAAATGCATTTCTGGAGTTGTTTCTGTGATGTAAATTATGATCATTATTTAAGAAGTCAAATCCTGATCTTGAAGTGCTTTTTATACAGCTCTCTAATAATTACAAATATCCGAAAGTCATTTCTTGGAACACAAGTGGAGTATGCCAAATTTTATATGAATTTTTCAGATTATCTAAGCTTCCAGGTTTTATAATTAGAAGATAATGAGAGAATTAATGGGGTTTATATTTACATTATCTCTCAACTATGTAGCCCATATTACTCACCCTATGAGTGAATCTGGAATTGCTTTTCATGTGAAATCATTGTGGTCTATGAGTTTACAATACTGCAAACTGTGTTATTTTATCTAATCCATTGCTTAATGAGTGTGTTTTTCCATGAATGAATATACCGTGGTTCATATGTTAGCATGGCAGCATTTTCAGATAGCTTTTTGTTTGTTGGGAAGTTGGGGTTTTGGGGGGAGGGGGAGTATTAGTACGTTGCATGAAATAGCTTACTTTATAATGATGGAATTGCTTTTTCTTTTGTCTTGTGATTTTTTTTTTTGAAGTGAAATTTAACTTTTTGTGCAAGTAGTACTATTATACCCATCTTCAGTGTCTTACTTGTACTGTATCACATTCCATACCCTCATTTAATTCTTAATAAAACTGTTCACTTGTTTTTCTGGGTAGCATGGTAATTACTGGAATAGTATAAATGTGTTGAATGGTCTTTGAGAAAATGAATTAAGATTACAATAAACCACAATTGCAGGAAAACAATGTAGTTCTGAGTCTAATAGTGATAAAGAATGCAGTTTGAAGTTTGAAATATTGAATATTGTAGCTGTACTTGCTCATTAAAATGAAAGTAGCTGTGAGATGCTTTCAACATTTAGTCTATTCAGCACAACTGGTAAACCTTAAAGCTCATTCCTGGGAAATTAATCTTCTTAACTTATAAAAAGGAATATATTTTTATTTCTGTGTCATATGAAAACATTCTTAATAAGTTTCCAAATCTCAAAGTTAGTGGTATTTATTGCTATTAAAAGAAAGAGTAATCGCATATGTATATTAGACTTCAGTATGTTAAGTTTCCTTGTGTGTGAGCAATTCCCTGATTTCCATAATAAGAGAATGATGGTGCAAATAATTCTTAAGTCTTTTGGCTTTGAAATACATTTCAGCAGCTCTGTGTTCCTGCTTCATTTAGGGTAATATGGAAGTATTTGCTGCTATTTCAAGTATGCATGCCAGTCTCGGGTGTTTATTGTGATCCAGTTGTTTGCAGGTTGATGAGGCAAGAAAGCATGCAGATTTCCCAGAGCTCTTATAGTCAGTACTCCTGACTGTGCCTTTACCTGCTGTCCTATTACAGGACTAGAGTGACAAAGGAAGCAAGTAGTGGTGGTACTCATTTTTCACCAGGAGAACTGTCAGACTTCTATAAAATTAAATTGTAATATGCCTTTCCCTGTCTCCTGTGTCTCCACACCTCCTGCCCTTTTGTGCTGACTAGTTTAGACAGGCTATGACCTAAAATACTTAATTACTGCTCTTCACATAAAGCCATTATTATTAGAAGTGATGTCTCCACCTTGTCACCCACCCACAGCTGTCATTTCCGTAACACAAATATATACAGAGCCCCTCAAAGCAGTATGCCCACATACTACAAAGCAGCACTATACAAAGGTGTGATCTGCCGATGGGATTGGTCTGCGAACTGATATTGTTACCAGCCCATGGAGATATGAATACAAAAAGTAAGGGTAAACTTTTAAAAACTTTTATAGCAAGACATTGCTGTAATTTATTTTTCTTATTTTTAATTGAAATATTGGCCTGCAATGGATTGGAAACTTAGAAAGAAACTGATCCTTCACAGATAATTTGAAAGGTTTCACATCTGCTTTGTATACCAGTAGACTTAGCACCTAGCATATCTGGCACATAGGGTTCCTCAGTAAATTTTTCGTTGGGTGAATAAATAGTGATTAAGTGATTGGGCTGTAAGGTCAGATGTATATGGATTTTAATTTTTATTCTACCCCTCACCATCGTTGTGATCTTGAACAAATTATGTACCTTTTAAGATTTTTATAACACTTTATAAGGTTGTAGAAAGTAATAAATGATTTTCTGTCTGTGCTACTAAGCATTGTACTTGCCAGTAACTGGTTATTATAATTAATATTTCCCTGAATATTCCAGAATTAATGGCTTGAGTTTTCCCACTTGTCACGGAAACATAGAGCATAGAATTTTAAAACTGCAAGATGTATTAGCCACTAATTCCTTTATTCTAATGAAATCTTAAGAAGCTCAAAATATAAAGTATATAAATCCCTAACCCACAGGAATCTGTTTTAAAATTACTGATATGAGCACACAGACAGACATACCCATAATCCAGTCTGCATCATATTTGTCTAGAAAAAAGCCTCACTCAGATGAACTCATCAAAAATCCAAAACAGTGTATTGTAAGCACAAATCAGTAGAGACAATCTTGGAGGATTAGCACCTCCCACAAAGTAGTGAAGTAAATATTGTTTAAAATGATTGGGTTGAGGGTGGGAATAAAAGAAATCATTAAAACCATTAAGATGACGCTGTGAAGAAGGCAAAGTCTTCGAAAAAGTAAGTCTTTAGAACTATATGTAATTAGAAATTAAAAACTCAAACAGATTACAGACTGGGCATATCTGAAGATAGAATTGGGGAACTAGAAGATACAGTGGAAAACACAGATTGTAGCACAGAGAGAAGAGATGGGAAATACAGAGGGCTAGGAGACAGAATAGAATGAGGAGATACAACATAAAGAATAGGGGAGGGAAGAGACTTGAAAAATACCCAAGAATTCATAGAGAATATGAATCTTTAAAGAAGCAGCAGCTTAAGAAACACCTAGGAGGATGAATAAAAGCAAGTCTGCTACTAGACATAGTGAAACTGCAGAGCATCAAAAGACAAGAAAAAAAATACTTACTAGAAAAGACAAAGGATTAATACACTGACAGCAGATCAGTGGCAGCAACAGAAGCCAGAAGACAAAATAACTTAGAAGTGCTGAGGAAACTACTGTTAGCCTAGAATTCTATACACAGATAAACTAGTACTTAAAAAAGAGGATGAAAAATGCATCTGCTCTTTTGCTGAGAGATCTAGTAGATTGTTCTTTAGCAAAGAAAGCAGTTGAATCCAAAAGAGCAGGATGCAAGAAGCATAGTGCACAAAGAAATCGGCAAACATGTCAGTAAAAAGGCTGAAATAATATAACTGATAAGGAATAATATTCAAGACCAATCTGTATGATTTGCTACTATTTGTATACGTAGGAAAAAGTACAACATGCATTTGCTTGTTTATGAATAAAATTCCTTCAGGATACACGTGAACTGTTGGAAGGAAACCTCAGTGCCACTGGGATCAGATGTGAAAGACTAAACTGTATATCCTTTTATTCCTTTTGAATTTTATAACAGGACTATTTAAAGCACTATAATAAGCATTGTCTGCAATACACAAGTAATAGATTTGAGATTTTTAAAACAAGGTGGAATGAAAGTACTAGTTGACAATAGTATGGGAAATAGAAGCTTTAAGATGCTGATGAAATTTAGACTTTAAGTCAAGTATGCATATTAAATTTTCAAAGATAATCACTAAAAGAGTAGAAATCGAAGTGTAAAGATTGAAGAAAGGTAATACAAATGAACCAGTCGAATAAAAATAAGAATAACAGGTGACTCGTGCACTTTTTTCCCCAAAAAATATGTCAAAGAATCAGGTGAACAGGAAATATCTGTAAAAGGTTAAGAGTATCCTGGACGCACCTGAAGAAGAAAAATAAAGCAGGAGAACCAGAGATGAAGAATAGAATTAATGCTGTCGTAACTGAGATAGTGTGATATTGATATAGGTGTAGAGTCTTTGACCAGTTGAACAGAGTTTATAAGGGCTTTTTATATACCAGAGTAGCACTATAGATCCTGAGGAAAGGAGGAACTATTCAATAAATTGTAATGGGACAGCTGGTAATCCACATGGAAAAATACATATCTGGATATATACACAAAAATAAATTTCACATAGATTTTATATAGGACATATGTGAATAGCAAAATATTTTAAAGGTTTAAAAGAAAATATAAGAAACTGTTAATGACTTTGAGATAAGGAAGAACTTTTTTTTCTTTTTTTGAGACGGAGTCTCGCTCTGTCGCCCAGGCTGGAGTGTAGTGACGCGATCTCGGCTCACTGCAAGCTCCACCTCCTAGGTTCACGCCATTCAAGGAGGAACTTTTTAAGTGACCTTCAAACAACACTGACCCTAAAAGGTTGGTAAATTTGACTGTATTAAGTTTAAAAGCATCTGTTAATCCAAAGGCCACTAAGAAGAAAGTAAAGAGACAAGTCATAAAGTGTGAGAAAATATTTGCAGCACATAAAGGGCAAATAATTTATATTCAGGATATACTAAAAACTACAAGAAAAAAATGAAAAACGCGGGGCGGGGGGCGCGTGTGAACAAGCGTTTCTCAAAATGGGAAACTCAATAAACATCAAAAAACGCTTAGCCTCATTAGTAATCAAGGAAATTCAAACTAGGTACCATAAGGTACCATTTTATACCTGCCAGAACTGACAAAAGTAAAAAACTTAGCAATGCAGGTGTTCGGATCTGGATCCCATACATTGCTGTTGGTGTGAGTGCTTTTGAAATCCATTTGGCATTACTGGTAAAATGAGAAATTCCTCCGACATCTAGGTGTGGAGAGAAACCCTTGCTCAGCGGCTTCACGAGTCATACGAAGGAACACAACACTGATCACAATGTTTATATAATGACTATCTTCTCTTTCCACTCTTCACAGTTCTCCAGCCTCCTTTTTGCCCCAGAAATCTAATCTTGATGGGCTACATGGACAGATTCCCTGTTCTCTGGCTTTCCCCTTTTAACCCAAGGGGAGTATCAGCCGGATGTTGGAGGGTGATTAGGAAGAGAGTGAAATTCAAACATCTATTTCCCAGCTCCCATCCTGATCAGTCTCAGGACAACCTTGGCACTATTGACGTTTTGGGAAGATAATTACTTGTTGGGGCTATTCTGTGCATTGTCGGATGTTTAGTGGCATCTCTGATCTCTAATCACTAAATGCAAATAGTACAGCTGCCCCTTGTGACAACCAAAAGTATCCCAGACATTGCCAAATGTCCCCTGGAGGACAAAATCGCCCTGGGTGAGAATCCCTGGGTTAGCTGTCCCCTTCACTAAAAGGTCACCCCTCCTTACAGAGTGGCCTTCCTTCTTACACAACTTTGGAGGTAAAAGCAGTCAATGTAAAAACTAGCGATTTAAGGGAATAAAATAGGTAAGGTAATCAAGAAAAATCAGAAATCTACAATATAAAAAAGTTTTGATAGAGAAGTAGCCACAAATACAAAGAAAAATGTTTAAAAATTTTAAAGACCGCTTTGCTCAACTCCATACAAATAAATTTGGGAACTGAGATAACACCTAGGGTAATATTCTAGTAAAACACAAATGACTAAAACTAACCCAAGAAAAGAGAGCAAGTCTAAACAAACCAGATGCCAAAAAAGAAAGAAAGAATTCTGTCAAAGAGCTATCCCCAAACAATTCCCAGACCCAGGGAGTTTCATGGTAGAGTCTTACAAAACATTAAGGAATAGATAACTCCAATGTTATTTAAACTGTTCTAAGAGTGTAGACAGTTTCCAATTTTTTAATAAATACATATAGAATTAATATCAAGCTTCAACAAGGTGAGAGAAAAAGGAGTGGACATTAATGCACAAAATGTTAATTGCAAGCAAAATCTAGCACAACATTAACAGAATAATACCAGTAGGAATATAGATAAACTGCAAATGGATATGAGTGAGCTTTCGGGTGATGGAAATGTTAAAGCTGTTTTTTAAAACTAATACATAATGACCAGTTGGACTTTATACCAAAAATGCAAGGCTGGTTCACCCCTAGAAAATAATATAGGCCGGGCACAGCGACTCACGCCTGTAATCCCAGCACTTTGGGAGGCTGAGGTGGGTGGACCACAAGGTCAGGAGTTCAAGACCAGCCTGGCCAACATGGTGAAACCCCATTTCTACTAAAAATTAAAAAAAAATTAGCCAGACATGGTGGCGCATGCCTGTAATCCCAGCTACTTGGGAGGCTGAGGCAGAAGAATCACTTGAACTCAGGTGGCGGAGGTTGCAGTGAGCCGAGATTGCGCCATTGCACTTCAACCTGGGTGACAGAGTGAGACTCTGTCTCAAAAAAAAAAAAGAAAATAATATAATTCACCTTATCAGTAGCTGACAGGGCAAAAATTAGACAACAATCCCCCTGAATTCTGAAAGGCATTTGATAAAGGCATCTAAATTTGATATATATATATGTGTGTGCTTATATATATATGTGTGTGTGTGTGTGTATATATATAGTGTGTGTGTACTCTATATATAGTGTGTGTGTGAGTCTGTGTGTGTATACAAGAATATATATATATACACACACACAAAATAGATACTTCCAGACGTAATATTTATACAGTTGCTCCTTGATTTACCATGGGGCTAGGTCCAAATAATCCATTGTGAATCGAAAATATTGTATGTCAAACATGCATTTAATGCTAGTGATATGATGGTTCATCTTAGAATTTTTTGACTTAAGAATGGCACAAAAGCATTATTCAATAGAAATTATAATGAGTTAGGATTAATGATTTAGTAGAAATCGTAATCCCATTGTAAGTGGTAAGGAGCTCTTTGACTTATAATAGGGTTACATCCCAGTAAACCCATCAGTAAAGAAGAAAAATCATTAAGTCTAAACATTGTTAAGTCAGGAACAAACTTTACCATGCAACACACCTAGACAAGGAGCATTTTGTTTTGATTCACCATTCTTGTGAGCTCTTTGATCTGGTATTTTCTTGGCCTTGTACCAATTGGACCTTTGTGCTGCTGGAAAAGACAGATGTCTACCTGTTGCCTCCTTCCCCTAACACTCTCCCAGTGGTTCTGCCAGAGTGCCCAGAATGTCCACTTTTTAAGCAGTTCTTTGGGTTCAGGTGGTGATAACATGCACAGATGTCATCTAGAGGGGCTCGTTAAACCCTCCGTTAACTGTCCTAAGAAGGTGGAGCACCTGTCAGGCAAACTTGAATGGAGAAAAACCCTGGCGTGAGAAGACAAAGATGTGGGAATTGCTTGGTAGACTCAGGTTCTGGTCTTGCTTCTAGCAGTTGGGTGAATTGAACAAGTTGCTCAACTTTTCTGGCCATCACTACCCTCTTCTGAAATCCAAGGGAGTATAGCTGACCCAAGTCCTTATTCCTAACAAAATCTTATGCTGAAAACCAACGTGTAAAATAGGTGAAGGCTGAAAAGGATAGGAGAGCTGTGAGGAGCCCAGTGACAGATTCCAGGAATCCACCAGGACTTAGCAAGTCAGATTGTGCAGAGCACATGAGGCTTCATTTCAATTTCTACCTTCTTGATTTATCTTTCTTCTCCCCATATCATAGTTCAAGAGAGGAAGTGCAAATAAAAATTGCAAACCCCAAAATTATACACATCATAGAAACAGATGTGACCTCTACAAGTTCTTCCAACTCTCAGTCTGTGAGTTTACGAGAATCCCAGACTGACGTTAAATTGTTTTCTAGCTGGATGATAACAAATTTAAAAGAATGATTACAATACAAAAAATTAGCCGGGTGTGGTGGCGGGCACCTGTAGTCCCAGCTACCGGGAGGCTGAGGCAAGAGAATGGCATGAACCCGGGAGGCGGAGCTTGCAGTGAGCCGAGATCGAGATCGCGCCGCTGCACTCCAGCCTGGGCGACAGAGCGAGACTCTGTCTCAAAAAAAAAAAAAAAAAAAGAATGATTACAACTGTACCACACTAGAGTATGATTAGAAAATTCCCCTTTAGATTGAAGTAACACTATACTGACCTGCAAGTATCTTTAAGATATATTGTCAAGAGAAAAATAAAGCAAAATGTCTTGTATACTACCATTTGTAAGAAAAAGAAGAGGAGGAGGAGGAGGGGAGGGGGAGGGAAGGGGGAGGGGGGAGAAGGGAGAAGGAGAGGAGGAGGAGGAAGAGGAGGAAAGAAGAAAAAAGAAGGAACAGAACAAGAAGAGAAAGGGCCAGGGCAGTGGCTCATTCCTATAATCCCAACACTTTGGAAAACCAAGGCAGGAGGATCACATGAGCCCAGGAGTTCAAGATCGGCCTGGGCAACATAAATGAGACTCCATCTCTACAAAAAATTTAAAACAAAAATTAGCCAGGCATGGTGGTGTTCACCTGTAGCCTCAGCTACTAGAGGTGGGCCTGAGGTGAGAGGGTCACTTGAGCCCTGAAGGTCAAGGCTACAGTGAGCTGTGACCACACCACTGCATTCCAGCCTGGGCAACAGAGCAACACCCTGTCTCAAAGAAAAAGAAGAAGAAAAAAAAAACTCATGTATATTTGATTATGCATAGAATCTCTGAGAAAAGGCCAGGCACGGTGGCTCACACCTGTAATCCCAGCACTTTTGGAAGGCCAAGGCGGGTGGATCACGAGGTCAGGAGTTCGAGACCAGCTTGGCCAATATGGTGAAACCCCATCTCTACTAAAAATACAAAAATTAGCTGGGTGTGATGGTGCGCACCTGTATTCCCAGCTACTCGGGAGGCTGAGAGGCAGAAGAATTGCTTGAACCCAGGAGGTGGAGGTTGCAGTGAGCCGAGATTGCACCACTGCACTCCAGCCTGGGTGACACAGTGAGACTCCACCTCAAAAAAAAAAAAAAAAAAGAATCTCTGAGAAAATACACAGGAAACTGATAATCTGGTTGCTTCTATGAAGGAAACGGCATGGCAGGGGATGGGATGGAAGGGAGGCTTGCTTTTCACTCTATTGCCTTTTGAATTCTGTACTGTGTGCATTTCACTTTTTAAAATTACACTTTGGTTTCCCCCTTCATTCCCTTTGACCAGCAATTTCACTTCTGGGAATTGATCCTACATATTTGCTCACACAGAAATATTACATGATCATATAGTTGTTCGCTGAAACATTTTTTAATTTTTCTTTCTTTTTTTTTTTTTTGGTAATGTTTGAAACATTGTCAATGTTAATCAATAGGATACTGGTAAAATAGAAGGTGACACATTCACAAGATGGAATTCCTTGCATTTGTAAAGTTGTAAAGAAGGCTGAGGATGTGTTCTATGTACTAGTGTGAAAAGATCCGCAAGATACATTGAGTGAAAGGGAGATGGCCCAGCATGGTGGCTCATGCCTGTAATCCCAGCACTTTGGGAGGCCAATGTGGGAGGATTGTTTGAAGTCAGGAGTCAAGACCAGCCTAGCCAACATAGGGAGACCCTGTCTCAAAAAAAAAAATTGTTTTAATTAGCTGGATATGGTGGCAGGCACCTATAGTCCCATCTGCTCAGGAGGCTGAGGTGGGAGGATCACTTGTACTCAGGAGTTTGAGGCTGCAGCAAGCTATGATCACACCACTGCACTTTAGCCTGGGCAAGAGAGTGAGACTCTGTCTCAAAAAAAAAAGAAAGAAAAGAAAATAGAAGATGCAGATGGTGGATATAATATGAATTTTAAAGGTGAGGTTAAAATATATACATATAATTATATGTGCTCATATATGTATTAAAATTTCTGGCAGGATATACTAGAAACAAACGACAGTATTTATTAAATGTTGGAAAATTGGGTGTAAATGGGGAATAGGGATAGAAGAGAGACTTTACTGAATACCTGTTTATACTTTAATATTTTTGAACTATGAAAGCAATACGTATTCAAAAATTAAATAATTTATATTTTAAAACCAACAAATACATTAAAATTACACTTTGGCTTCCCCTCCCACCAAGCACTGCCATTAGGATTTTGCTTCAGGACCAGAAAAACAAAACAAAACAAACACTCTTCTAAAGAAACCAGCCCTTGGGCCTCCCTTTGTCCTTTCAAATAGTGACTTGCAGAAATTCCAATTCAGCAACATTTCTCCCCTCTGGCTTCAGAACTGTTGCATGCTAACTTTTTATTCCCCTCTCCCCTACCTACTCCTTTTTCCCAGTTCTCGTTAATCTTCCCTGGGCCTCCTCTTTAAACACTACCGTAGCCACCAGAACTCTCTGATTTATAGCACAATGTTGTGCTTAGAATTATAGAAAAACAAAAGCACAGCTCTGAACATGGGTGTCCCAATGGCACCTCAGCCTTAACCAACTTCTGCCTCTATTGCAAGCTCTTAATTGGCCTCACCTCTCACTTTCCTCATACAATTGACATTCCAGCATCCTTCAGGGGATAAAGAATTGCCTTTCACATGGACTCTGTCTTCTCACACTCAAGGCCAGCTGAGTCTGCCCCCAACCCTTGCTAAAATCCCCTGGTTGCTCATCACGTGTTTATCTTGTCTCCTCCAGTTACTCTCAAGCTTGGCTCAAACCAGTTCTCAGGGCCTCTAGTCCCCCCTGAAACCTAGTAGTGGATCTAAACAGGCTGCCATTCACTGCTTTAATCAATGAACTCCAAGGGCATTATTGGATTCATTTAATACAAATGTCCCTGGCATTAGGCTGAATGCTGGGAAGACAGTCATGAACAAGACTGACAACATGGTTCCTGTCTGCATGGGCCAGCAGCCTTAGAGAGAAGGCAACAAGGAGTCAAATACTGCGGCTCTCAACTCTGGCCGCATATTAGAAATTCTTGGGAATACTCTAAGTCCATGCTGGACTGATTGAATCAAAATCTCTGGGAGTGAGGCCCAAGCAACAGTATTTTTTAAATTCTAATGGCTGGCTGTCATTAGAATCTTTAAGAGAATGGATTTACAGGCAACCTCCTATTTAATGATACAATCTAAATGATTCCTGGGCAATAGTCCTTAATTGAATCATAAAAATTGAATTTATTTCCTATGAGTATAAGGCTAGGAACTAGGGTACTGAAAACCCATTTCATACCACAAACAACAAAGACAAAAATTTAACCTTGAAAGTAAAAGATGACAAACCCAAATACATACTTTAAGAAATATCCAGTGGCAGGAATACATTCCTGCCAATATTAGAACATGGCATAGTCCATGAGACAGGATGAACTACCTTGATGGTAAGATTCCTAGAGAATAAGAAGGTATTTTCCAACCTATTTCACACACTGGGTTTTGGATTTCTTGGCTTCACTCCATCCCTTAGAGGTTCTATGAAATTTCAACTACATATAGAACCTTCTACCACCCCAGTCATCCCTTGCCCCTATACTGGGGTGTTACTTCATTTAACAGGACCCAAGAGTATGTGGTGTGATGATGTGACTCAGTCAATGGGCCTCCCAGTACAGAGTGTCACTCCTTCCACACTCTCTCTGGTTGTCACTGAAGATTTGAAAAGGCAGCTGCAAGAGATTTTTCTCTAAGCCTTATTTGTGAGTGGGGCAGTGTTAATGCTATTAACATTATCTCCATTTGGGCCAAATCAAACCGAATGAGAAAAACAGATAGGAAACAGCGTCAGGACAATGAAATTCATAAAACTTGCAAATATTTAGCCCCCCATTTCCTCATCTGTAAAATGGGCATCATTATAGATTTATGTATATAAAACATAGGTTTGCTATGAAAATTAATGGTGATCCTTGGATAAATTGATCTACAATACTACACGATAGACAATATTTAATATTATTTATTTATTTTAATATCTAAAAAGGAGGGCTGGGAAATGCTGCTTTATGATTTTATGATTTGTAGATTTACAAGTTGCCCCTACAGAGGAATTCAATTTACACTCCCACCAGTAGTATATAAGAGTACAATTTTTTAGCACCTCCAACAGAGTATCATTCTTTAAAAAAAAAAATTGTTGGCCAGGAGTGGCGGCTCATGCCTGTAATCCCAGCACTTTGGGAGGCCGAGGCCAGTGGATCACCTGAGGTCGGGAGTTCGAGACCAGCCTGGACAACGTGGTAAAACCCCGTCTCTACTAAAAATACAAATATTAGCCGGGCGTGGTGGCGGGCACCTGTAATCCCAGCTACTCGGAAGGCTGAGGCAGGAGAATCGCTTGAACTTGTGAGGCAGAGGTTGCAGTGAGCCAACATCATGCCATTGCACTCCAGCCTTGGCGACAAGAGAGAAACTCCGCCTCAAAAAAAAAATTGTTAATTTGACAGATAAAATTGATACTAAGTTGTTTTAACCTTCATTAATTTCATTAATTCTAAGGTCGAATATCTTTATTGTCATAATTTTGGTCTATTTTGTATTTATGGTTTTTTTGTTTGTTTGTTTGTTTTTTAGATGGAGTCTCTCTCTGTTGCCCAGGCTGGAGTGCAGTGGCGCGATCTTGGCTCACTGCAACCTCCGCCTCCCGGGTTCAAGCGATTCTTCTGCCTCAGCCTCCCTAGTAGCTGGGACTACAGGTGCACGCCACCCCGCCTGGCTAATTTTTTATATTTTTAGTAGAGACAGGGTTTCACTATATTGGCCAGGCTGGTCTCGAACTCCTGACCTTGTGATCCACTGACTCAGCCTCCCAAAGTACTGGGACTACAAGCGTGAGCCACTGCACTTGGCCGTATTTATGTATTTTTTACATATCAAATTAAAATTTTTTATTTAATCATATCTCTTAATTTTCATGTTCTTCTATATGTCCTCATCTTGAGATCATATAAATATTCATCTTCATCATACCCTAGCTCTATTTTTCTTTAAATATTTGACTCCTAGATCTATTTGGAATTTATTTTAGAATATGAGTGAAGTAAAGATTTGACTTAATTTTAATTTTTCCCTAAATCTTTTGTATTAGAACCACTTATTATATTATTTATTCTTCTCCCATTGATTTGAAATACCATTTTTTATTGTTCCAATAATTGTCACTGTTTCTTCTTGTAATAATAACACATATTTTAATTATTATTATAACTTAATAATATATAAAGGATCCTCCTGCTTCAGCCTCCTGAGTAGCTGGGACTGCAGACAGAGCATCACCTGTAATGCAAATTCAGGGAAGGAGTCTTAACACTGCATCTTGTTTACGTGGTACACACTTTTTATGCCTGTTGTCCCCTAAAGTGAAACCCATTACTTTGGCTAATGCAACCTAAATTGAGATATTTTATTCTATATGATGGAACACTATGCACCCATTAAAAATAACCTTCCCTAGGCCAGGCATGGTAGCTCACACCTGTAATCCCAGGACTTTGGGAGGCCAAGGCAGAAGGAAAGCTTGAGGCCAGGAGTTCTAGACAAGCCTGGGCAACATAACCAGACCCTGTCTCTAGCAACAAACAAAAAATTAGTCAGGCATGCTGATGATGCTCTGTCTATAGTCCCAGCTACTCAGGAGGCTGAAGCAGGAGGACACTTTAAGGCCAGGAGTTTGAGGCTATAGTGAGCTATGATCGCACTACCATACTCCAGCCTGCGAGACAGAGCCAGACCCTGACCCTTTAAAAAAAAAAAAAAAAACGCTAGGCATGGTGGCTCACATCTGTAATCCCAGAACTTTGGGAGGCTGAGGTGGGAGGGTGGCTTGAGCCCAGGAGGAGTTCAAGACCAGCCTGGGTAACATGGCAAGACCTTATCTCTATTATAAAAAGAAATATAGGCCAGGCGCAGTGGCTCACATCTGTAATTCCAGGTGTGATTTAAGTCAAATCCTTACTTCACTCATATTCTAAAATAAATTCCAAATAGATTTTGGGAGGCCAAGGAGGGTGGATCACTTGAGTCAAAGAGTTAGAGACCAGCCTGGGCAACATGGCAAGACCCCATCTCTACCAAAAAATATAAAAATTAGCCAGGCATGGTGGTGTGTGCCTCAGGTCCCAGCACTCAGAAGGCTGAGGTGAGAGAATTTCTTGAGCCTGGGGGGCAGAGGTTGCAGTAAACCATGATAATGCCACTGCACTCCAGCCTGAGTGACAGAGGGAGACATTGTCTCAAGAAGAAAAAAAGAAATATATATATATAATATACATTATATAATATATAGTAAATATATAATATACAGTAATATAATATATATTAATTGTATAACCTTTTCCAAATAAGTTTTTTGTTTTTTTTTGAGTCTCGCTCTGTCACCCAGGCTGGAGTGCAGTGGCTGGATCTCAGCTCACTGCAACTTCTGCCTCCCAGGTTCAAGTGATTCTCTTGCCTCAGCCTCCCAAGTAGCTGGTATTACAGACATGCGTCACCATGCCCAGCTAATTTTTGTATTTTTAGTAGAGACAAGGTTTCACCATGTTGGCCAGGCTGGTCTCAAACTCCCGACTTCAGATGATCCACCTGCCTTGGCCTCCCAAAGTGCTGGGATTACCGCGCCCAGCAGAAGAAATTTATTAAAATGTATTGGATATAATATTAAAAGATTTAGGATAAACAATATGATCCCACTTTGTTAAAGCAAAAATAACAAATCACCTGTCTACATGCATAGAAAACAGATTATCAATAAATTAATACACCAAAATGTTAATGGCAAGCTATCTCTAAGTAATGGGATGATGGGTGATTTTTACTTTGCTGTATTTTTCATCATTTTCCAAATTTTCTACAATAAATATGTGTTACCATTATAATCAGAACAATCAGTAATCATTATGACTTAAATGGATATTTTAAGGTCCACTCCAGTCCTGGTTAGGGTGGTTGGATTGTCAATCTCACCCCAAAGACGAGACGGCTCTTTCTCTCCATGAGAGCAAGGATGGGCATCCAGCCCTGAAAAGGGATGCATTCACCACTTCAGTTCAGTTCTTTTGATTGGGAGACACTGCCATTAGATATTAAATGCCAAATAACATCATCTGGAATCACATGGTGACCCTTTGTGTTGCCAGCTGGGAGAGGGGTGTGTGGCATCACCTCCCACTTACCCTCTCCAAACCCCACCCAGAAGGGCTGGGAAGACACAGAGATAGTGTGGTACTTCAGGGTGGTATGCTAATGCAGGCCTCTAATCCTATCAGGAACGCTTAGGGTGTTAATTTGACCATCTTTCACAGCTCATAAATCTACTGAAGCAAAGCCAAGCTGCCAGACACCATCAAGCAAAACTCCTTCTGAGGCTGGCAGTTGGAGTAAAGCAGCCGGGATCATGCCACAGTAAAGTCCAATAAAGAGCTTTGTATGTGGGGGACTGGAGAGCAGCTTCTCACATTTGGATACAATAGAACAAAACAGTGGGAAATGTGAATGTCTGATTAGTCAGACTGGTGGTCTCCCCCATGCCCCCCCTGCCCACTGAGCCATAGATCCTCATTCATTCACAATTCTTTACACGCAGATGGATCTATCTTGCTCCCAAACAATCGCCGGCACAGACTCCCATCGGATTAGTTTGCTTAATCCCTGTGTGTAAATACAGACCAACTGTATTCACTTCCATTGGAATCTGCTAGCCTTTTTATATTAAAACCTATTTAACTTCAGTCAAATCACTCCTGCCTAGATCCATTCTCTCTTTATTCGGTGGTCAGAATGGAAACATTCTTCTCTTTCAGGAACAGAGCATTCCCCCAGAAGAGTTCCCACTGTTGACAAATAGGTGGGGTTTAAAACTGTCAACAGAAATCAGTGGCAACCTCCGGATTACAGCTTCATCCAGAGTCCATCTGTTCCTCAAATCAATCTGTTTAAAAATCGGCTGATTAGGGATTCTAAGTAAAAACATCCTTTGGAGCATCCATTTCAAGAGACATTGAGGCAGGCAGTTAGATTTTCATCAGCTTCCTCTTTGGTCCACACCTCTTGGAGGGCAAGTTGCAGCAGTTTTCTGCCTCTAGGGACAGAAATCTCCTCTGACCGAATCTGCAGGCTGGCAGGGGTGGGGAGGGAGTGGTGATTCCACATGGTCCAAGACTGGAAGTACCAGAAAAACTGAAGAAAGACCCACCCATTCTGCAGTTCTGTACAGGCAACCAATGACATTCCCACAGAGTGTGAGCAAAGACTCCTATTTCCTCAGGGCGGACTTACTGCATGCCAGGAGCCCAGCACATTTAGGAGTTTCCAAACACAGTGGAAAAAGGAATCAGAAAAGATCCTCCACTTACTGGCCTTGGGCCTTGGGCAAGTTTCTTTAACCCTTGAGCTCTAGTGTCCTCATCTGGAAAATGGATTTAATAATATTTTCTATGTGGGATTATCTGGCTCATAGTACAGGGATGTGATACATGCCAATTACGATTTTTGATAGTGTAGTTTGAAAAATAACTGTTATTGATACTATTATTAGTGGTGGTAAATTTCAAAAATAACTATGATTATTGATATTATTGTTGTTGCTGATAGTGCATTTGATAAATAACTATGTTGTGGTTATCATTATTGCTGGTAGTGCACTGTTAGCTATTGCTGTCTCCATATAATGATGAACAGACTTTAAAAGAACTGAGTAAAGACCATATAAGCCCATTCACTCACCTGGCGGGTGTTTTATTGAACACCTTCTATTTGCCAGGCATTATTCTAGACACTGGGGCTACATCAGTGGAATCCATCCTTGTGAAGTTTACCTTTTAGTTGGGGGAAGACTGACAATAAAAACAAGTAAGTAAATTATATTGAATTTAGAATGTGATTAGTGATATAGGGGAAAATAGAGCAGGGTGGGGAGGATTGGGAGTGAGCTGTGAGAGAAGGGGCTGGTGCAGCGGAATTTAACATGAGGTGGTTTGGAAGGCCTCACTGAGAAGGTGGCATCTGAACAACTGTAAAGGAAGTGGAGGAGTAGGCCGTGGGGAGTGTTGGGGGAAAAGCATTCTACGCACAGAACAGCAACTGCAGAAGCCCTCAGGGGATCCTGCCTGTGTGCTTGGAGAAGGCTGGAGTGGGATAGAGTGGGAAATCGTGTCACAGATGCAAAGGTGGGTCACCCAGGATCAAGCTAGGCATTTTTAGCACTTTAGCTTTTTACTCTAAGTGAAATGGGGAGCCACTGCAGGGTTGTGAGCAAAAGCAGTGGCATGGTTTGACTTAAGCTTCAACAGGATCACTCTGGATCCTCTTTCCCGCTTGCAGACAGCTGCCTTCTCACTATGCCCTAACATGTTGTGAGGGGGGTCCACCCCTCATGATTGAAAGAAAGAAAAATTAATTCCTCGTCTATGTCAAGGGGCACAGTGAGAAGCAGTTGTCTGCAAGCCAGGAAAAAGTCCTCACCAGACCTCGGTCATGCTGGCACCCTGATCTTAAACTTGTTGTCTTGTTTTCAAGGTCACTAATCCCATCATGAGGGCCCCACCCTTATGACTTTATCTAAATCTAATTACCTCCTAAAGGCCCCATCTCCAAATACCATCACATTGATGGGTAGAGCGCCTGTAGTCCCAGCTACTCCGGAGGCTGAGGCAGAAGAATCACTTGAACCTGGGAGGCAGAGGTTGCAGTGAGCTGAGATTGTGCCACTGCACTCCAGCCTAGGCAACAAAGTGAGACTCTGTCTCAAAAAAAAAACAAACAAAAAAAAGAATCCTTACACATGTATTTTTCCATAGTGGCTTTAGAATCAGTTTGTAAAATTTCACACTTCATCCCTCAAATAGGTTGACATGTTATTAGGTCATGAAAATTTTGTATATTAATTTAGGAAGAAATTAAGTTATATTATTGAATCTTTCTGTACAAGAATAGTATATAAGCAGACTGGGGAACACAGTGAGACCTGGTCTCTACAAAAAATTTTTAAACAAAAATTAACCAAGTGTAGTGGCATGCACCTATAGTCCCAGCTACTGAGGAGGCTGAGGTGAGAGGATTGCTTGAGCCCAGGAGGTGGAGGTTGCAATGAGCCGAGATCTCACCACTGTACTCCAGCCTGGGCAACAGAGTGAGATCCTGTCTCAAAATAATAATAATAATAATAATAGTGTCTCTAAGTAACAATTCTTCTCATTGTTACATTTATTCTTAGGTATATATTTTTTGTTATTATATAAATGGAATATTTTCTTCCATTACATCTTATAACTGCTTTTTATGTATAAATAGGAAAGCTATTAATTTTTATTTATTAATTTTATGTGCACCCATCTTACTGAATTTTTTTATTGTTTGAGATGGTTTTTCAGTTGATTTTCTTGGGTTCAGATAATATCTGAATTGGAAGTAAAAATAATTTTACTTTATCCTTTAAATTTTTTAAACTTTTTTTTTCTCTTGACTAATAACATCAGCTACTATTTGCAGAACAATGTTAAATAGTGATGGTGGGCAGTCTTATCTGGTTCTTGACTTTAAAGAAATGTTTCTAGTGTTCTTCCCTTAAGCATGAGGCTGGCTTTTGGCTTATATATAAAGTTGACTTATATATTTTAGTTACCAAAAGTGATTCTTACCAGAATCGGCTGGGGAATCTTCAGGTTAAAAATAGTCTTCTGCAGCCAGGGCAACTAGTGAAACTCCATCTGTACCACAAAATATATATATATATATATTTTTTTAATAAGCCGGGGGCAGTGGCCTGCTCCTTTAGTCCCAGCTACTCGGGAGGCTAAGGCCGGAGTGTTGCTTTAGGCCAGGAGTTCAAGACTGCAGTGAGCTATGATCCTGCCACTGCATTCCTGCCCAAGTGGCAGAGTGAGACCCTATCTCTAAAAAAAAAAAGGTTCCTGAGTGTTGCCCAGAGGGTCAGTTTCAGAAGGTCAGAGTGGGGCCCAGAAATCTATATTTTTCCTGAACTTCCTTGGTGGTTCAGATACAAGTAACATTCAGCCCAGACTTGAAGAATTCCAGTGGATAGAAAGCACTTTAGAGTCAGCTCTGGGCTCAAGAGGGCAGCTCTTTCCCCCCATGTCATTTACTCCCTCTGAGCCTCAGTTTCCCATGCTGCTAAAAGAGGGAGAATAATCACATATGCCCTGGCGACTGGAAGAGGGGCTAAGAGGCTCAGATGAGGTAATGTCTGTGAAAACATTTGGCAGACTAGAAACGGCATATAAATGTGAGGAGGCGTGACCTCACTGTGCCCAAGAGGAAAGATATTTGGAAAAGCCTGACTGATTTTCAGGGCTCGGCGACAGCTCCTAGCGAGACTTGGACAGCCTGCTTCAAAACCCACACTTACATTCCACGAAACACGCTCTGCTTCCTTGTCAACAGGCTTTGCGTCATGTTAGGTCAGCTTCCACTGCTCAGGGCTTTGTGCTGATCATGCATTACGGGTTGGCTTCAGAGGCACAGACACCTTACCGCCTGTGTGTGATCCAGGACTAATGAAAAAAGTCCTCTCCGGCCACACCCCGTTCCCTGCCTGGTCCCCGTGGAGTCTCCGGCATTTGAGAGAGCTTTTGTGGCTTGAATCTAAGTCACAAAACTCCCCCTGCTAATCCCATGGGGTCACAGTTGGACCTAGTGCTTCAGGGGAGGACCAATAAGACAGAATCCATTTTGCATTTCCCTTCCTGCTTTCCTACGGAGAGATGTAAAGGTCCCTAGAGGTGAATATAATAAGATAGAGCCAACGTGGGGATGTTGCTCCCTGGGGCGCTGCTTGAGTGGTGTGACATCATGTTCTTAGTCTGAGCTTCAATAGATCTCTTAGAATGTCAGAGACCCGTCTTCTCCTAGAAAAGGAGTTCCTACCCTGTGGTCTGTGAGCTAATGAAAATGCAGGCTGCCTCAGCCTGGATTAAAAGAGGTTTTCTTTCCCGTTTCCCATTTAAAGACCCTGTAGGCTTGAAATTACCATTTAAAGCAGGAGATAAATTGCCAGAGGCCATTTCATGCCAAGGTACATTACAGAGCAGAATGTCAAAGTGTGCTTAGCCAGGAGACAGTGATGGGCAAATCCTGCTCTCTGAGAGCAGCAGGCATAAAATGTGGCCCCCGGGTAGAGGGAGGGCCCTTGCTTCCAGCCCCCATACCTTGTCTCCCTTCACCAGCAGGAATATTCTTTCTTTTGTGGCCTCTTGTTTAGGCTGTTCTTGACCTTTCATAATTAAAATACTCTGAATTTTGGCAGGCCTTGCGCTTTTTTTTAATAAAGAGGGGGAAGCCATTTGAAGATAGAAACAAAATTGCTTGGATGGTTGCCTGTGAAGTTACAATTATAGCAATGACTGAAGATGGAGAACAGGAATTGAGAGAAGAGGGATTTTTTTCCCCTAGCTGCCAAAATGCTGGATTTTATGTCCTTCTGTGAGAGCCTGCCATTATACATTTTAGACCCTAACTCATCAACAGTGAGTGCTAAAAGACATTCTTGAGGAAGGACTGGTTTTTGGATACATCTAAATTTTTATTAGCTTTTGTTCCAGTATCAGTAAACATTCCTGAGTGCTTACTAGAGGCAGGGCAGTGAGAAGCAGAAGGACGAATCAAAGAACAATTATATCCTAGCACCTGCACCATGCCTGCTGGCCAAGTGTTTTCCTTGAGAAAACCTAAAAACCTTAGCTTCCCTCCCTTTGCCTTAGTAATTCCCCAAACTTTGCTGTTCATTGGAATCACCTGGAATGTTTTTTGGAAAATTCTGATCCCAGACTCTCACGCTAGACATTATGATTTGATTGTGGGGAGTTTTTTAAAGCTCCCCAGGTGATTCCAACGTCCAGCAGTGTTGGAGACCCACTGGCCTAACTTCCGCTCTTTCTTCAGGTTTCAGTTTAGCATTTCTTCCTTCAGGAAACCTGCCGGAATTCTCCTTCTTCCCCCGTCTTCACACAGCTGTGACCCCGAACCCGTGGAGTATCGCTCCTTGAGGGGCTCCTGCAGCACCTGGTACTTGGCCTTGGTGATATGGACCACTTGATTCAACACTCTTCCTCTGGTTGAATGGGACATCCCTGAAGGCAGGACCAATGGCCCGCTCATTCTCCAGAGCCTGGCTCATCATGAGCCCTTGAAGTACTAATTGAAGGAGTAAATTCACATTCTCCTTGGACATTTCCTTTCACTCTTTCTGTGCATGCTAATTTACTTTCTCTAGTAATAATAAATGTCATTTTGTTTTGCATGCTGCTATGGTTTGAATGTTTGTCCCCTCTGAAATTCATGTTAAAACTTAATCCCCAATATAACCATATTAAGAGGTGGATTAGGGTCAGAAGCGCTCTGCCCTCATGAATGGATTAATCCATTGATGGATGAATAGCTTAGTGGGTTATCACAGGAGTGGGTTAGTTATCATGAGAGTAAGTCTGTTATGAAAGCCAGTTTGGGTCTCAGTGCACCCCCACCCCCCTTGCCCTATGATGCCTTATGCCATGTGATGTTGCCGCATGGGACCCGCACTGGAAGCCAACCAGACGCAGTTGCCAGATCTTGGTCTTTTCAGCCTCCAGAACTGTAGGAAATAAATCTCTGTTCTTTATAAATTACCCAGTCTTGGGTTTTCTGTTATAGCAACATAAAATGGACTGACGCCCACTTAATCACACTGTCTCTAATTTTTATGGTCATTGAGTCATGTAATAAAAGTGAAGCATTTACACTCTTTTAATTTAATGTATTTATTCTTTTGAAACAGAGTCTTGCTCTGTTGCCCAGGCTGGAGTGCAGTGGGGCAATCTCAGCTTACTGCAACCTCCACCTCCTAGGCACAAACGATTCTCATTCCTCATCCTCCTCAGTAGCTAGAATTACAGGTGAGCGCCACCACACTGAGCTAATTTTTGTATTTTTAGTAGAGACAGGGTTTTCCCATATTGGCCAGGCTGGTCTAGACCTCCTGACCTCAAACCATCTATCCACCTGGCCTCCCAAAGTGCTGGGATTACAGGCGTCAGCCACTGCCCCTGGCCTCTTTTATGCTTTACTATATTTATTTTATTTATTTATTTATTTATTTATTTATTTATTTTGAGATGGAGTTTCGCTCTGGTTACCAGGCTAGAGTGCAATGGCACCATCTCTACTCAGTGCAATCTCTGCCTCCCAGGTTCAAGCGATTCTCCTGCGTCAGCCTCCTGAGTAGCCGGGGTTACAGGGGCATGCCACCACACCCAGCTAATTTTTGTATTTTTAGTAGAGATGGGGTTTCATCACACTGGTCAGGCTGGTCTCGCCCACCTAATCCGCCCGCCTCAGTGATCCGCCCGCCTCGGCCTCCCAAAGTGCTGGGATGACAGGTGAGCCACCGCACCTGGCCTCTTTTTTATTTTTTATATATTTTATAAGATTTTTTAAAAACAGTGCCAGCTGAAGCTGTCAAATAAAAAATCCCACAATGTGGTTAATCTCAAGAGAAGGTTAAATGATTAGACTTCGTTCTGGAGCATTATTTGTGAAAACATGTATTTTCATTTAGGTCTCCATAGACCTAAAACCTGATTTTCTCCCTATTATTAAAAAGGTTTATATTTTGTAAAATATGCTTCATAAATTAGACAAAGGCAAATCAATGAAAGTGTCTCCTTTTTGTTTGGTTAATGCGGATTTAATGAAAGGGCACACACACATTTCTGAAGTTGTAGCTCACTTTATTGCCAAAATTAAGACAAAGAAACAAATCTGCAAACAGAGGGGCCCCTGTAACATCATCGCAGGGGTCAGATTACAAGGCTGGGAGACAGGGGCCTTCAGAGCCACGGTAATTGTCCCCACGTTCCGGGCCCCTGCGATGCCCACAGACTTCTTAATGTCTCTCTTTGTAACACCCCAGGGCCGCGTGAATAGCGGGGAAGGTAACGTGACTGCGGAGCTCAGGGCCGGCCCGGGAGGGGCGCGGGCCTGGCCAGTGGGAAGGTCGGACGCCGAGGGGCGAAATCACCCCACCGGCATCAGACCACCGCCTCCATTCAGCGGAGGAATGTGGGCGGGCAGAGGACGCGCGGTCCCCTCGCCCGGCGTTAACCCTGTGCGCGCCGGGAGCTTCGCCCGGAGCATCGCAGCATCGCGCAGCGCCCGGAGCCCGGGGCCCTCACAGCTCCACCGGTGCCCGGAGCATCTATCTCCCCGCGGGCGGTGCTGCCACTCGCCACGTTCACATTCCTCCACGTGCACGCGTGACTCTTTTGGTGTTATTTTTAAAAATCTCACTATTTAATCGCCATGTTTACCTTCCCCAGAACCACATAGTCTCATCGCAATTCAAATAATTTAGAAAACATTTTAAGATAATCGTGGAGCCCACGAAGCCAGTGCAACGTAGGTGGCTTCCCTTGCTGGAAGTCACCGCACCGAGGCCAGAAGAAGGTAGCCAGCGCCCAGGCAAGCGCTTAAAACTGCAGCCTCCTCCACACCTTTGCACGTGGGGAAACCGAAGCAGAACCCTGTCTCTTTCACTTTTCTTCCCTTCGCTAAGACTTTTTTATATTTGTAAGTGGAGGCGCGATCCAGTTAGCTTTTCTCCAAACTTTTAATGTAGAAAATATGCAAATCTACAAAAAAGTTGAACGTGTAGTGCAGTAATACAATTAACACCTGTAGATTCTTCACCTAAATTCACTTCTTAGCATTTTGCCCTACTCGCTCTATCCTTTGTCTGTATAGAGAGATTCCTCTCTCCTGCATTATTTGAAAGGAAATTGCAGACCTCATGACAATTTGCCCCAAAATAATTCACATGCAGCAACTAGGAATAAGTACATTTTCTTATGTACCAACAACACCATTTATCACACCTAAGAAAATCAACGCTAATTTAATATCTCCTAAAATATAGTCCTCATTTAAATTTTCTTATTTTTCCCAAAATGCCTTTTAACTAAAATTTTTTTTAAATCCAGAATATGTTAAAGATTCATGCATTGCATTTCGTTATGTTATTTGCTTTTTATGATAATTTTGTTTTAAATTTTAATTATTTTCAGCCTGTATAGCATATTTCTGGAATTTAAATTTGGGGGCTGTAGTTATTCTAGAACTGTGTCTAGTTAGCACATTTAAAAACCAGGCTTTTGAGGGAAATTATTTGTTGCTGAGCTTCTGGTACACACAAAAAAAGGGAGGTTTCCTAAGCAGACCACATTTGCTTCCCTGGTCGGGGGTCTGATGCAATAAAACCCCCTTTCCCAGGATTTCTCTTCCAGAGTCAAATGTCCCATAAATAAAGACATTTAGTCTTTTCATTTTTTCTTACCTCCCGTTTAGATCTTGATGATTTTCTGCTGCTTTACAACAGCCCTGCCCAAACCCAAATTAAAACACTCTCTTTTCTTCTTCTTTTTTTTTTTTTTTTTTTTTTTGAGATGGAGTCTCGCTCTGTCGCCCAGGCTGGAGTGCAGTGGCGCAATCTCAGCTCACTGCAACCTCCGCCTCCCAGGTTCAAGCAATTCTCCTGCCTCAGCCTCCCGAGTAGCTGGGCCTACAGGTGCACCCGCCACCAAGCCCGGCTAATTTTTGTATTTTTAGTAGAGATGGGGTTTCACCGTGTTAGCCAGGATGGTCTCGATCTCCTGACCTCATGATCCGCCAGCCTCGGCCTCCCAAAGTGCTGGGATTACAGGCATGAGCCACCGCACCCAGCCTAACCATTCTCTTTTCTCTTGTTAGATGACAATTAAAAACATTTTTAGGTTGGGTGTGGTAGCTCACGCTGTAATCTCAGCACTTTGGGAGGCCGAGGTGGGTGGATCACTTGAGGTCAGGAGTTTGAAACCAGCCTGGCAACATGGTGAAACTCCATCTCTACTAAAAATACAAAAATTAGCCGGGCGTGGTGGTGGGTGCCTGTAATCCCATCTACTTGGGAGGCTGAGGCAGGGGACACTTGAACCCAGGAGGCGAATGTTGTGGTGAGCTGAGATTGCACCACAGCACTCCAGCCTGGGCAACAGAGCGGGACTCCCTCTCAAAAATAAAAATAAAAAAAATTTAAATCTTCACAAGCCCTGTTGCTCTTCTTATCCCATATGTGGACCTCGGAATTCTTTCCCTCTAACCCCATTGCCTTTTTCTCCACGCCTATCTATAACAAATGTCTATCAAGTGCTAGCTATACAGCAAACACTATATTAAGTGCTTTATACATATGTCATCCTCAGAACAGTCTTATAAAGTTAGCATCATTAGTATTACTTCCATTTTAAAGATGAGAAAATTGAGACTTAGGATAAGTAATTTGTCTCCTAAGTGTGACATGGCAAGACATCACTGGGTCTTGAACGTTGGTTATCTGACTCCATAGTCTACATTCTCAGTGGTCCCCAACCTTATTGGCACCAGGGACCGGTTTTGTGGAAGACAATGAAACTAACTGTCCCATCTCAGATCATCAAGCACTAGTTAATTTCTCATAAGGAGCACTCAGCCTAGATCCCTCGCATGCACAGTTCACAATAGTTCTCATTCCTATGAGAATCTAAGCCTCCGCTGCTCTGACAGGAGGTGGAGCTCAGGCGGTAATGCCCACTCGCTGGCCACTCACCTCCTGCTGTGCGGCCCAGTTCCTAACAGGCCAAGCTCAACCCGGAGGTTGGGGATCCCTGCTCAGTACGACATACTACCTTTGAGACTTTTAGCTTCTCCAGAGCCCTCCCTTTATTTAATACGTGAAGAGCCTGTAAAATTGGGAGGTATTTCCATACATCAGATTACTTTACTGTGCCACTATTTTCATAAGTCGTTTGGTAGAAAGTGGTGACACTCATGTGCCTATATTAAGCACGAGGCCAATATTTTCACTAAATGTCATTTAGGAAACCCATATCAGCTACTACCTCACTGAGGCATAGAACACCACTGGTGACACTCTAGGGAGTCAGAAAATATTAAATCATCCCCCAAGCCAGTAGTTCTCAGATGTCTAGAATTCCAAGACTAATAAAACCTTCTAAGACATTTTGGGGAAAGACATAAGGTTGCCACTTTGATACTTTGCCAAGTGAAGACATTAAACTTTTCAAACTACCATCTATAATACTAGCATCATCATTTTATTAAAAAAAAAAAAGGATATTTTAAACCCACCTGCCTCCACCCCTGCAAAAAAAAAAAAAAAGGACATAATCACAGAATAAAGAATAATCCTTAATCTGATCAATTCAGTGCTACCAAAATTCACTATATTGTCCTTGTTTTTCTCATTTTGTGGTAGACAGGTCTAAGCATCATCATGAACTGACTTTGGGTCTGCCCATAGAGGCTGGCACCATCATCTTACAAAGAAGGTGATGATTCATCAGGCACATCTTTATGTTAGCCAGAGTTACCGTGATGGAGTCTGCAGGCAAAGATGGAAGGGATTAGGCCCCTCTGTCTAACAAAAGCATGGAAAGTGGCTCCTCCTCATTAAGGCAGAAGCTCTGATGCATGTGGAAGGCTATGAATTTGGGACTGGTAGAAAGGCATTCTGGCTGAGCAGAAACAACGGATTAACAGAGACTAAAGGACTGAAGTATTTGGTGGAGGATGTTCAAGGTCTATGGCCTGATGATGAGACAGCTATGCTGTATTGGAAAGACCTTGGTTCAAGTTTCAGCTCTGTTTTGTGTCCTTGGAGAAGTCACTGAATGTCTCCGAACCTCTTTTCTCATTCACAAAATGCCATCAGATGAGGTAGATAAGAAGAGGATGTACAAAAAATGCTTTGTAAATTAAAAAAAATGATAAGAATTATTATTGTTGAGTTGTTTTGTTTTTTTGTTTTTTCAAGACAGCATCTGGCTCTGTCACCTAGGCTGATGTTCAGTGGCATGATCATAGTTCACTTCAGCCTTTAACTCTTAGGCTCAAGTGATCCTGCCAAGTAGCTATGACTACAGGCACATGTCACTACACTTGGCTAATTTTTAAAATTTTTTTTATTTCTTTAGAGACAGGATCTTCCTATGTTGCCCAAGCTGGTCTTGAACTCCTGGCCTCAAGTGATCCTCCACTCCTTGGCCTCCCAAAGTGCAGGGATTACAGGTGTGAGTCACCATGCCTGGCTGTTTCTTCCTTGTTTGTTTTGTTCTGTTTTGTTTGTTTTGTTCTGTTTTGTTTTGTTTTGCTTTTATGATAAAGACTTTAAAACAAGTATATGTGTTACAATTCTGGAGGCACAAGGATTTCATTTTGGAGCACTATTTAGATTTCATACAAGTTGGAAAACAAAGCAGTGGCCTTTGGAGATTTCATTCTTAGGCATGTGGGTAGAATACAGCTCCTCTCTGTTTTAAGTCAGTGCCAGTTCCAGGCTTCCTGGCCCTATCTAAGGGGTTGGTGCCTGGGAAAAGGCTGCAGTAAAGGTCAGAGGTGACCTTGCACAAGGGTAATGAGTCAGTGTGTGTGCATCCTTCATGCTCATGACAGTAGCACAAGCTTTTAAGAGGAGCAGTACTACCCTTATGGCCAGATGAGAAGGGCCACTGCCTAAGCCTGCTCTGGAGAGGGTCCTGCATATCACAAACACATTTACAAAAAAAATATTAAAGAGCACAAAAGTTCGTCCATCATTTGGGAGGGCTTGGGTCTGCCAGTACAACACGACCTGGCCATACTGTTTAGTCCCCAGGGAAATTCTTCTCCATATTTCTTGTCCAATGTTCTCAAAACAAAAGGGACTGCAGGTGACTGCTCCCGATGTTGGCAACTGAATTACTCCAGAGCATGATGAACTTGGTCGGCAGAAATCCTTGGGAATGAGAAAGGGTAAACTTGTCATGTCCTTCCTCTCTGATACTAGGAATGCAGTAGATTCTTGCATTACGACTTTTATTATTTTTTTATTTTTTGAGATGGAGTCTCATTCTGTGGCCCAGGCTGGAGTGCAGTGGTGCCATCTTGGCTGACTGCAACCTCTGCCTCCAGGATTCAAGTGATTCTCCTGCCTCAGCCTCCCAAGTAGCTGGGATTACAGGTGCGTGCCCCCATGCCTGGCTAATTTATATATATATATGTGTGTATATATATATATATATATATACATACACACACACACATATATATATACACACACATATATACATATATATACACATATATACATATATACGTATATATGTATGTAATATATATACATATATGTACGTATAATATATACATATATACATGTACATATAATATATACATATATACATGTATATATAATATATACATATATCTACGTATATATATATATTTTTTTTTGAGACAGAGTCTCCCTCTCTCGCCCAGGCTGGAGTGCAGTGGCATGATCTCGGCTCACTGCAAGCTCCGCCTCCCGGGTTCACGCCGTTCTCCTGCCTCAGCCTCCCGAGTAGCTGGGATTACAGGCACCCACCACCACGCCCGGCTAATTTTGTTTTTGTATTTTTAGTAGAGACGGGATTTCACCATGTTAGCCAGGATGGTCTCGATCTCCTGACCTCGTGATCTGCCGGCCTCAGCCTCCCAAAATGCTGGGATTACAGGTGTGAGCCACTGCACCCGGCCAATTTTTATATTTTTAGTAGAGACGAGGTTTCACCGTGTTGGCCAAGCTGGTCTTGAACTCCAGACCTCAAGTGATCCACCTGCCTCGGCCTCCCAAAGTGCTGGGATTACAGGTGTGAACCATCGCACCCAGCTTGGCAGAAAGTTTAATATTTCATTTTCCATCAAAATTCCTTCAGATGGAGAAACTAGACATTTTTATATGCTAAGCACAAAGCCAAAGTTCTGCAGCTACTCTCATGTTTCACAACTATCTTCATGATTAGCTTTGGCCAGTGAAGAGACTTGTGAAAGGACACATTTAGGTTCTCTATTAAAGGAAAATGACTATCACTTGTGCATAAAAGGATCACATGAATCACTGGAACTGCAAAAAAAAAAAAAAAAAAAAGCTGAATAAACAGCAATTGACAGTATTCCACAATAACAACTAAAAGCCAATATAAAAAACATTGATATAATATTCCTAAAATAATAATAAATGTTCAATACTTAGCCAAACACAATGGCACTTTTCATGGTATTAACAGCACAATATTTACAGAAATAATGGGAAATTTCTAGATTTAGTAAAAATGGTTTCAAAAGCTAAAACTAGAACAGCCAAACATGGAAGATAGTTAAGAAATAATAAAAGATTACCATGTGGATGAAGAAGTCAAAATGAAACTATTAATTTAATGGACAATAAAGTAGGAGAAAAAAACATATAATTTTATTTATTTTTGTTTAACTTTTATTTTAGGTTTGCCGGTACATGTGCAGGTTCGTTATATAGGTAAACTTGTGTCATAAGGGCTTGTTGTGTGGATTATTTAGTCACCCAGGTGCTAAGCCTAGTACCCAATAGTTCTGCTCCCCTTCCTCCTCCCACTCTCCACCCTCAAAAAGGCCTCAGTTTCTGTTGTTCCCCTATTTGTGTTCATGTGTTCTCATCGCTCAGCTCCCATTTATAAGTGAGAACATGTAGTTTTGCTTTTCTGTTCCTTGTGGGCGAAAGATTACCTAGGTGCCGAGGCAAAAGACTGAAGGCACAAACTGTTTCAGTATAATAAAGAAAATAGTTAGAATAAAAATAGTCATAATACAAATTAGATATAGAGATGATCATGGATAATTATCAATCATTATTATAAGCATTATTAATCATTAGTTCTTAATATTACTCTTTGTTGTATTACTAATATAACCTAGGAATAACCGGCGGGTGTAGGGTCAGGTGCTGAAGGGACATCGTGAGAAGTGACCTAGAAGGCAAGAGGTTAGCCCTCTGTCACACCCGCATAAGGGCCGCTTGAAGGCTCCTTGGTCAAGTGGTAATGCCAGTGTCTGGGAAGACACCCATTACTTAGGCGACCGCGAAAGGGAGTCTCGTTTCCTTGGAGGAGTCAGGGAACATTCTGCTCCACCCGCTTCTTGTGGAAGGCTGAATATTATCCAGGCCTGCCCGCAGTCATCCGGAGGCCTAAACCCCTCCCTGTGGTGCTGTGCTTCAATGCGCACGCTCCTGGTCCACTTTCATGTTCCTCCTGTACTCCCGGTTCCTCTTTGAAGTTCGTAGTAGATGGCGGTCGAAGAAATAGTGAAAGTCTTAAAGTCTTTGATCTTTCTTATAAGTGCATAGAAGAAAATGCTGACGTATGCTGCCTTCTCTCTCTCCTTCAGCTACATAAAAGGGAAAGCACCCCTGTCCTATGATCATGTGACTTGCTTCACCTTCTCAATCACTTATAAGATTAGTCCTCCTTACGCTGCCCCCTTTGTCTTATATACAATAAATATCAGCGCGCCCAGCCGTTCGGGGCCACTACCGGTCTCCACATCTTGGTGGTAGTGGTCCCCGGGGCCCAGCTGTTTTCTCTTTATCTCTTTGTCTTATGTCTTTATTTATTACAATCTCTCGTCTCTGCACACGGGGAGAACACCTGCTGAGCCCCATAGAGCTGGACGCTACAGTTCCTGCGTTAGTTCACTAGAATAATGGCCTCCAGCTCCATCCATGTCCCTGAAAAAGACATGATCTCATTCTTTTTATGGCTGTATAGTATTCCATGGTGTATATGTACCACATTTTCTTTGTTTAATCTGTCATTGATGGGCATTTAGGTTGAAAATCATACATATAATTTTAGAAAGTGATAGTTCAACTAGTTTGTAACAAGAACAAAAGGCATGTTGAACAACTAACACTTATTCTTTGTATGTTGAACTGGCAGAAGAAAACAAGAAAATCAAAATTGGTGTTTCATTAGTTTCATGCCTATGGTAAAAAGTACAGGTTTTAACTCAAAACCTGTTGCCTAAAGAATTGAAAAAAGAAGCAAACCTTTTAGTTGTAGGCACTGATTTAGAACATTGCTGAGGGCAGGCTTATAATGGTGCTAACACCTTTGGTAAAGAGAAAAATGTACATCCAGACTTTTGGCCAAAAATCCAGAAGCATTCTTTGTGCTCTACACTAGCACTGTCCAACAGAAATATAATGCAAGCCACACATGTAATTTTAAATTTTCTTTTCTTTTTTTTTTTGAAACAGGATCTCATTGGAGTACAGTGGCTTGATCATGGCTCACTGCAACCTCAACCTACCTGGATTAGGTGATCCTCCCACCTTGGCCTCTCAAGTAGCTGAGGCTACAGGCATGAACGGCCATGCCCAGCTAATTTTTGTATTTTTTGTAGAGATAGGATTTTATCATGTTGGCCAGGCTGGTCTCAAACTCCTGGGCTCAAGCAATCCACCCATCTTGCCTCCTAAAGTGCTAGGATTACAGGCATGGGTCACCGCACCCAACCTTAAATTTTCAAGTAGTTACACTAAAAACACATAAACAGGTGAGATTAACAATTTATTTTATTAAATCTAATATATCTAAAATATTACCACTTCAACATGCAATCAATATTTTTAAATTTTTGGCGGCACGTAGTGGCTCACGCCTGTAATCCCAGCACTTTGGGAGGCCGAGGTGGACAGATCACTTGAGGTCAGGAGTTTGAGACTAGCCTGACCATCACGGTGAAACCTCATCTCTACTAAAAATACAAAAGTTAGCTGGGCGTGGTGGATCGTGCCTATAATCCCAGTTACTCGGGAGGCTAGAGGCAGGAGAATCGCTTGAAGCTGGGAGGCAGAGGTTGCAGTGAGCTGAGATTGCACCATTGCACGACAGCCTGGGCAACAGAGTGAGACTCCATCTTAAGAGAGATATATATATACACATATATACACACACATATATATAAGAGCATACATATATATACATATATTTTAATATTTTTTATTTAATGAGATAGTTTACATTCCTCTTTTGAAACCTAGTGTGTATTTTATGTTTGCAGCACATCTCGTTTCATACTATCCACATTTCCAATGCTCAATACCTCATGTGTCTAGTGGCTGCCCTATTGGACAGCACAGTGCATAGTTTGAATTTATTTCAGGAGACATGGCCTCAGCTGTGTCAATAGCCATGCAATTCTTTGGAATAATTCAAAGGTTGCATGCAATATTTTCTGGATCTGGCTGGGGATGTCACATCTTGATGAAATATGTATCAAAACTGACCTTACAGCCACTTTCATGCACACAACATTAGTGCCTTTTAAATGCTGCTAAAGCACCCCTTCCGCCTTGTGAAGTTACAATGAGAAGAGAGCCATCTATAAGGATGCAGGCCCTCACGAGACACTGAATCTGCCAGTGCCTTGATCTTGGACTTCCCAGCCACCAGAACTGTTGAACAAATCCTGGCAGAATTTAAGTTCAGAGCTGTGGAATGCCACCCCAACAAGCATCTGAAAATTCCAAAGCAATGGAGACTGTTCAGAAACCGCAGAAGGCAAAGGAGATTCTGACCAATGAAGAGAGTTGTGCCCACTATCATCACCGGTGAAGGAGCCAGATATTGATGCCAGTCCTGCAGTGGGAAGCTGATACGATTTGGCTCTGTGTTCTCATCCAAATCTCATCTTGAACTGTACTCCTCTAATTCCCACTTGTTGTGGGAGGGACCTGGTGAGAGATAATTTGAATCATGGAGGCAGTTTCCCCTATTGTTCTTGTGGTAGCGAATAAGTCTCACGAGATCTGATGGGTTTATCAGGGGTTTCCGCTTTTGGATCTTCCTCATTTTCTCTTGCTGCTGCCATGTAAGAAGTGCCTTTTGCCTCCCGCCATGATTCTGAGGCCTCGGCAGCCATATGGAACTGTAAGTCCAATTAAACCTCTTTTTCTTCCCAGTCTCTGGTATGTCTTTATCAGCAGCATGAAAACAGACTAATACAGAAGCTTGCAGTGAGCAGAGATTGTGCCACTGCACTCCAGCCTGGGCGACAGAGCAAGATTCCATTTCAAAAAAAAAAAAAGAAAAGAAAAAAAAAGAAGAAGGAGGAGGAGGAGGAGGAGAAAGGAGAGTAAATAGCTGCCTCTAAATGCTGATAACTATTTTTATCCTGTAAAATAGCCAAGGAATACCTACCCATCGTTAAGCATCAACTTTGACATCTCACCCTTGTGGGGATTCCACACTGGCAGTGTTTCTTTCATCTCTCTCTGCACATCTTAAAATCAAGGCACAAGGGCCTTATCCCTGTCTTGATTCGGAGGATAATCTTTCTCATTGTAATCATTGTGCACGGGAACAAAGAACATACGGATCAAAGGTTTGGGGTCTTCAGCCCTACCACGATCACATGACCACCCAGCTCAAAGGCAGCAACTATCAACTGAAGTGTTGTTTCCAAGCTTCCGGTCTTTTACAGAGAGTCCCCGTGGCTACCTAGAAAGAGCCCCCCAAGGCCATTTACGTTGTTTTTCACTGTATTGTCAATGTTTCTTTGGGAGAGTCTGTACTTAGCCATTTTATGTTGTACGCCTTAATGAAAGCATTCTTTTTTTCCTCTCTGTCTCTGAAACATACAACTTTGCATCCCTCCAGCCCCCCAATTTACCTAGGTTTTCCATTGGAACGTTAGAGTCAGGTTGCCTAGTTCTCACACTCTCAAAATCCTATTGCTATTGTTTTATTGTAACCATATTTAATTGTATACATTCATCCAGAGGGAATTGACACTTATTTAAACACTAAGGTTTCTTATCTAATAATCATAATAAATCCATGTTTTCATTTATTTGAATCTTTTTTTCTGCTCTCAGAAGTATTTCTGTGTTCTTCATATACCTCATGCATATTTCTTGTTGAGTGATTCAGTATATTTTACCTTGTGTGGCTATTATTAATGATATATTTCATTATATTTTAAACTACTTGTCTGTATATGACAACCGCTCAGTAATTTTAATATGGCCAAAGTAGGCATCTTGCTTTAAAAGGGAGAGGAGGACTGTGGCCTGCTTTCATGGCTGCTTTTAAATTTTGTAATGGGGAAAAGTTTGAATGTGGTGAACCAGAGGTCACAAGAGGGACAAAACTCGGGGTAAGTTCACCAAAGCCCTGCAGCTGTAAGCATTACAGCTTCTTTAGCCAGGAACGAAAGAAAATTGTTCTTTGAAGTTATAAGAAAGCCATGGACCTGGGAGGTCAGCTGTGGTCCCCTCGCCTGCGAGACCACATATGAACTCCTGGACAGATGCAGTCTCATCTCCTTTCAAGTCCTACACATGGAAGGAGGTCTTACAAGCCCACATGCTTCCACATTAGGGATAGGAGTACTGTGTATAGCTCTCATCATCAGACAATTCTCTCTTCTGTAACTACAGATTTCTTGCTTCTTTTTTTTTTTTTTTTTTTCACCCAGGCTGGAGTGCAGTGGCGTGATCTTGGCTCACTGCAAGCTCCACCTCCCGAGTTCATGTCATTCTCCCACCTCATCCTCCCACGTAGCTGGGAGTACAGGTGTCCGCCACCACGCCAGGCTAATTTTTTATATTTTTAGTAGAGATGGGGTTTCACCGTGTTAGCCAGGATGGTCTTGATCTCCTGACCTCATGATCTGCCCGCCTCGGTCTCCCAAAGTGCTGGGATTACAGGCTTGAGCCACCGCACCCAGCTGCTTCTTTCTTTTTATGCTGCCCCCAGCTGAGATGGAGAGTTGCTGATCACCATTTTGCATATGTGCTCTTTAAGACTGAAAATTACCTTTAGATGTCTTTATTGGTATACTAAAGGAAATTGGAGCCCTAACGATGTATTTATTACATGCTTACAACATGCCAGACATTGAGCTTTACATGAGCATCTCTTTTAATCCTCTCAACAACTCTACGTTACAGATAAGAAAACTGAGGCTCAAAAAGATGAAATGAATTGTCCAAGGTCACAGAGCTGGGTAGTGGTAATACCAAGATTTGAACTCAGGCATGTTGGTCTCCATCACGCATACTCTTAGTAGAATTTGCCTATAATCATTTTTATGATAATGGGAGGAAAAAACACCCAAATAATGCCCCAGCCAAACCAAAGCTTTAGTCTGTTTTTAATAATTTGTGGTAGCTATGGGGAGTGCGCTGGGGAGTACACTGCTCAAATCTCCCTTTGAGCGAGTGCCTCTGTGAGGAGTGTAGCTAGCTGACCATGTCCGGCAGCAGCAACTTCAGAATCCACCACAGTATTCTCACCAAGAGCATAGTCTCTTTGGGACACTCCCAGCCAATGACTGTGCTCATGGGAGATCTAGAACCAGGTCATTCCTGTCCAATGAGGCCTGTCCAATGTGAGCCTCCTCCAATGAGCAGTCTCTGTTCTGGGTGTCCCCACTAGCACAGCTGAGATTTTCTGAGCTGCACAGAGCTAAGTTTCTTCCTACCCTATCCTCCTTCCTCCTACTTGCCCTGCACCTGACTCAGGTTCTCTCCCTCTTCCCTTTCCCCCCTACATTCATTTCCCCCTGTACCTCCTGCCAGCTGATTCCTAGAGGGCCCACTGCGATATACCTTTCCTCAAAGACATTACATCTTTGTGGCTTTCCTATGAATACTCTTCAGAGTTTCTATATTTCTCTTTGCCCTAGAATGGGACATAATGCTATAGTCTGACCAGAAATGAGCAGCAGTGATACTGGTCCAGTGTCATATTCATGCTATGGGCCATGGGCACACCCTCTGGTCCAGTCCTCAACAGATCAGCCAAACCTGTACATACTCAGTTGTAAAGTATTCATTTGTCATCTGAGTTGCACTGTTAATATTCTTCACTTATTACTCCTGTTCCCTTCCCTGGACAGGACACAAAGAACAGGGTCTCATATGTCTATATTTCTGTCAATCCTGAATAACCAACATTACTTTTATTAATGTATTTTATTGAGCCTGAGACTCTATCAGTTATAATACATGCCATTTTTAATGTAGCACTAAGAAGTAAAAAGATATTGGCCGAGTGTGGTGGCTCACACCTGTAATCCCAGCACTTTGGGAGGCCAAGGCAGGCAGATCACTTGAGGTCAGGAGTTTAAGACCAGCCTGGCCAACATGGCAAAATCCCATCTCTCCTAAAAATACAAAAATTAACCGAGCATGGTGGCGTATGCCTGAAGTCCCAGCTACTTGGGAGGCTAAGGCACAAGAATCGCTTGAACCCGGGAGGCCGAGGTTGCAGTGAGTCGAGATTGCGCCATTGCACTCCAGCCTGGGTGAGCAAGTGAGACTCTGTATCAAAACAAAAAACAAAGATACTACCAATTAAACGATGACATGCCATTGATTATAAGATGACCTCAGATGTAAATGTGAGGGAGAAAACATGTGCCGAATAGTCTTTGTTCCTACAGATGCACTCTCCACCCTTCTCCATCTACCCTGCTCTGGGCCCAGAAGGTTGACCACTAAGCACTGTAGCACCCAGATGCCCTTGTCTCTGGCTTCTAATCAGGTTCAGTCCATGGAAAGGGGAAACAGAAGGTCGGAGGGTAGCTGGAGAGAGAGCTTAAGGTATTTATTCTCTTGGGTCCCTCCCTATAGACCAAGGTTTTGACAATGGTTACATTTTAGGTACCTAAGACTATAGTTCCTGTTGAGAGACCCTTTCCCCCACAGTTCTGAGTTTGATCTCTCTCTCTTTCTCTGGGTTCTGGAAGCCACTCCTGCCCTTCCCGCTTTGGGTCCAGGGCTGATAATATCATCTCCCTATTACAGTCCGAGGTGTCCCACTGTGACTTATTAGCCCCTGAATTAGTTTCCTAGGGCTGCCTTAACAAAGTACCACAATCCACATGGCTTAAACCAAGGGAAATTTATCCTCTCACAGTTCTGGAGGTTAGAAGCCTGGAATCAAGCTGCCAGCAAGGCCATGCTCTCTCTGCATGAAGACTAGGGAAGACTCCTTCCTAAGACTATTCTGGTCCTGGTGGTTGCTGGCAATTTGTGGCATTAATCAGCTTGTAGATACATAATTGCAGTATCTGCCTCCTTCTTCACGTGGCCTTCCCCCTCTGTGTCTTTTCTCTTCTTATAAGGACTCCAGTCAAAAATGGATTTGGGGCTTACCCTGCTTTAGTATGACCTGATCTTAATTAATTACAAAGACCCTATTTCAATATAAGGTCACATTTTGGGGTTCTGAGAAGGATGTGGATCTTTGGAGGCCTATTCACCCCAGTACAGTCCCTTATTCTATACTCTTGTAAATAGTTTCTTCATTAAACTCCAGTTACCCCCTTCTGAGTGTGCAGTATGGGGACACTGATGATACAAAGTATACCTTAGAATCAATAAATACAGTATTTTTGACTAACAGGAACTGCACTAGAATCTTATATTAGTTAAGGTAAATGATAATCTCAGAATACAGGGGCTTAAATAAGAAATACAGTTGAATCTCACTATTTGCAGTAGTGATGTTCTGTAAAGTCAGTGTGAACACTGACTTAGCAAATACAGAACCACTGCTCCTGGGGAATATAGAAGATTAGGTTCCTATGAGCCTTTGGTCACAACATTTTTCATCAACCATTCAATCACAATTTGTTTTATGGGTTTTTCTGTTTAAGGACACCTTACTTAATATATACTGTTGACTCGTTAACGTTGAACACTGTGACTCATGCCTGTGACTCATGCCTGAAGGAAGTTTAGCAACACATGTATTTTCTCTTTAAAGCACATCACAGTTTCCTGTGCTTAGGAACACAAGATAACACTTTAGCACTGTGTTTGGGGGCCATTTTAAACTGAGAAATTACTAACAAAGAGCACAAAAGTGCAAAAAATGTGGCTCTAAATAAACCATGATAAAGAGACTTATTTACAGTATTAGAACTGAAGCAAAAAGGCAGAGTGATGCCTTCTTTGACCTCAGCTGGGAACAAGCATGTTGGATGACAAATTTTTCACCACTCTCTGCAGGTGTGTATCCACCAATGATTGCAAAGGCACAATGAGTATTGCTTTTGGAGTTACCAATAAATTTTAGCAAGTAGGGAAAATCACAAATACAGAATCCACAAATAATGAGTATTTATTGTACATTTTGTTTTTCTCTCATATAAAGGTCTAGCCTATGCAGAGTGGTGAGGCAGTTTTCCACCAGGTTGTTCAGGAACTCAGATTCCTTCCATCTTGTTACACTGTCATCCTCTAGGGTAATGTATTCCTCTGCATGGTTAAAGTTGAATTGCAAGAGCATCTAAGTCCCACCTCTTAGAGAGGAGAAAGGAAAGTTCAAGGCAAGCAATATCTTTTAAAGCACATTGAAATTGAAGTTGCATTTGGAAAAAATTTGGTCATTTTTATCACACCTCTCTGCAAGAAAGGCTAGAAAATGTATCTGGCTAGGTGGCATGCACTCAGGGAAAAAAAGGTGAGACTAGATTTGGGGTGAATAACTGGCAGTTTACCACCAAGAGCCGTGAAGAAACTCTCATCCTGAAACGCCTGCAATGCTGTATCGTAGAAAGCCTGGGGAGAGCTGGCTTCTGTTCTAGCTCTGCCACTACCTTCTCTAATATGTGCATTTAATGCTCTATATTTATCTCTAAGTAATGCTTTAGCTACAATAGACAAATTTTGATATGTCCTATGTTCCTTTAGTGCAAAAGTGTTTTTTTTTCCTTTTTTTTTTCTTTTTGAGACGGAGTCTTGCTCTTTCACCCAGGCTGGAGCACAGTGGCGTGATCTCGGCTCACTGCAAGCTCCGCCTCCCAGGTTCATGCCATTCTCCTGCCTCAGCCTCCTGAGAAACTGGGACTACAGGCGCCCGCCACCAAGCCTGGCTAATTTTTTGTATTGTTAGTAGAGATGGGGTTTCACCGTGTTAGCCAGGATGGTCTCGATCTCCTGACCTCGTGATCCGCCAGCCTCGGCCTCCCAAAGTGCTGGGATTACAGGCGTGAGCCACCGCGCCTGGCAAAAGTTTTTTTTTTTTTTTTTCTTAAATTTTTTGTAGATACAGGGTTTTGCCGTGTTGTCTAGGCTGGTCTCGAATTCCCGGGCTCAAGCGATCTGCCCGCCCTGGCCTTCCAAAGTGCTGGAATTACAGACATGAGCCACCGTGCCAGGCCAACATTTTATATTCTTTTTTTTTTTTTTTTTTTTGAAACGGAGTTTCACTCTTGTCGCCCAGGCTGGAGTGCAGTGGCACTATCTCAGCTCACTGCAACCTCCACCTCCCCAGTTCAAGTGATTCTCCTGCCTCAGCCTCCTGAGTAGCTGGGACTACAAGCCCCCATCACCACGCCCAGCTAATTTTTATATTTTTGGTAGAGACGGGATTTCACCACTTGGCCAGGCTGGTCTCAAACTCCTGAGCTCAGGTGATCTGCCCGTCTCGGCCTCCCAAAGTGGTGGGATTACAGGCGTGAGCCATGAGCCACCGTGCCCGGCCACTTTTTTTGTTGTTGTTGTTGCAGTCTCGCTCTGTTGCCCAGGCTGGAATGCAATGGCGTGATCTTGGCTCACCACAACCTCTGCCTCCCAGGTTCAAGTGATTCTCCTGCCTCAGCCTCCCGAGTAGCTGGGATTACAGGCATACACCACCATGCCCAGCTAATTTTGTATTTTTGGTAAAGTTGGGGTTTCTCCATGTTGGTCACGCTGGTTTAGAACTTCTGACCTCAGGTGATTCGCCTGCCTCAGCCTCCCAAAGTGCTGGGATTACAGGCGAATTTTTATATTTTAAGTACAGACAGGGTTTCACCTTGTTGGCCAGGCTGGTCTCAAACTCTTGTCCTCAAGAGATCCGCCTGCCTCAGCTTCCCAAAGGCTGGGATTACAGGTGTGAGCCACCGCACCCGGCCCGACATTTTATATTCTATTTTCTTTTCTTTTCTTTTTTTTTTTTTTTTGAGACGAAGTCTCCTCTGTTGCCCAGGCTGGAGTGTAGTGGTGCCATCTTGGTTCACTGCAACCTCCGCCTCCCCAGTTCAAGCTATTCTCCTGGCTCAGCCTCCTGAGTAGCTGGGATTACGGGCACGTGCCACCATGCCTGGCTAATTTTTGTATTTTTAGTAGAGATGGGGTTTCACCATGTTGGTCAGGCTGGTCTCGAACTCCTGACCTCATGATCTGCCCGCCTTGGCCTCCCAAAGTGCTGAGAGTACAGGCACGAGCCAGTGCACCCGGCCTGTATTCTATTTTCTTTTGTCCTTTTTTTTTTTTTTTTAATGCACTAAATGGATTTCATGACCTCATTGGCTGGGCATCTCATTGTGAAAACACTATAGTATTTCAAAGAAAAGTGGCATCTCATAGAAAACAATGAAATCCTACCTAAAAAAGAGAATCTTAAAACTTCTAGGCAGAAGAATAATTTTTCAGTGCAAAATATTTTCTGATTTCCCTTATGACTTCCTCTCTGACCCATGGGTTATCTAGAAGTATGTTGATTTCTAAATATTTGGAAAACTTCCAAATCTCTTTCTTTCATTGATTCCTAACTTAAATCCTTTATGGTCAGAGAACATACTTTGTATTATTTAAATTATTTTAAATATGTTGCAATTCATTTTATGGTCCAGAATATGGCCTATATTGGTGAATGTCCCGTGCATATTTGAAAATGTGTAGTCTGCTGTTCTGCTGTTATAGGATACAGTATTCCAGAAAGGTCAATTAGGTCAAGTTTGTTGATAGTATTGTTCAGGTCTTTTATATTCTTACCGATTTTCTATCTTCTTTTTCTATTTATTACTGAAAGAGAAACGTTGAAGTCTCCACATAAAATAGCGAATTTATCTATTCCTCCTTTCGATTCTATTGGTTTTTGCTTCATGTATTTTGTTGCACTGTTAGGTACACTCACATTTAGGATTGTTGTCTTTTTTGTGAGTTGATCCTTCTCTCGTTATATAATGTCCCTCTTTATCCTTTTCCTTTGTTTTGGAGTTTACGTTGTTGGATGTAGCCACTTGTGGTAAGCAGAATAATGCTCCCACTTCCCCCCCGCCGCCCCCACTTCTCCCACCCCTGCCCCGTGTTGACATCTTAATCCCCAGAACCTGTGAATATATTGGGATAAATTGCATTAGATTTCAATGGGAAATTAAGGTTACAGATAGAATTAAGTCGGCTAACCAACTGATCTTGAGATTGAAAAATTATCCTGGATTATTTGAATGGGCCCCGTGTATTTGTAAGCGTCTTTTTAAGTAAAAAAAAGAGCGAGGCAAGAAAGAGGGAGTCAGAGAAGGAGATGTGATGATAAAAGCAGAGGTTGGAGCCGGGCGCGGTGGCTGACGCCTGTAATCCCAGCACTTTGGGAGGCCAAGGCGGGCGGATCACGAGGTCAGGAGATCGAGACCATCCTGGCTAACATGGTGAAACCTTGTCTCTACTAAAAAAAAAAAAAATACAAAAAATTAGCCGGGCGTGGTGGCGGGTGCCTGTAGTCCCAGCTACTCGGGAGGCTGAAACAGGAGAATGGCATGAACCCGGGAGGTGGAGCTTGCAGTGAGCCGAGATCGCGCCACTGTACTCCAGCCTGGGCGACTGAGCAAAACTCCGTCTCAAAAAAAAAAAAAAAAAAACAGAGGTTGGAATGAGATGATAGTTGGCTTCGAAGATGGAAGAAAACCAAGGGCCAAGGAATGTGGACAGCTCTAGAAGCTGGAAAGGGCAAGGAAATTGATTCTTCCCTAGAGCCTCCATTGTTCATTTCTACTCAGGTTGGCCTGACTCCCTGCTGCTTCTAGCTTGACCTTTTCTGGGACTCTTGTTTTGGCCTTGAACCTTGTCCTGTTGAATAGCAAGATTGGAACTTACCCAGGGTTTTCTTTCAATCAGCAGAATGTGGAAAACTAAGATACATCTTTCAGATGATAGTGTACCCACCATGCTTACAAGCAATTCACAGGCCCTGCGCATAATCAAAGAAAGGGGAATACACAGAGGTGAGAATACCAGGAGGTAGGGATCATGTAAGTAACTATATTATATACTTATAGTCTGCCACCATATGTAACTTGTAGAGTTGAGAATAATAAAGTAATGATTTACTCTTATTTGAAGAATTAGAATTTAACTGATTATGAACAAATTTTGTGTTGAGATCATAGGTGTTTAGGGTGCAAGGACTATGAAGTTGTTGTTTTAATATAGTATGCAATGGTATGCTTCAAATGGAGGACCAAAATATTCAGAATAAAGCGATCTCACCTTGTTAAGGGAATGACCATGAGGATTTAACTTCAAGTTCCCAAATAAGTGGTTGCAACACACACACACATATATACACACACACACATTTATATATATAATGGAAAAACATATATATAGTTGCCCCTCCACATCCGTGGGCTCTGCATCCACAGATTCAACAATGGATGGGAGGAAGGTGGGGAGGAAGGGAAAAAGAAAGAGAACCAGGGTGCAAATCAAATAGAACAATGATAAGGCCAGGTGGCTGCCAGTTTGTGACTCTTGCTTTATGTCAACTTCTTAGTTTCTGTCTTTTCCCAGCAATTCAAGATGTGTTTAAGAACTTAATTCAAGGTGTACTTGGAAGTAGATCAAATGCAGGTAGAATTTCCATTGCCTTGCCACTTCTTTAAATCTAACCATACAGTTTTTATTGAGCACCTAACATACACACACAGTCTCTCATTACATCACACTAAAAATGAAATATATTAATAATTAGTTACATGAAACAGAGAGATACAACTTCCATAATGGTCAAAATGACTCTGAGATACATACTTACATTTTAGCTGTTTAAAAAAAAAAATCAGATATAAAGAGAATCACTGTTTACTGGAGCACTCAACATCTATAATTCCTTCTAAATGCAGAAGGTTAATGGGAAAGTTCCAGAACATTAGTCACCATTTCGTTAAAAAGTAGCACTTCTAGTGGCACACCCCTGTAGTCCTGGCTACTCCGGAGGCTGAGGCAGAGGATCACTTGAGACTGGAATGTCGAGGCCGCAGTGAGCCATAATTGCACCACTGCTCCAGTCTGGATGACACAAGACCCTGTCTCAAAAATAAAAATAAAGTAGCACTTCTAAGCCAAGTGCAGCTGTGCATGCTTGTAGTCCCAGCTACTCCTACTCCTAGCTATTCTGGAGGCTAAGATGTGAGGATCCCTTGAGGCCAGGAGTTGGAGACTGCAGTGCCTATTATTACACCTGTGACTAGCCACCGCACTCCAGCCTGGGCAAGCCAGACCCTGTCAGGGAAAAAAAAAAAAAAAGGTAGCTCTTCTAAAAGAATGGAAAGGAAATCATTCTGCAAAACTTTCCTTGGAGCCAGTTTTGACCTGTGAGGCTTCTGTCCCTATAGAGGTTATCTATGACACCCACCACGCCGCATCCAAGTTTATACCAATTCAGAAACGGAAAAAAAGTCTGCAGTCTTGTTAGCTGATTAAGTGAGAAGACATTGATTCAACCTGGCTCAGGTTGGCAATTGCTCATGGCTGCATTTAATAGAAATGTTAAACAATAAACATTGCATCCCCCTCCCCACATGGGACTCACATCACTTTAGTCACTCTATCTCCCCCTTATTCTCAGCCTCCCTCTGCATCGATTTCTCTCCCCAGTCTCCAGTTTTTGCACATTTAAAGTACGCCTATTTCTGTTTCCATTATTTTTCCTGCTCTTAATCAGGACTGAGACTTTTCAAAATTTTTAACTTCTCTGCTATCCCAGAGATTCTCCATACCCCTTACACTCTCATCCCAAGCATCTCACCCTTACCCTTGCCCCCACCCCCATTCGAGAACCTGGACTTCTCCCCAATCTCTATCACAGTACCCCCCGGTCTAAGACGCCCTTAGCTTTCCCTTCCCCACGCCTCCCCCATCAACCCTCCCTAAGCCGGCAGGCAGTCTCAGCCGTTCCAGAAATTGACAAAGAAGTTGCAGAGGGAGTGCCACTTCTCAGCGCAGTAGGTCTCCGTGAGCTCCGCGTTCCCGTCCAGCCCGTCGGGGTCGGGCCCGGTCCCCATGGGTCGCTCCTCGTTGGGGACCAAGGCCGCCTTCCTCTTGCCCTCGTTGGTCTTCCTCTCTGAGGGGTTTTCTTTGGGCGGTGCGCTTTGGGGAGGCGGGGTCCCAGCGGCTGGGCCGGACGCACGCTCCCGGGTCCGCCCCCGGTTCCGGGCCCGGGGCTTGGACTCCCCCGCGAATCCCGCGACGGTGGGGCGTGCGGGCGGGGACGCGCGGGGCACTAGCCGCAGCTCGGCGCCGTGGCCCTTCTTGCCCGCGCACAAGCGGGCCTGGAGCGGCGCGGGGTCGTGACAGGGCCTCCGCTTCTTGCGCAGCCCTCCCAGCACCTGCTTCCAGAAGTGCGCGCGGCGAGCGGCGTAGGCTGCGCAGCGCTCCGGATGCCCGCGGTAGGCGCACTGGTGGCGCGCCCCGTCCGGGCTCTGGCAGCGCAGCGCCAGCTCGCTGCCCGCTGCGGCCTCCGGGGCGGGCAGCAGGAGCTGCCAGCTGCACGCGTGCTGCTCGGGGCTGAGGAAGCGACCCGAGGAGCCGCCAGTGGGCCCGGGGACCGGCTCCGCCACGTTGCTAGCCGCCCCTTTCTCCCTCCGAGCAGCCGCGAGGAGGCAACCACTCAGCAGCAGCAGCAGCGACGGCGACAGCGACGCTCGCAGCTTCGGAGGAGTCATGCTCCGCGGTTTCCGCGCTCCGCTGTTCTCAGACCACGTTTGTCGGGGCTGGACCAGGCAAAGAGCATTCCCCAGGACCTGCGGACAGAGGCAGAGACTGCCACCAACTGAGCCACACGCAGCGCTTCGCCCAGACACATGCACCTGCGAACTACTCTTCCGCAGACTTTCTAGAATCTGCAGCCTGCGAGGAGACCCTCTGAGGAGCTTTCCTGGGGAAACTGCTTACTGTCTAAATAATCACTTTCGAACCATGTATGCATTGAGATTTTCTTCCCCTTGCAAATACGATAGCAAAACGATGCGTGATAATTGCCCCCTCTACCCCTTCCTTCATTTTCTCCCTTCTCCAACCTGCAATAAACTATCTACAAAATCATTTCAGATGATTCCTTGGAAACATGCACTTTACTACACTTTGAACTTACCGAGTTCTGGGAGAGGCGCCAAAGCCTTATTAGGGTAGAGGGAACGACTGCACGGGGGAGTAGTCTGTTTTAGCCGGCTCCCTGTGAATGAACGTGGTATCAATGGAACAGAAGAGGCCTACCCTTCTTCGCCCCTCCCCGATTTCTCTCACACTGGGAGACTTATCACCGCCGCGCTTCTCTCTCTCTCTCCCTCTCTCTCTCTGTCTCTCCAGATGGATGATGGAAGCGGTCCTGTAGTATGAAATACAAATCTTGTATTTTGCTTCCAATGTTTAAAATAATCAGGCAAAATTAACCAAGTTTTTCTTCTTTCATGTACTTAACCATCCAAAAAATAAAAATTAAACAAAAGATCTAAGTTTTAAAAGTTAAATAAAATGAAACAAAACAAACTTCAGTATTCTAAACTAGGCATTTTTTACACAATTATATCATTTACATTCTATTTCTCATATTCTGAGTTCTACATTTTTACCTATTATTTCCAATAGCCTTTCTTAAGACTCTCAATCTTAATAATTGTTACTACTAATAAAAATATAATATCCTAGTTTATTAACATACAATAGTGCCCAGCAGTTCACCCAGGAGTGGACATTTGGGCTTTTTATTATTTTTAGGTATTAGAAATCAGTTATAAGGGTCCTCCAAAAATTAGAAGTTTAAAAAAATTATTTGTATTATAGTAGTTGAACGGTAAGATTACCAATTGAAATGGTATAATAGTTAAGAATGTGAGACCAGCCTGGCCTGGTGAAATCCCGTCTCTACTAAAAATACAAAAATTAGCCAGGCGTGGTGGCAGATGCCTGTAATCCCAGCTACTCAGGAGGCTGAGGCAGGAGAATCACTTGAACCCGGGACAGGGCGAGACTGCCTCTCAAAAAAAAAAAAAAAGAGAGAGAGAATGAATGTGTTCTTGAATCTTGAAAATGTTACATTTAAGCAAAGCTGCTTTTTCTGGAGGGGGGGATTGTGTGTGTGTGCGGGGGTTTGTTTGTTTGTTTGTTTGTTTGTTTGTTTTGAGACGGGAGCTCACTCTGTCACCCAGGCTGGAGCGCAGTGGTGCTATCTCGGCTCACTGCAACCTCTGCCTTCCCGGTTCAAGCGATTCACCTGCCTCAGCCTCCCCAGTAGCTGGAATTACAGGTGCCTGCCACAACACCCAGCTAATTTTTAGTGGAGAAGGGGTTTCACCATGTTGCCCAGTCTGGTATCGAACTCCTGACCTGAGATGAGCCACCTGCCTCAGCCTCTCAAAGTGCTGACCAAGCAAAGCTGTTTTTTCTTTCTTTTTTTTTTTTTTTGCTCTTTTTAAAATTTTTATTTAGAAGCCTACTTGTAGAAGTTAGCATAATTTTACAGATTATTAGAAAAATTCAATTATTTTCTCTCTGCAAACAGTTATAATAGGTTAGGAATAATAGATTAGAAATGTACTACATTGCAAAAACAGTGGCCTATAACTATCTGTACATTTACTGTGCACCTTAAGGAAAAGAATTTGACAGTGTGCTATACTTACACTGCAGGTAACATATTTTTATTCTATCACACAAAACTGACCAGTGGTAGTGCTTGAATTTATAAATGGCCATTAAACAGAATATTTAAACTGAGATGTATATTTAGCATGCTAAAAAGTGAAAAAAATTTCAACTGAAGTTCTGTGGCTCATCAGTTCAAATGTTTCATGGCATTTTTTTCTTTAAACGAAAAATTTTGATATTGTAAAACAAATAATTTTACATAATAAATGCAAAAGTATAAAATTTTCTAAATTTTTAGAAAGAATATTTCCATTCATTTTGTCATGGGTTTTGTGTGGCTCCTCTTAATATATTAATGATATTAATAAGACACTGGTCCTATACCACTTTCAGAGTCCATCTTCAATTAAAAACTGTAACAAAAATAAACAGTATGTAGAGTAACACAAAGTAAATTAAATATACTAAACTCACACAACAGGTAGAATAAAATGAAACCAAATTACATAATGGCAGGTTATACATTTTAAAGACTCTCTTTCCACTTAGTCAAATAAGAAAGACATTGAAATGTTAACTTACTGATTTCTGTGGGGTTTTCCCCACTGGTTCAAATGCGAAAGTTTGATATAAATCTAATATTTTATTTCTGTACATTTAACATGATTCAGTATAATCTGCAGTCTCATGTATAGCTTGTCAATAATGCCATCATCACTGTATGTCAAACAAAAAACCTCACTGCTTACTAGAAATGCTAAACACTGGAAAAAATGGAATTTTATACATTTGTTTTCTTAAATTTTGACAGATGTTCTTCAAAAAATTAAAACTGCCTTCCACAAAATTTTGTGTGTATATGGCACAAGTTGACAGCCAAAAAGTGTGAATTCCATCAAAAAGGCACTGTTAACAATACTCAGAATAATCTGACAAGGTCTACATCAATGTCTGAGTAAAGAATAGGTAAATAGACAAACCCTTATAAAAGACAGCATTATTGTTTAAATATACTATAGCTATATAAAAAGAAATAAAGTGACACACAGAAATGACCCTTAGCAAAGCTGTTTTAAAACTTCAGAATATTCCATCATCTTTTAAAAATGTTCTCATTAATAAATGTGATTTTTTTTAATTGCAGAAGTTTATACCTCTGACTGTAATTTTTTTACACAAGTAAATATTTTACTTAAATACTTCCTCAAGATATCAGGAATTCTTATTATATTTCCTAATGTCCTCTTGCATATAGCATTTTCTATTACTGAACTCCTGTTAGTATTATATTTGAACAATTATAGTTTGGTTACTACTATAAAAACCAAAATACTTTAGAATTAGAAGAATATGTTTAAATATATAGTAGTATATATTAAATATATAGCAATGTATATTGACTTCAGAAAGGAAGTTTTTAACACTCTGGTAAAATCAGAGAAACTAGATAACTTGTCCAGGTTCACACATCATTTAGTGATAAAACCACTTACATCTTTCAGTGATCAGTGATCTTTATGTTTTGTCTTTGTATTTTACTATTAGTTATGTTTTAATTATACCAATTCAGGCTGGGCATGGTGGCTCACATCTGTAATCCCAGCACTTTGGGAAGCCAAGGCGGGTGGATCACCTGAGGTCAGGAGTTCGAGACCAGCCTGGCCAACATGGCAAAACCCCATCTCTACTAAAAATACAAAAAGTAGCTGGGCATGGTAGTGCACGCCTGTAATCCCAGCTACTCGGGAGGCTGAGGCAGGAGAATCACTTGAATCCGGGAGGCAGAGATTGCAGTGAGCCGAGGTCACACCACTGCACTCCAGCCTGGGCAACAGAGCAAGACTCTTTCTCAAAAAAACAAAAAACATAAAAATAAAAAAAAAAATTACACCAATTCAACTTATAATGAAAACCAATTTGTACCTATGAAGATTAGAAACATTAACAAGTTTCAAAAATAAGAGTAGCTAATTAATACATTTCACACTTGGAAGCCCTTTCTTTCCCAGAAAACTGTCTTTGTATATGTGAAGCATGGATGAGTAATCCCAGGCTTTTGTCTGTTGCCTTGGCATTACTTTTTGTTAACAACTACTGAACCGAATTGGTACCATTTTTAATGAAAGAATGACATCTTGTGGCATAATGCTCTAATTGCAATAAAAAAATTTATTATCTGAAAGCTGTAATTAAGAGATACTCCAGAGACCATGCTTCGCTGTCACAAACACTGTTCCCAGAGTAAAAAGTAAGGGCACATAGACATATTATGCAATATCAGAAAAGGGGAGTTATTTTTTAAAAAACTGTGGCATAATATGCATAACATAAAATTTGTTGTTTTAACTATTTTTAGGTGTACTCTTCAGTGACATTAAAAAGATTCACACTGTTCTGCAACCATTATAGCTATCCATCTCCAGAACTTTCTTTCGTCCTCCAAAACTGAAACTCTGTACCCATTCCTCCCTTCCCCCAGCCCCTGGCAACCATCATTCTACTTTCTGTCTCTGTGAATTTGACCACTCTAGATATCTTATGGTAAGTGTAATCCTACAGTATTTGTCCTTTGTGATTGGCTTATTTCACTTAACACAATGTCTTCAAGGTTTATCTGTGTTATAGCATGTATCTGAATTTATTTCATTTTTAAGTCTGAATAATATTCCATTGTATGTATATACCACATTTTGTTTACCCATTTAGGTTGTTTCCATACCTTGGCTATTGTAAATAATGCTGCAATTAACATGAAAGTGCAGATATCTTTATGAGGTGATCATTTCATTTTCTTTGGATATATGCCCAGAAGAGGAATTGCTGGGTCACATAGTAGTTGATTTTTAATTTCTTTACAAATCTCCATACTGTTTTCCATAATGGCTGTACCAATCTACATTCTCACCAAGAGTGTACAACCTTTTCCCCACATCCTTGCCAACATTTATCTTTTGACTTTTTGGTAATAGCCATCCTAACGGGTGTGAGGTAGTATCTCATAGTGGTTTTGATTTACAATTCCCTGATGATTAATGGTGTTGAGCACCCTTTCATATACCTGTTGGTGATTTTCATGTTTTCTTTGGAAAAATGTGTATTCAGGTCTTTTTGCCCATTTTTAAATCAGGTTATTTGTTTTTCTACCATTGAGTTGTATGAGTGCTTTATAAATTTTGGACAGTAACCCCTTATTTGATATATGGTTCACAGATATTTTTTCCCAATCTGTAGCTGCCACTTATTTGTTGATTGTTTCCTTGGCTGTGCAGAAGCTTTTTAGTTTCATGTAGTACCATTTATTTATTGTCGCTTTTGTGGCTTGAGCTTTTGGTGTGATGTCCAAAACTCATTGCCAAGGTCCATATCCAGGGGATTTTCCCCTATGTTCTCTTCTGGGAGTTTGATAGTTCCTGGTCTTACAATTAGGTTCTTTATCCATTTTGAGTTGATGTTTTTGTATAGTGTAAGATAATGATCAAATTTCATTCTTTTGCATACGGAAATCCAGTTTTCCCAGCACTATTGAGACTACCCTTATCCCATTGTGTCTCTTATCAAAAATTAGTTGACCATATATGTTTGAATTTATTTCTTCTCTATTCTGTTCCATTGTTCTATGTGTCCGTTTTTATGCCAGTACCATTACTGTTTTGATTACTAAAGCTTTATAATATAATTTTTTTTGAGACAGGGTCTCGCTCTGTTGCCCAGGCTGGAAGGCAGTGGCATGATCATGGCTCACTGCAGCCTCAAACTCTAGGCTCAAGCAATCCTCCCACATCAGCCTCCTGAGTAGCTGGGACTACAGACATGTGCCACCAGACCTGGATAATTTTTTCTACTTTTCATAGAGACACAGTGTCACTATGTTGCCCAGGCTTGTCTCAAATTCCTGGGCTAAAGCAATCCTCCTGCCTCAGCCTCCAAAAGTGCTGGGATTATAGGCTTCAATATAATTTAAAATCAGGAAGTGTAATGCCTCCAACTTTGTTTTACTTTCTCAGAATTGTTTTGGTAATTCATGGTCTTTTATGTTTCCATACAAATTTTAGGATTGCTTTTTCCATTTCTGTGAAGAATGGCACTGGGATTTTTGTAGGGATTGTGTTGAATCTGCATACTGCTTTGGGTAGTATGGATATTTTAACAATATTAATGTTTCTAATACATGAGCATGGGGTAGCTTTCCATTTATTTGTGTCTTCTTCAATTTCTTTCATGAATGTTTTACAGTTTTCAGTGTAATTTTTACACCTCAGTCAGTTAAATTTATTCATAAGTATTTGATTTTATTTTACTTTTTCATCCTATCATAAATGGGATTGTTTTCTTGCATTCTTTTTCTGTTAGGTCATTATGTGTATAAAAATGCTACTGATTTTGGTATGTTCATTTTGTATCCTGAAACTCAATTCATTTAGTGGTTCTAATAGGTTTTTGTGAAATCTTTAAAGTTTTTAAAAATAAGATAATGTCATCTGTAATAGAGATAATTTTACTTCTTTTATAATTTGGACGCTTCTTATTTTTCTTGTCTGATTGCTCTTGGTAGTACTTCTAGTACCGTGTTACATAGAAGTGGTGAGACTGGGCATCCTTGCCTTTGTCTTTTACTACATCTTAGGGGAAAAGCTTTCAGTATTTCCCCATTGATTATATGAGGAACTAATATTATATGTTAGCTGTGGGTTTTTCATAAATGGCTTTTAATATGTTGAGGACCTTTCCTTCTATACCTAAATTATTGTGAGTTTTTATCAAGAAAAAATGTTGGACTTTATTGAATGCTTTTCCCAAATCAATTGAGATGATCATGTGGTTTTTAATCTTTCATTCTGTTAAATCTATCACATCGATTGATATGCATATGTTACACTTATCCTAGCCAGACTTGCATGGCTAGGATAATTCTCATTTGGTCATGATGTATGATCTTTTTTATGTATTGTTAAATTCAGCTTGCTAATATCATATTGAGAATTTTTGCATTAATATTCATCAGAGAGATTGTCCTATAGTTTTCTTTTCTTGTGATATCTTTCACTTAGGTATCAAAGTGAAGATGGCCTCATAAAGTTTATTTGGAAATACTCCCTCTAGCTTTATTTTTTGGAAGAGTTGTATTAAGAAGCATTGGTATTAATTCTTCTTTGAAAGTTTGGTAGAATTCAGTGTGAAGCCATCTGGTCCTGGGCTTGGCTTTTCTTTGTTGGGCAGTTTTTTGTTTTTTTGTTGGTTTTTTGTTTTTTTGTTTTTTTTTTTTTGAGACAGAGTTTCGCTGTTGTTGCTCAGGCTGGAGTGCAATGGCGCAATCTCGGCTCACTGCAACCTCCGCCTCCCAGGTTCAAGCGATTCTCCTGCCTCAGCCTCCCGAGTAGCTGGGATTACAGGCATGCGCCACCACCCCGGCTAATTTTGTATTTTTAGTAGAGATGGGGTTTCTCCATGTTGATCAGACTGGTCTTGAAGTCCCGACCTCAGGTAATCCACCCGCCTTGGCTTCCCAAAGTGCTGGAATTACAGGCATGAGCAACCGTGCCCGGCGTTTCTTGGTTTTTTTCAGATGGAGTCTTGCTCTGTCGTCCAGGCCGTAGTGCACTGGCTCACTGCATTGGCTCATTTGGCTCACTGCAAACTCCGCTTCCCAGGTTCAAGCAATTCTTGTGCCTCAGCCTCCTAAGTAGCTGGAATTACAGGCACCCACCACCAGGCCCAGCTAATTTTTGTATTTTTAGTAGAGATGGGGTTTCATCATGTTGGCCAGGCTGGTCTCAAATTCCTCACCTCAGGTGATCTGCCCGCCTTGGCCTCCCAGAGTGTTGGGATTACAGGCATGAGCCACTGCTCCCAGTTTTTTATTACTACTTCAATCTCTTTATTTGTTATTAGTCGGCTCATGCCTTCTATTTCTTCCTGACTCAATCTTGGTAGGTTGTATTTTTCTAGGAATTTATCCATTTTTTCTAGGTTATCCAATTTATTGGCATATACTTGTTCATAATAGTCCCTTATAATCTTGTTTTTTATTTCTAAGACATCTGTTTTAATTTCTTCACTTTGATTTTTTGAGTCTTCTCTTTATCTCTTACATGATTTATCAATTTTATTTATTTGTTCAAAAAACCAACTCTTAGTTCTATTCTTTCTACGGTTTTTCTGTTCTCTATTTGTTTTATTTCGGTTCTGATTTTCATTGTTTCCTCCCTTCTGTTAATTTTGGGTTTAGTTTATGCTTCTTTTTCTAGTTCCTTGAGGCATAATGTTAAACTATATGGGATTTTCTTTTTTAATGCAGGCATTTGTTGTTATAAACTTCTCTCAGAACTGCTTTTGCTGCAGATGTGTTATGTTTCCATTGTTATTTGCCTCAAGATTTTTGTGAATTTACCTTTTGATTTCTTCTTTGATCCATCGATTGTTCAAGAGCATGTTGCTTAATTTCTACATACTTGTGAATTTTTAAAGATTCCTTCTGTTATTGATTTCTAGTTTAATACCTCTATGGTCTGAAAAAATACTAGATATGACCTTATAAGCTTGTTAAGACTAGTTTTGTGGCTTAACATATGCTCTATCCTGGAGAATGTTCCATGTACACTAGAGAAAAAATGTGTATTCTGCTGCTGTTGGGTGGAAAGTTCTCTGTATATCTGTTAGGTTCATTTGGCCAAAAGTGCAATTCAAGTCCAGTATTTCCTTATTAATTTTCTGTTCAGTTGCTCTATCAGTTGTTGAAAGTGGGATATCGAAGTCTCCTACTATTATTGTATTGCTGTCTGTTTCACCCTTTATGTTCATTAATATTTGTTTTATGTATTTAAGTATTCCAATGTTAGGTTCATATATATTTACGCTCATTGTGTCCTCTTGATGGATTGACCTGTTTATCATTAAATAATGAACATCTTTGTCTCTTGTGACAGGATTTGACTCAAAGTCTATTTTATCAGATGTAAGTATAGCAAGCTCTGCTTTTTTTTTTTTTTTTTTTTTTTTTTTTTGACACAGGGTCTCATTCCATTTTCCAGGCTGGAGTGCAGTGGCACAAACATTGCTTACCACAGCCTTGACCTCTTGGGCTCAAGTAATCCCCCTGCCTCAGCCACCTGAGTAGCTGGAACTACAGGTGCATGCCACCATGCTTGGCTAATTTTTAAATTTTTGTGTAGCAATGAGGTCTCCCTACATTGCCCAGGCTGGTCTCCAACTCCTGGGCTCAAGCGAGCCTCCCACCTTGGCCTTCCAAAATGCTGGGATTGCAGGTGTGAGCCACCATGCCTGGCCTCCCTGCTGTCTTTTGGTTACCATTTGCATATAATACCTTCTTTCATCTCTACTTTCAGCCTGTGGGTATCCTTAAAGCTTAATTCGTCTCCTGTAGATAGCATATAGTTGGGTCTTGTTTTAAAAATCTATTTAGCAACTCGATGTCTTTTGACTGGGGAATTTAGTCCAATTACATTCAAGATTATTATTAAAGGAAGGACTTACTATTTTTACTTTGTTATTTTATATCTGGTTGTTTTTTAGCATCTTTGTTTATCTCTGGTTGTTTTGTAGCACCTTTATTTGTTTTTTAATTAAAAAAATTTGATAATCCTCTGTAGTACTAAGCTTTGTTTTCTTTCTCTTTATTGTTTGCATAACTGCTATGGTTATCATGTGGCTTACGTAAAACATCTTATAGTTATAGTCAACTGTTTTTAGCTGATAACATCTGTTACGTGCAAAAACTCTAGACTTTTCTCCTCTACATACTGTTTTTTTTTTCTTTCTTTCTTTTTTTTTTTAAGAGACAAGGTCTTGCTACATTGTCTAGACTGACCTTGAACTTCTAGGCTCAAGTGATCCTCCCACCACAGCCTCCTGAGTAGCTGAGTTTACAGGCATATGCCATGCCCAGCTACACAATTTGTGTTTTTGATGTCACAATTTACACCTTTTTATATTGTATATTATTTAACAACTTATTGTAGCTTTTGTTATTTTTTTGACCATTTTGACATTTGACCTTTATACTAGAGATATGTATGCTTTACATATCACCAGTACAGTACTGGAGTATTCTAGGTTTATCTATATATTTATCTCTACTAGTGAGTTTTATATTTTCATTTGTATTCATAATAATTATTATCATCATTTTGTTTATACTAGAACTCCATGGCTGTGCATGGTGGCTCATACCTATAATCTCAACACTTTGGGAGGCCAAGACAGGAGGATCACTGGAGTCCAGGAGTTTGAGACCAGCCTAAGCAAGATGGCAAGACTCCATCTCTATAGTAAATAAATACATAAATAAATATTAGCTGGGCACAGTGGTACATGCCTATAGTTCCATCTACTTGGGAGGAATTCAAAGTGGCAGTGAATCATGATTGTGCCACTGAATTCCAGCAACAAAGCAAGACCCTGTCAAAAAAAGAAAGAAAGAAAAGAAGGAAGGAAGGATGGAAGGAAGGAAGGAAGGAAGGAAGGGAAGGAAGAAAGGAAGAAAGCAAGAAAGCCTAGCACTTTGGGAGGCCGAGGCAGGTGGATCACCTGGAGTCAGGAGTTTGAGACCAGCCTGGGCAACATGGTGAAACCCCGTCTCTACTAAAAATGCAAAAATTAGCCAGGTGTGGTGGCAGTTGCCTGTAATCCCAGCTACTCGGGAGGCTGAGGCAGGAGAATTGCTTGAACCCAGGAGGCGGAGGTTGCAGTGAGCCAAGATTGTGCCATTGCACTCCAGCCTGGGGGACAAGAGCAAGACTTCGAAGGAAAAAAAAAAGGAAAGAAAGAAACTTCCATTAGGCATTTCTTGTAGGGCAGACCTAGTAGTGATGAGTTTCTTCAGCTTTTGCTTGTTTGGGAAAAACTTTATTTCTTCTTCATTTCTTCATTCCTTTCAGCACTTTGAATATATAATCTTATTCTTTCCTGGCCTATAAGGTTTCTCCTGAGAAATCTATTGGTAGTCTAATGGAGATTCCCGTATATGTGACTTGACACTTTTCTCTTGCTGCTTTTAAAATTCTTTATTTTTCTTTAAATTTTGACAGTTTGATTATTATGTGCCTTGGTGAGGATGTCTTTGGGCTGTATTTATTGGGGGATCTTTCAGTTTTATGAATCTGCCCCTCTATATCTGTCCCAAGACTTGAAAGGTTTTTTTAGCAATAATTTCACTAAATAAGCTTTTTCGTTATCACTTCTCCTTCCTTAACTCCTATAATGTGAATATTTGTTCACTTAATGGTGTACATTTAGTTATTATAAATAATAATAACTAAAATAGTTAATCATAATAGTTAATATTTATTTAATACTTAGTCTTTTCTTTTCATTGAAACAGGGTCTCCTTCTGTCACCCAGGCTAGAGTAGAGTAGCATGATCATGGCTTACTGTTGCCTCAAGTTCCTGGGCTCAAGGGATCCTCCCACCTTAGCCTCCTGAGTAGCCAAGATTATAGGCACATGCCACCAACAGCTGGCTTTTTTTTTTTTTTTTTTTTTGAGACGGAATCTTGCTCCATCACCCAGGCTGGAGTGCAGTGGCGTGATCTTGGCTCACTGCAAGCTCTGCCTCCCAGGTTCATGCCATTCTCCTGCCTCAGCCTCCCGCGTAGCTGGGACTACAGGTGCCCGCCACCATGCCCGGTTAATTTTTTGTATTTTTCATAGAGACTGGGTTTCACTGTGTTAGCCAGGATGGTCTCCATCTCCTGACCTCATGATCTGCCTGCCTTGGCCTCCCAAAGTGCTGGGATTACAGGCATGAGCCACCGCACCCAGCCTAATTAAAAAAAATTTTTTTTGTAGACATGAGGTCTCCCTATGTTGCCCAGGTTGGTCTCGAATTCCTGGGCTCAAGCGATCCTCCCACATCAGCCTCTCAACGTGCTGGGATGACAGGCATGAACTATCACACCTGGCTAATACTTAGTATTTTCTAAGTGTGTCATGTATGAACTCATTTCTTCCTTATGACAATTCTATAAGTACAGGTTCATGATCTATTATTTACAATTCTGAAATTGAAAATGGTCTGAAAACCACACTTTTAAAAACTCACCTATAGTCCCAGCTACTCATGAGGCTGAGATGGGAGGACTGCTTGAGCCCAGGAGTTCAAGACCAGCCTTGGAAACAGCAAAATGCCATCTCAAAATATATATATTTGGCAGCAAATCCTGGCCTGAACTGGCATATGCCTATCTATAGTCTTTTACTTATTCCTCTTAGTATGGTTAGTCATACATTTTGCTGCAGCTCTATAAATATATTTGATTATAGAGTACTGCCCTACAAGCTGTTGGGATGCTGCATAATACAAGGTATATTCATTGGATTTCTTTTCAAAACCTAAATAATTCTTAACTCAGAAAACCATCTGGCAGGGGTGATGAACTGGTATAGATAACGGTGGTGAACTGGTACTATTATTATCCCCGTTTCACAGCTGAATAAATTGAGACTAGAAATTGCCACTTACTCAAGTTTCCATTGTTAACAAAAACAGTAAGCAATGTAGTTAATAATATTTTTGAGGGCTTCTCGTGGCAGTCACTTGGTTAAATGTTTTATGTGCATTAATTTAATCATCACCGCAACCCTATGAGTACTATTATTATCCTCATTTCCCAGATGAAGCTTAGAGAGGTTCTAAAATTCCCCCTGGAGACACTGCGATTCAGTGTGGTGAGAAAGGATTTAAAAACAAGCCGGTCCAATATCAATATATTTGATTATTACACTATCCTTTACAAATCTACACCACCAGTCCTTTCCTCTCTTCTAATGCCATTTAGACTATATACCCAATTATCTGATAATAAAAAGATTTAAAAAATATAACTAAGATCATTTTACTCACTTGCTTAAAACTCTATGACTTTCTACTTCATATGGAGCAAAGTCCAAATTCCTTACGATGATCCCTTTCTACTTCTCCCATCTCATTTCCCAACAGAGCAGACTTCTCTTACGCCTTTGCACTACGTATACCCTCTTCCTGGAAGGCTCCCAGATTGTCACACATTTAGCTACCTCTTGTCATTTAGGGCTCAGCTTAAGCTAATCCTGTTTTTCCCTGATTTACCCAGTAAGAGTAGGTCTTTAATCATACCATTAATTCCATCATTCTCTTTACATAGCACATAAATATATTTTCAATGTTTATCTATTTTCTTTTTCCTTTCCTTTTAATGTAAATTCAACCAGAGTAGGCACCTTGTCTGTTCTGGTTTCTTCAGAAGTTCCAGTCTCTCATATGGTAGGTGCTTAATTTTGGCTAAATGATTGCTGTACACGATCAGTAAAAAGTATCTGCTTGTTATTGAATGGTGGGAGATAAACTGATGAGGCAAGTAGGTGACTAAAGTGAAAATGTAAAGATATCTTGAACATCAACTTGATTAGATTTTAATAGCATGAACACCGCCAAGCAGAGTTTCTGATACAGAGAGGTGACAAACATTTGTTGAATGACTGGACAATAAATATTATTACTAGCTTGAATCTTGAGGCAAATTACTTAACCTTTCTGAGCTTAGTTTCCTTGTCTACGAAGATTAAAACTAACTTTTCAAGGCTTCCCTACAAATTATATGGATAATGCATGTCATGTGCCCAGCACACAGCAGGTACTTGTTAGTTTCTTTCTCTTTACATACATATATACTACTTTATGGTTTACAAAGTTCTTGTAAGCTCTTCTAGATTCATGACCTCATTTTATTCCCACAATCTTCTGCAGTACTTCTCATTAGCCTCATTTTACAGATGAAAAACAGACTCAAGGATTGAGACATAGCCTCTTCAGGTAATGAGAAGCCAATGGACATGCTTTATAAGCATAGGAGCGACATGATAAAAAGCAGTGAGGTTTTTTGAAGATTAATCTGTTGGCCTATAAAATGGGCTGAACTGAAAATTGGAGAAATATTATTTTGACTACTAGCATAAAAATCAAGTTTAAGGGCCGGGCGCAGTGGCTCACACCTGTAATCCCAGCACTTTGGGAGGCCGAGGCGGGCAGATCACTTGAGGCCAGGAGCAGGAGACAAGCCTGGCCTACATGGCGAAACCCCGTCTCTACTAAAAAATACAAAAAATTGGCCCGGCGTGGGGCTCGTGTGCCTCCCAGCTACTCGGGAGGTTGAGGCACATTTAGAATCGCTTGAACCCGGTAAGCGCAGGTTGGCAGTGAGCCGAGATCGCGCCACTGCACTCCAGCCTGGGCGACAGAGCGAAACTCGGTCAAAAAAAAAAAATCAAGTGTAAGATGATAAGGGCCTGGCAGAAGTGTTTAAAAGCCTAATGAACTTAAAAATATTGAAAAGCCAGATAAGTCCCCCAAAGGAACAAAAATTTAAAAATGGTAGTTTTCAAATCTGGCTGGCTGAGAAAATGATGGTACAAACAACATAAACAATTGAGAAATCAAACTTGGCAAAATCGTTGGTCAGAAGACCTTCTCTCCAATACCTAGGCAGAACTTCTGGCAAATAATGACAAACATCTGAGCCATTTCTTCAGTGTCATAGCGACTTTTTGCTTTCACTCCTCCCACTGGCTTCACCACCTGGACAAGAGCATGTTAAGGTCCTTCTGATCTTGCTTCCTAGATGCAGTACGGTGGGAAGCAGAATCTGGGTAGTGTGGAATTAGAAACCAAGCTTTCGAAGTTCCAGGACTTGGACTAAATCGCCTTTTTCCTTCTCTGTCAAATAAGGGGACCCTTACTTCACCTCCTTCCCTAGTTTTAAGACTAGACACCCTCTCCACATCAGCACAAAGCGCTTTTATTTAGGCGCGTGCCGCCAAACCAAAGGCGCTCGCGCCGAGCTAAGCTCCTGTCGGTGAGCTTACGTCACTTCCGGCGCGCTGACGCTCAGTTGTGCGTGCCGACGCCCGCGTCAGCAAAGAGCGGAGCTGAGGGTACCCGGTTTGAAGTCGTGCGGGTCGGAGGACTGCCGCCTCCGCTACCGTCTTGGACCCCTGCTTACCGGCCGCCGCGGGGACGAGCTCGGGTAGGCGGCAGGGCAGATGCCCGAGGGCCTGCGCTGGAACGCCCCACGCCGCACCGGCCGCTCCCCTGTGCTCCGCGGCCTGGGCCTGCGCCGCTCAGCTCTCTGGAAACTAGCGCCTCAGCTGCGCGGCGCGTAGGTCGCGGGGAGCTCCGAACCGCCGGCGCCCGGCCATGGCGGTCTCCAGGTGGGTCTTGCTCCTGACGAGCAAACTGGAAGGCGATTCAGGGAAGGCATGGTCTCCTCTTAGAGCCCCCACTCCTAGAGAAGAGCGGTTCTCATTGTCACTGGGCTCTGGAGCTTTCTTCAGTAGACTTCGGAGTTCGCCCCGTGGTCGGCGGGGGTTTGGGCTCGGGTTACTCCTGGGTAAATCGGTTCAATAATGCCTTTTTCTTGTTAATAGACCCCTTGGCACGTTAGAGCTGTTTTTTCTCTTTCCTCACCATGTTTCTGTTCTCTGGTTTCTCTTCCCTCTTTCGATTCTAGGGGAGTCTCTTATCTTTCTCAGTATTCTAAGGCTGGTCCCTAACCTCCATTTCATGGGAAAACTTGGTAGTTACTGTCGATGGAGGGGAAACCTGAATTACTATTATCTAAGAGACCGTCTAATTATGTTACCAGTTTTAATTTACGTTTTTAGGGGTATGTTCTTTCCTGAGATGTTTTTTAAAATTAAGTATAATTTCTCCTTTTGTTTGGCAGTAAACATTCCAACGTCAGCGTTGTAACCTTAAGCCAATTATCGTATTAGCATCATTTTCCGTAACTAAGGCGTGGAAGATAAATCACAGATCTTATATTCTTTTGAAATATTGCCTGTCAACAGGAAAGCCCAGGAAAACTATAGAAAAACTAACGACATTTATTTGTATAGCTATAGGAGAAACATTACTTTTTCCTCCGGTATGATAGAATGGTTGGAAAGCTTTTGTAAGCGGAATTTGGTGACCCTCTGTACATGTAATTAAGGGATAGTTCCTCTGTGATAGTGATCGGATGGATTCACCAAGTTCCTTAGAGTTGATATGGTAACTTTTAATGAGAATTGGATTCTTTTACCATATAGACTGAAGGAATAAATGATGAAAACAAATAGTTTTCATTTTTTTATAATTAACTGAACACATTCTTTGAGCGTATTAAGTGCACAAGTTTTATCTGTTTTGCAAGGGAAAGGATAACCCATTCCTTACAGACTCCCTAGATGACTGATGAAATAGTGTGTGGGAGAAGCCCATGGGAGTTGGGTGAAGGGGGTTGCTAGGTACCGTAGTATGGGGCATCTGATTTTTATTTTATAATCTATTCAATGTGAGGAAATTTTTTTTTAAATAAAACTGCCTTGAGAGAATACAAGTGACATTTTACATTTTTGCAAATATAGAAAGGTGTATCTTCTAATTTGTTACCTCCCATATAAATGCATGAATATATACATTGTAAATGCATTGATATGTAAACTTAATATAACATTTATCAGGTAATAGTGTTTAAGGAGATGAGTACTTCTTTTCTTAGAGCAACCTGTGCATTTTCACAGGATTGGATGTAGCTTTATAAAGACAAAATGAAAGTGTTTAAAAAGAACCTAATTTTCGGGCAACGCTAATCTCTTTTTTTTTTTTTGAGAAGGAATCTGGCTCTGTAGCCCAGGCTGGAGTGCAGTGGCGAGATCTCGGCTCACTGCAAGCTCCGCATCCCGGGTTCAGGCCATCCTCCTGCCTCAGCCTCCCAAGTAGCTGGGACCACAGGCACCCGCCACCACACCTGGCTAGTTTTTTGTATTTTTAGTAGAGACGGGTTTCACCGTGTTAGCCAGGATGGTCTCGATCTCCTTACCTCGTGATCCGCCGGCCTTGGCCTCCCAAAGTGCTGGGATTACAGGCGTGAGCCACCGCGCCCAGCCAACACTAATCTCTTTACGGAATTTTAGGACAGTTAATATTTCTCAATGACTGAGTGGGTTTTGAAGGTACTGTCTTTTGTTCTGGATGTTGTGTTTCAAAGAGTAGCACTCTTTTTCTGTGGATTTTTTTCTCGTTCACTTTTTTAAAAGCCTGTCATGTTTTTATGGAAGAGCTATTTCTGTGCTTAGTTTCCTTGGGCTCAGTAGTAAGCCCAAGGAAAACATTTTGAGACACTTGTGTGTTTTGGGGATAGTGTCAATTCTTGACTTTTTCACCTGTGGATTTCTTTGAATGGCAAATTTTAGTTTCAAGCTGGCCTTCTCCATGCACGAAGCACAGTTCTGTGCTAACTAAACTTCCTTTCTCTCCTGTTGGTGCAGACTCATTTTAATACTATTTTACGTAAAATAGGTGGAAAATAGCCCAGGAGATAAAAATCATATGCTAAAATCAAATCTAAAATATTTTTTGCACTGTTTATTTCATATGCATAACTGAAGAGAAACTGTAATATTTTTAGGACATTTCCACCAGAATTTCCAACAGATGGGAAATAGTAAGTTAGTACCATTATTCCCTCAATTGTCTGGTCAAGAAATTTGAGAATGTTCTTTGACTTCCCTTTTCCTCCCACACCCCATGTCCAGCCAGTTACCAAATCCAATCCTGTATATTCTGCCTTTCTAATCTTTCTCCAGCTGATCATTTTTCTTTCTATACCAGTTACCACAATCCTAGAACATGCCACCATCTCTAGTCCAAGACACCTTTAGAGAGACGCTTCCCTTTTGTCACTGTAAAGCTACATCCAATCTTTTGAAAATACACACTCAACCCTAGGAAAGGAAGTACTCATCTCCTTGAACATTGTATCACCTGATAAGTCTCATAGTAAGTTTATGTATCAATGTATTTGGTATTTGGACATGTTTAGTACAAGACAGGAGCCTCTCTCCTTTTCCTGCCTTCCATGGCATCTCATTTCAATCTGTTCTTCGCTTCAGTCATATTATTTACTGATTTGAAGATTTGAACATGAACATGGTAATCTTTCTAATTAATACCTTTAGTTGTTTCCTATTGCCTTAGGATAAAGTCCACATTCTCAAACAAACATATCTTACCAAGTCCTTTGTGATCTGGTTCCTGTGTCATCTTTTTAGATTCATCTTGTGTCAACTTCTCTGTACTTCCCCTTCACCTTCTTCTCTCTTCTATCCTCCACCCTCCCCAGAATTCATTTTGTTACCCCCTACTGTTTATCTTTGGAACACTTCTTAGCCCCATCTCAGGTATGGCTAGTTCTGACCTTAGTGTGTTTTTTTGTTTGATTTTTTTTTTTTTTGAGACAGAGTTTTGCTCTTGTTGCCCACGCTGGAGTGCAATGGTGCGTTCTTGACTCACCATAACCTCCACCTCCCGGGTTCAAACGATTCTCCTGCCTCAGCCTCCCGAGTAGCTGGGATTACAGGCATGCACCACCACACCCGGCTAATTTTGTATTTTTAGTAGAGATGGGGTTTCTCCATGTTGGTCAGGCTGGCCTCGAACTCCTGACTTCAGGCGATCCACCTGCCTCAATTTTTTGATCTAAGCTTATATATTACCTTGTTCAGGACATTTTCTCTGGTTTTACTTCATCTGAGCTATTTGCACCAATACATATTCCTATCAGTCATAATATTTATATTTTGTAATTGGTTAATTGTTCTCTTACTTGCTGGATTAACATAAACTCTGAGAGAAGGAAATGTGTCTTTGATTTTTCCATGCTCAGAATGCCTGGCTCCTAGTGGGTGTTCAGTACATTTAAAAAAAAAATGAATGAATGATTTTGCTTCTTGCTTTGGTACCTTTTGAGTTGCCATATGAGTTGCCTCATAAAGCAAAATAATGGTATTCAAAGATATAACAATTATTATTTAAATTATTCACAAGAAACACTGAAAGCCTGTAACATATACTAATTTGTTTTTTGCTGAGGTTGACTTTGTGGAAGCAAGTCAAGTAACTAGTGAATGACTAGCTGACTTTCCAGCATCCGCATCTTAGGGACAACATTGTTCTCTACTCCTACATTTGTAGGAGTATGATTTTACCGTAATTTGTGCATAGTAGACTATTTCCAGTGTTTTTCAGTGAGTACTTTTGAGTTTAACTGCCTTTTTTCTTTTTTTTTTTTTTTTTTTGCAGTAAGGAAAACTTTCACTATAGCTTTTTAATATTGGCCATTTTCTAATTTTAACAATCATCGGAATATTTTTTTCTTTTTAAAGCTATCTCCTATAGGAAGGCAATTAGAATAATTTTTGAAGTTTATAATATAGTAAATTCTGTGATAGCATGGCCATTTATAATGCAAAATTGATATGATGTATTTTATGTGGTCAAATTTTTTAGACCCTGCTTAATAGGCTTGGTTTTACTGTACTTTCAGTTGTAAGAATGTGGCAGATTATGAAATGCATGGCCAACTCTTGATCTGTAGCTGAATTACATCTTGCAAAAATAACTTTGTTACTCTCTAAAATTGTAAATACAATCATAGCATTTGAAGTTCTCTGTCAAATCCAGTGAAATATCACTGGAAAATGATATGACTCTTTTAAACCCTTAGTAAAAGACCCAAAATCCAAATGTAGGAGTAGAGAACAATGTTGTCCTTAAGATGCGGATGCCGGAAAGTCAGCTAGTCATTCACTAGCTACTTGACTTGCTTCCACAAAGTCAACCTCAGCAAAAAACAAATTAGTGTATGTTACAGGCTTTCAGTGTTTCTTGTGAATAATTTAAATAATAAGTGTTATATTTTTGAACACCATTATTTTGCTTTATGGGGCTTTTTCTCATTATCATGTGTTACTTAGTTGGGATTTTGCCACCAACGGTAAAAGCAACCTTTGCGATCGCAGCACTGCACTCCAGCCTGGGCAACAGAGCAAGAATCCATCCCCCCCCCCCCCGCCCCCCAAAAAAAGCAACCTGAGATGGATTTCTTTGGCATTTTTGTTGTTTGTTTGTTTGTTTGTTTTTGGAGGCAGAGTCTCACTCTGTCCTCCAAGCTGGAAAGCTGGAGTGCAGTGGCACAATCACGGCCTCAAGTGATCCTCCCACCTCAGCCTCCCCAGTTGCTAGGACCACAGATGCATACCACCATGCCTGGCTAATTTTTTTTGTATATTTTGTAGAAGTGGGGTTTCATCATGTTGCCCAGGCTGGTTGCAAACTCCTGGGCTCCAGTGATCCACGTGGCTTTGCCCCTAAAGTGCTGGGATTACTGGTGTGAGCCACTGCGCCTGGTTTAGGTTTATTCATTGGTGGGGAATCTGTAGCTGTGTTGGGAACCATGACTTAATACAATTTTTTAAACAGCTTGTTTTTGCTACCTTTGCCTGTTTATGCCACAATTAATGGAACTGATCATTGTATATTGGCTAGTTAATAGGAACATAGTTTTTCCTTAATCAGCTAGAGAAAGTTTCAGAAATATATAGTTTTCCCTCAGCGATCTGTGCTGTAAAGGTCATGTCTAAAATGTCTAGACAGTACTTATAATATGACTGTTTTAAAAGCCATACCTTAGATTTCTCACATATCTTTGCATTTGAAAATGTTACAGTGTTCAGAAAGGGTTCAGAAAAAACAAAAACACATCCTCTTGTGGAAGAAACAAATTGCTACATATAGCAGACCTTTGCTCAATTTTGTTAATTTTCTCTTTGCACTGTTGATACTTCAGAGCAACATTGTTTCAACAGGCCTATTCTGTCAAATAAAAGGAAGTTTCTTGATGTAGGGGACGTTCAGTGGGTCCTGGACAGGAAAATGTTAATGTAGAAAAAACTACCTTAATTACCAATAAAGGACAACACAGGTTTTCCAGGCCTATTCCTCCCTGTTAATTTATTTTTAATAATTTTTTTTTAATAGAGATGAGGTCTCTCTGTGTTGGCCAGGGTGGTCTTAAACTCTTGCCTCAAGCATTCCTCCCGCATTGGCCTCCCAAATGCTGGGATTACAAGCATGAGCCACCTCACCTGGCCCTTATTGTTAATTTCAATCCATTATAAGATGACAGAAGGAACTATTGTAAATTATAATTCATCAAATATCTCATACTTTAAAAATTTAGAGATAAACTAGAAAAAGTAGAAGAGGCATTAATCAAAGCTTTTCCATTTCAATCCCAATGGTAAATTCCTCCTTATTTCTTTGGCGTATTTCTCAAGGTACTAGTTTGAATTATTATTTTAAAAATTTTTTAATTGTGACACACATAAAAATAGACTGTTCTAACCATTTAAAAATACACTTTAAAATGTATTATGAATTTTACATATTAATACATAATATGTATTAATAAGAAGTTTTAAAACCACCCATACTGCTGCTAAAGAACCTAGATTAGTATGTACTATGTTTTGTCATTAAGATAAAGTCATGCAAGAGGCTATAGGTTGTTCGATCAGGGATGGAGGGTAGAAAAAAATGTCTTGAAGGAAATAGCATAGCTTGGTTGTACATTTTCACCATTCTTCATTTAACCAATATTTACTGAGTGCTTTCTATGTTATAGGTGCTAGAGGTATAGCAGAGAAAAAAACTGTACTCTCCATTCTCATGGAGTTTATGGTCCAGGGTAGAGTGGGGTAACTTATCTAGCAAGCACCTGCCCTTACACCTGGCTTTGGTATGGTTTCACACCTTCATATTGATTCTTAGTGTTCTGTGTGATATCTTTATGTTTAAAACAACATAACATTAACATAGTTTCAAATTACCCACAACATGACCTAGAAAGTATATGTTTAAAAACACTAGAGAATTTGTTGGAAGTTGTTTCTTTTGACCTTAATGATAATATGTGCACTGTACTAAGTTCCACGTATTAAGTACACACTGTACACTATACTAAGTAATGGTCATTATCTTTCCTTACTTCCTGAGTAACACAGAAAAGTAAACATTCAAATCATCTATATTTAAAATTTTACTGTACTTTTGCCACGTGTAAAAAATGTATAACTAAATGGCTACTCTTGACTGGTCATGCTTTTTTAGTTAAGGCCACAAAGCTGTCTTTTTGAGGTATTCTGTCAGTTGACCTTTCCTAATTTATCAGAGAGGTTAAATATATTTTGAAAATATCAGTGAGGCTTTTTGCCCCTCCCCTCCCGAGATGTTTTAGAGTGGAAATACAGTATGTATTTGTTTATTAACTATGACGTAGTAATCTAGGACATGTTTTATTGTTTAAAATGCATGACATTTCTTTCTGTTTATTTTTATGGCTTTACTGTTATGAATTAACATAATGCAAACATCTGGAGAGGAGAGGGGTTAGATTGCAACTGCTAGCATAACCTCTACTACTATGTACTCTTTCCTTTTTCTAGGCAGTCTTTAGAACAGTTGCCTGAAATCACAGGTTACATGAATCATATCTTGTTTAGCTAATTCTCGGAATTGACATCCAGATTGAAAATGGGCCAGATTTCTTATTCTCAATAAATTTATAACCAGTGGATATTACAAAATATAATTTTCTTATGTTTTACTTATCTTCTATAGTCTTTGGTACCTTCCATGCAACTTGACATCTGTTACCTGTGTCTCCTCCATCTGTCTGTCTATCCTTCAGAGAATGAAGAATGTTACTTTTTCCTGCTAGCTGTGTGCAACAGAAGTTTTAGCCAAAAGTAGTATGGGAGTAAGTACTGTGTTCCCTCAGTCAGCCCTCCTTTTAACTTTCCCTTCTCTTCTGACCATCTAGCTTCCTTCAGACCTCTCCCTCACCAAGGGCCCTGTCTACCCTCCAACATAATACTGACTCTGTCTCACGTTCTTTTCCTCTTCCCCACAAGTTCACTGTACCAGCCTTTTCCACCGTGGCCTGGCCCTGATGCTTACCCTGCTTGCCTCATAGCTGGCTATCCTGAGATAACAGGTCAGACTGCCCTCTTGTCAGATCTTTGTCTGCTCATCTCTTTGTTCTTCCTTTTATGTGGTGTCCAATCTGCTGTCCTGAAGAGAGGAATGGAGAACTACGAAAGTGGCTTTAAATCAAGAGAATCAAAGAAGCATTCTTGTGTCTCCATTCCTCTATTCAGGGAGGCAATTTTGGTTACCATCCAAAGTGGAAGAAGTAAGGATAAACAGGCTTGGAATGGATGAGAGAATGAGCTGATCTGCTACCCTCAGGGCATTTGGCTGGTGGGAGAGCAGAGGTGACCTGACATAGCATTGGGATAAAAGGATCTGCAAAAAGGAGAATCAAGAGGAACTGTGTGTCTGTGGGACAGTATCAGCAATTAGGTTAGAGAGGAGTCTAAGGTCTTTGGGCAGGAGTTCTAAGTGAAGCTGGGTAGCAGAGGACCAAAGGAAAAGTTTAAGAAGGATGGAAATTATTGAAGGAATACAGTGCCTATTGCATGGCATTTTTCAGCTTGCTATTTGGGACAAGCGTAACTGCCTCATTCAGAAGGCTGAAGTACTGCTGTGCTGATCTTTTCAGTTACTGAAACATTACATTACCAACTGATTTTTTATGTAAAACTGCTGTCACAGATTAAGGATGTTTCTCAAAGGAAGCAGGAAAAAAAAAGGTAATATAAAATATTTTTTCTTTCCTTAAAGTTGGTTCTTAAACTTGTCCCCAAGAAACTTGAACTTTTCCTTAAGTATAGTTTTAGTTACAGTAAATGTCAACTACATAACAAATATTTGAATACTGTGCAAAGTGTTGTGCGAGACAAAAAGAATGATTGAAGGAGATGAAGCCTAATGAGGAAAATTAGACCTCATGTGACAAATTAATGTGAGAGATGCCACAAAAAAATATAATAAATACTTAAGTAGCTGTTCAAGATGAGAATTCATGTGGATTTCAGAAAAGGAAGTAATCTCTGTTGCATAGTAGTTTGAAATGGTTTCAAGAAGGTGAAGAACTTCAGCTGAATCCTGTTGGATGGGAGCTAGCTGAACAGTTGAACAAAGAGAAAAATACTTTATTTGTTTGCTGTAGCACATTTTATTCTCTTGTTAGAGAAGCAAGCTCAGGCACACCCGAAGATCACCTCTAGTGGTGTATCTGGTTAAATTCCAGGTGATATACCCATATTCTCAGCTGTGCCTCCCACCAACAGTTCCCAGTCTCACACATGGGGCCATTATATCTGCACAGCTGCCTGCTGTTGCAGTGAGGCAGAGTACATACCCACTGCAACCCCAACCAGTGACCATTCTGGGGATCTGGCAGAAACTGGCCAGGAAACCACCCCCTTGAGGAGGGGTGAGCCACTGTAACCCTAGCTTGAAGGGGTGTGAGAGACATTCTGAGTGGAGGAAACAGTATAGGTAAAATTGTGGAAACCAAAAATACCCACATTTGGGAGATACTTTTTGTTTTGGATTACTTTCTGGTAGGTAAGTGTGAGCCATTGAAAGTTTTAAAGTAAGGTAGTGATTTATTCGGGGGCGTTTTAGGAAGTTAATCTGGCAACAGGATGACAAGGCAGTTGGGAGTGTGAAACTGGCACTCTCAGATGGCCTGGATTTGGGGAATATTTGTTCTGGATATAATTTAAACAAATAACAGTATACAGTTTCCTCAGGGAGAAACTGATGAGAGTTGAGCAGTCAAGGATTGAATATGAGTATTCTCCCGATATTCATATTAAGAGTATTAAGAATAGGAGAACTAAGGAAAGAAGAGTTTGGAGAACAGGGTAATATAATGTGCAACTTAGGAAGGAAAGTATTGTAAGAATGGGGTGCTTGCTGGTCGCAGCTGTCAAAGAAGAGTCAAGAAAAATTGACCTTGTAAAAAACTATTGGATTTGGAGCCTAAGAGTTCATTGGTGACCTTCAGGTGTGGTATTTTGGTGTAGAAAGATGGAACCTTGATTTATATGGATTAAATTGTGTATGATGAGGAAATAATATTTTAAACACTTGTTCAAGATGCTTGGCAGTTAAAGTGTTCTAGAGAGTGGAGATCAAGCAGTTTATTTTCTCAGTAGAGAGAGAGCTCTGCATATTGGAAGAAGGGAATGGATTAGTAACACTGATTTGAGATATTGGAGAAAGGATGATTGAATAAGGATAGAAGGGGGATGGTATCAAGACAAAAGTAGGTCAAGAAACCATTTTTTCCCCTTTCTTGGTCCTACTATCTGTCTGACTGACTGTTCACCAATCCTATAGCAAAAGCCAGTGAATGAATGGGTAAAGGCAAGTGTTTAGATAGCCTTGAATGAGGAAGGAGAAATATGGTGTCAAAAGATTGGATATGTCTGTGTATAGTGTATGTGTAAAGTAAATTAATTTTAGAATGTCATTAGAAATTAACTGTGTTGTATTACTCTCTTTGTATGACTAGCTTCATAGTTTGAGGTCTTAGATTTAAGACTTTAATCTATTTTGATTTAATTTTTTTTTTTTAAGACACAGTCTCACTCTGTCACCCAAGCTGGAGTGCAGTGGTACAATCTCAGCTCATTACAACCTCTGCCTCCCGGATTCAGAAGCAATTATCCTGCCTCAGCCTCCCTAGTAGCCGGGACTACAGGTGGATGCCACTACACCTGGCTGATTTTTGTATTTTTAGTAGAGATGGGGTTTAACCATGATGGCCAGGCTGGTCTCGAACTCCTGACCTCAAGTGATCCTCCCACCTCCACCTCCCAAAGTGCTGGGATTACAGACATGACCACGCCCAGCTGAGTTTCCTCCCATTTTACTTCATGTATCACACTGCTGCCAGATTAATCTTCCTAAAGCATAGTTTCAGTTCCATTAGTTTCTTGACCCAAGACCTTCATGGTTGCAAGTTCATTAAAAGGTCTCCACGGTAGGGTTCCAGCTACTTCTGTAGCTGTATCTCCCACTCTTCTCTTAAGTGTACCCTGAATTGCAACCAAACTGTTATTCATTTCCCTAAATATACTCTCCCTTCTCTTATTGTTGTGTTCTTGTTTTCCTTCTTCCGGGTATTTCTTCCCCTTTCCCTTTCACCACCTAATCTCCACCAGTGTTAAAATTATTTTCTACCACTAAGATCCATCTCATACACCATTTATTTTATGAAGCCTTTTCAGTATTACATAGTTGGGGATATAATATTCGCTCCTTTCTTTCATAATCCTCAAAGCACTTTGTACTTTTTTTCCTGCCATGTATCTTATTGTACTTGACTTACCTGCTCCCTTCAACCCCAGTAGCAAGTTCCTTAAGAGTAGAGATTAGGCATCTCTTGTAGTCCTAGCATAGGTCACTTTTATTTTTATTTTTGCAATTTTAGAAAAAGTATTATTTTAATTGACAGATAAATGTACATTATTATGGGAGTAGTGTGATATTTTCATACACATATACAATGTAATGATCATATTAGCATATTATTCACCTTAAACATTTATCATTTCTTTGTGTTGGGAACATTCAAAATGCCTCTCTTCTGGCTATTTGAAAATATACGGTAAATTGTTGTTTAGTCACTCTGCAGTGCCACAGAACACTAGAACTTGTTTCTTCTATTTAGCTGTAAATAGACGGTTAACCAGCCTCCCCCATCCCTCTTGCTTTTCCTACCCTTCCCAGCTGCTAGTAACCACTTATTCTACTCTTGACTTCTCTGAGATCGACTTTTTAGCTTCCATTTATGAGTGAGAATATGCGGCATTTATCTTTCTGTGTCTGGCTTATTTCACCATAATGTCTTTCCGGGGCTCATTTATGTTAGCGTAGGTCTTCATTCATAGCATCTGCTCAGTACGTTTATTGACTTAAACTTGTACATACGAGGAAAAGCATTTGAGAATAACCATTGTATTTTTGTTATTTCAGGCTAGATCGCCTTTTTATTTTACTGGATACTGGCACTACTCCTGTTACAAGAAAAGCTGCTGCACAGCAACTTGGAGAAGTGGTGAAGCTTCATCCCCATGAACTAAATAATCTCCTGTCTAAAGTAAGAACTTTTTTTTTTCTTTTAGCATAATACAATTGTAGAGACTTATTCATGGATAGGAACACAAAAATAAAGGTAAACATCATCTTAATTTTTAAACATTTTTGCTATTTCTTTTTTTTTTCTGGTCACAAGACTTAAACTTTTTTTTTTTTTAATCAAGTTTAGTAGCTTAAGGGATTTGAGTATAGATCGTTTTGCCTGTGGCACAAATTTGAATCTGTCCCAGTTTGGTAATAAACTAAGTTGTTTATCTGGTTTGTTAGTAGTCTAACTTGTTCTTAATGACTAATAATTATATCATAGTTGGTAGTCTTCAAATGGATGAGTACTCATGGGCAATGATTGAAATACATGAGAAGCTGGAGTCTTGTTACATTCTAAGTTATCAGCTGTTTGAAAATGGAGGCTTTCTGCTTTGGTGTATCAGTGTTTTCATAATCCTAGTCCATTTTCTTCCCTTAAGCAACTGCTGTATTTTTACTAAACTCTGTATGCGTATTGAAGTGTACCTGTATGGTAATAAGTGGCAAATTCTACACATTTAATTTCCTGATGTGCAGAGTAAAGCAGGAGTGCTTTGTATAGGAGGAGGGGAGTTGGGGAGGTAGATACAGGATAGGGTAGGGGAGCAATATGATTGCCCAGATATAGGGAGCCTCAGGATCTCTCTCTCTTTTCAGTTTGACCCCCTTTTTTCATTCTCATCTGCCCATCTCTGTTGAGTATGAGTGGGAGTTCTAAGCCCTTTCTCAGCATACACATCTGTACTGTGTGGTTGCTACCACAAGGACTAACAGTGACTCTCTTTCCAACATAATTCCCACTTAGATATTATCAGAACTTTCTAACTAGGATGTAGATGGAGAGACAGTGATTTGATACCTACAGGCTCCACGTTCTTAGAATGAAGAAGGATGCATATTAGGCAGTATTCGTGTGTAAGTTGGTGACAGAGAGAGGCAACACCTTTCTTCTCCTTAGCCCAGGGGAAGAAATGGAGGACTGAATGACCTGAAACTGTGAAACAATGAACAGGCCTCATCTGTGCTGAACTGAGAAAAGTTTTCCAGCCTTCCCAGTGAGTTCTGGTCTTCTTCACTCAGACCTCAGCATATTGGCTACCATCAAATCATTCCCAAAGAGGCGAAGTTTGCCTTTAGCACTGTCTCACCGTCTTTCCTTTTTCCTCGGCTGTCAGCGTTTTCCTGTTGCCCATTGGTTTTGTTTTCTTTTTTTTTTTTTTGAGACAGTCTCAGGCTGGAGTGCAGTGGCGCGATCTCGGCTTACTGCAACCTCTGCCTCCTGGGTTCAGGCGATTCTCCTGCCTTAGCCTCCCGAGTAGCTGAGACTACAGGCGTGCACCACCATGCCCAGCTAATTTTTGTATTTTTAGTGGAGAGGGGGTTTCACCATGTTGGCTAGGATGGTCTTGATCTCTGGACCTCGTGATCCTCCCACCTTGGCCTCCCAAAGTGCTGGGATTGCAGGCGTGAACCACCGCTCCTGGCCGGTTTTGTTTCTTAAACAGCTTTATTAAAATATAATTTACATACCATGAGTTTCAATTTAGTGGTATTTAGTATATTAACATGGTGTACAGCAGCCATCACCGTACTCTAATTTTAAAACATTTTATCACCACAAAAAGAAACCTCATACCTACTAGCAGTCACTCTTCAATACTCCTTCACTCATGCCCAGATCCTCGACAACCACTAAACTAACTTTATAGGAAGATTTGCCTATCCTGAACATTTTATATAAAATGAATTGTAATCTATTGTGATCGATTTCTTTTGCTCAAAATAATGTTTTTATATTGTAGCATGTATATTCATTCTTATTGCCAAATAATATTCCATTGTGTGGATATACATGTGTACATCTTACTGATTTTTTGGTTGATGAATATTTGGGTTGTTTTCACTTTTTGGCTACTGTATTATGAAAAATGCTGCTATGAAAATTTGTGTACAAAATTTTGGAGGTTTTTTTTCCATTCTCCAGAGTATATATATACCTGAGAGTAGAATTACTGTACCATATGGTAACTTTATGAGGAACTGCCAAACTATTTTCCAAAATGGTCCCATTATTTACGTTTTCAACAGTAGTGTATGAGAACTTAGATTGTCCACATCCTTGTCAATACTTCTTGACTGACTTTGATTATAGCCATCCTGCTGGATATGAAGGGGTTTGATTTGCATTTCCCTGATGACTAATGATATCAGGCATATGTATTTATTATTCATTTGTATGTCTTCACTTGATCTTAGCCAAAAAGCAGAGAAGCAATACATTTGTATATCTTCTTTGGAGAAATGTCTACTCAGATCCCTTGCCCATTTTAAAATTGGGTTATCATTTTATTATGAGTTGCGAAAGTTCTTCATATGGTATAGTTCTTCATATACAAGGTATCCAAACTATACAAAGGTATATGATTAGGAAATAGATATTTGATTTGGAAATATACTCTTCTATGAGCTGTCTTTTTACTTTCTTGAACATCACTTCTGCTTTTGGTGTCATATCTAAGAAACCATTGCCTAATCCAAGGTGACAAAGATTTACCCCTAAGTTCTCCTCTAAGAGTTTTATAGTTTTAGCTCTTACTTTTGGGTTCTGTGGTCAGTTTTTTAGTTAATTTTTGTGTATGTTAATGAGCTGGGTGTTCAACATCATTCTTTTACATGTGGCTTTCCAGTTATCCCACCACCGTTTGTTGAAAAGACTATTATTTCTCCATTGAATTGTCTCAACACCTTTGTTGAAAATCAGTTGACCATAGACACAGGTTATTTATGAACTCTTAATTCTGTGCCACTGATTCGTATGTCTATCATTTTGCCAGTACCACACTGTCTTGATTACTGTTGCTTTGTAGAAAGTTTTGAAGTCAAGAAGTGTATGTTGCCAAGTATGGTGGTACATGCCCATAGGCACAGCTACTCAAGAGACTGAGACAGGAGAATTGTCTGAGGGCAGGAGTTTGAGGCTGCAGTGTGCTATGATTGCACCTGTGACTAAGACACTGCATTTCAGTCTGGGTAACACTGAGACCCCATCTCTAAAAAATAAAAATAAAAAAAGTGTGAGTCTACTAAATTTTTTTTTCAAGATTGCTTTGGTAATTCTGAGTCCCTTGCATTTGCATATACATTTTAGGATCAGCTTTTCCATTTCTGCAAAAAAAAAAAAAAGGGGGGGGGGATTTTGATAGGAATTGTGTTGAATCTCTTGATTAATTTATAGTATATTACTGTTGTAACAATCTGAAGTCTTTGAATCCATGAACACAAGGTGTCTATTTAGATCTTTAATTTCTTCAACAATATTTTTAGTGTTTTTTAGCTTTCATTGTACAAGTCATACACTGCTTCTGATAAATTTATTCTTAAGTATTTTCTACATTCTGATGCTACTGTAAATGGCATGGTTTTCTTAATTTCATTTTCAGATTGTTTAATGTGTGGAAATACAATTGATTTTGTGTATTGATCTTATATCTTACAACCATACTAAACTTGAGATTTTATAACTTTCAATTCTTTGTATTAAGTAATGGGACTTAATGAATAATATGTATTTTGCTTTTTAGTATGTAAAATGGGTGTTATTTTTAAAATGCACTTAAACATTCTTTTATTACAAGTTTCTTTTCTTTTTGAGACAGAGTTTTGCTCTTGTTGCCCAGATTGGAGTGCAGTGGCGCCATCTCGGCTCACTGCAACCTCTGCCTCCCGGGTTCAAGTGATTCTCCTGTCTCAGCCTCCCAAGTAGTCGGGATGACAGGTGTGTGCCACCATGCCTGGCTAATTTTGTATTTTTTGTAGAGATGGAGTTTCACCATGTTGGCCAAGCTGGTCTTGAACTCCTGACCTCAGGTGGTCTGCCCACCTCGGTCTCCCAAAGTGCTGGGATTATAGGTGTGAGCCACTGTGCCTGGCCACAGGTTTCTTAAATCCCCTTTTTAAGGTGGTAGTGATTTTTCTCTGAATGATAGAATCTTGTAAATGAATTTAATAATTCTAAGGTGTTTTATATGTATTTGGATGGCTGCCAAATTACACATTAATAACAAGTAAATTTGTATTTCTCTGTTCTGGCTACCTTGCGCAAACAATATTTTTGTATACGTAACTTTTATTTTATAATTTTTAAGGTGTTGATATATTTAAGGAGTGCAAATTGGGATACCCGGATTGCAGCAGGACAAGCTGTTGAAGCTATAGTGAAAAATGTACCTGAGTGGAATCCAGTGCCGAGAACCAGACAAGGTGCTTTTAAGTGGAGAAAGTAGTTTTAAGTAAAAACCTAACTGTAGAATTAATTATAATATGCGTTTTGTATTTTAATAATTTCAATTTTAAAGTCTTAATTTCCATGCTTTTAGGTACAGCTTTGTCAGGAAATGATACTGAATAAGGTGATTTTTCACCACATTAAAAAAAAAAAACTACTGGATATAGAAAATGTTTTTGTATACATTTTAAATTACAAATTCTACAGTATGCTTGATTTACAAGGGTTATTACTTCCCTTCAAGTAATTGACATTCTAAAAAAAGTTAAATCAGTACAGTGTAAATATTTGAAAGTCTTTTTTTCTTGTTGCTGGGAGAATAGTATAGGGTAGTTATTTTCTACATTTAAGCACAATTATATATGGATATTTGGAATGTGAAGTCTTGTTTTTTATGTGCCCTTTTTTGGATTTTTTGTAGTGGGAAAAAATGTGTTCTGATTGCCTGTAATGACATTTAAAAACAAATTACATGCTTTTGAAAAGCTGGAAAGCTGCACATTTTAATTAAATCAAAATTTAATGGTACAACTAGATTCGTTTTCAACTGACTTTTATTTTATTTTATTATTTTGTTTTATTTTATTTATTTTATTTTATTTTATTTTTTCGAGACAGAGTCTCACTGTGTCACCCAGGCTGGAGTGCAGTGGTGCAGTTTTGGCTCACTGCAGCTTCCGCCTCCTGGGTTCAAGCAATTCTTGTGCCTCAACCTCCCAAGTAGCTGCGATTACAGTTGTGCACCACCATGCTCAGCTAATTTTGTATTTTTAGTACAGATTGGGTTTTGCTTTGTTGGCCAGGCTCGGGGGGGTGGGGTTTGAATCCCTGGCCTCAAGCATGATTTAGCCTCAAGCTGAGGCCCACGTCAGCCTCCCAAAGTGCTGGGATTAGAGGCATGAGCCACTGTGCCCGGCCTCAACTCCCTTTAATAACATCACTTTTATCATAAGTCTTAGCTTGCCTAATACTGTTGCTTTATATTTGCTGATACCTGTTATTTTGAGTTATTTTGTTAATTTGTCTTCTCTCATTAAATGAAATGTGTGACTAGAGAAGTTATAACTTGTTTTAGAAAAGAGCCTTTTCCTTTTCAGCTTGTTATCCCCACTTAGTTTGGTATGTAAAGATGGTACAACTTAGTTCCGTTTTTAAAAGACTTAATTTTTTTAAAAAACTCGCATTAAGCTAGCATTAAATTTTTAACTAGCTTTAAAATTTTTACTAAATGAATTTGCTTATCATCACTAGAAAACTTAAAATACTAATAGAAATTCCTTTTAAGTTAAGCAGTTATACTTTAGTTTACAGATGAATTTCATGCAGATGCCAGCTAAACAAACTATTAAGTCAGTAAGTAATTATATTTTAACATGTATAACTTACAGCTTTTTGAGGAAGGAATACAGAACATTTTATAGATGTTTTTAGACCTCACATGGATATGTGATTTTAGCAAGTTACCAGGAGATTCTTATTTGCCCAGAGTATGAGAACTGAGTCCTGTTGAGTGCATAGTTGCTTTGTGGCTCAGCCTGTTCCTCAGGTATGGGGAGGGATGATTCTTATTAGCCTTATTCATGAATACATTCTGCGAATATTTTTGTCTTCTAACTGAGCACTGTAATAAACTCATGCTGTTACCTTAGTATTTTTAAACTCTTAACAGTAAGTAGAGACAGCATGATATTTAACATATACATTTTAACATGGGAATGCAATTTCTTTATATAAATAACATTTTGCTTTTGTGGTTGGACACAGTTACACATATACTCACTAACATCTGATGGTCTGTGGAAAAGGAACCACCAACTTATTCACAGATAACTAAGAACTGATCATAAACCCACAGTAGCTTTTCTACTTACTACACTTTTACTTTTCTCAAAATATTACTATCCGGGTACAGTGGCTTACGCCTGTAAATTCCAGCACTTTGGGAAGTTGAGGCAGGAGGGGATTGCCTGAGCCCCAGAGTTTGAGACCAGCCTGGGGCAAGATGGTGAGACCCTTGTCTCTACAAAAATAAATAAAAAACACTTAGCTAGGCATGGTTGTGTGCACCTGTAGTCCTAGCTACTCTGGAGGCTGAGGCAGAAGAAGTCCTTGATCCCAGGAGTTTGAGGATACAGTGAGCTGTGATTATGCCACTACATTGCAGCCTGGGCAACAGAGCAAGACCTCACTTCTTAAAAAAAAAAGTTTGTGTGTGTGTGTGTGTGTGTGTGTGTGTGTGTAACCCATGCAACCCAAGTAATGATATGCTATTTTCTTTCATTCCACACTTTGGCTATATGGTCAAATTAATATTTTTAAACCTCATGTAGAACCTACTTCCGAAAGTTCTATGGAAGATTCACCTACTACAGAGCGATTGAATTTTGACAGATTTGATATATGTAGATTGTTACAACATGGTGCATCACTCCTGGGATCTGCTGGTGCCGAATTTGAAGTCCAAGATGAAAAATCAGGTCTGTAGTGGTTCTGAGAAGAAAGTCTAAAATTTGTTTTTTCAGACTAATTTGTCACTGTGGTATGCTGTTCATTAGTCACACGTAAACTAACATGTCATGAAATGTAAATTAACTGAAGTTTGCAGGTGGCGGGGGATGCTATGAATGGGAGGTAACCCAGCAGTATTTGGTTTAAAGCTACAATATGAGTATTTTTTCTCCTTTAAGTGAATATGTGCATCATTAGTTGATACATATTAATATTTCAGCAACAATTTTATTATGTAGTATGGAAATTATAAAGTGTTCCCCAAGAGCCCCAGTTTAATATATTATAAAATCAGGATTAGTATAGATCGTGGTAGTGTTTTCACAATTCTGGAAATTTGAGAGATTGATTGTTTTGTTTTTATCACATATTTCTGATATTATTGGGTTTACTCATGCTGGTGTCCAACGCAAAAACTAAGAGTGAAAAATAAGACTTGGATAGGTATTCACACCTGTAATCCCAGCACTTTGAGAGGCCAAGGTGGGTGGATCACCTGAGGTCAGGAGTTCGAGAGCAGCCTAACCAACATGGCGAAACCCTGTCTCTACTAAAAATACAAAAATTAGCCGGGCATGGTGGCGAGCGCCTGTAATGCCAGCTACCCGTGAGGCTGAGGCAGGAGAATTGCTTGAACTTGGGAGGCGGAGGTTGCAGTGAGCCGAGATCACACCACTGCACTCCAGCCTGGGCAACAGAGGTAGACTCTGTCTCAAAATAAGAAGAAAAAAATACCGGATAGGTATTGTCCTAATATTTTTAAACTTACAGAATCTATCTGAATATAAAATTACTGTTTTGGCGATTCAAGATAATGGCCTGGAGTGGGGAAAAAACCTTGATGTTTTAAATGGATTTTTGTAAGTAAATAATTTGCATTTTTGAGTAAAAAACAAAACAGAATAACACTCTGTTGCTAATTAATCGTCATTTAGAGGCTTATTAATATATTCACTTTTTTATCATAAAAAATGTCAAATACTCATTTCATCTTGTTTAGTATGGTTTCTATTAAAAGATCTAGTTATTTTTGCAGAGAATTAAGAGGATAATTTGCTTAAGTTTTGGAAAAGCATAGTTTTTCTAATAATGGAGGTAAAACTCTTCAAAATCTTTTCATTTATATCACTAAATAGTAAGTTTACTAACTTTACTAGTGTATTCATGGACATTATCAGAGATCAAAATTATATATATTTTGGTTTTGCCATATTCTTATTTCATAGATCTATGAAGAAGTCTAGGTAATTGTATTTCAAAGAAAAGCCTGGCTCAGCGTGGTGGGTCACACCTGTAATCCCAGCACTTTGGGAGGACGAGACGGGCAGTTCACCTGAGATCGGGAGGTCGAGACCAGCCTGGCCAACATGGTGAAACCCTGTCTGTACTAAAAATATGAAAATTAGCTGGGTGTGGAGGCGGGTGCCTGTAATCCCAGCTACTCTGGAGGCTGAGACAGGAGAATGGCTTGAACCCGGGAGGCGGAGGTTGCAGTGAGCTGCGATCGTGGCCATTGCACTCCAGCCTGGGTGACAAGAGTGAAACTCTGTCTCCAAATAAAAAAAAAAAAGAAAAGTCCTATAGGTGATTCTGATATGTAACCAGGATTGGGAACTGCAGTTTCTTGGGAACTCAGTTTTTTAGTGCTAGTAAGTCACAGCTTGCTGAACAGTGCTTGTTTAAAACCCTGTAGTTAGGTTTTCTTTAAATGTTGATCTGTGTTTGTCCCCTCATATATATTAATGACACCATATATGATTAGTATACATACTGGTCTGGGTTTCCTTTGCAGCTGGTTGTGTAGATTATTTCCCCCAATAGGGCTTCGCCTGGAATGAGAGGACCAATTTTAGGCTCTGTGTAAGTGTATTGGGGTTGTGATCAAGCAGTCTTTTGGATGCCTAGTGTTTTTCCCTCCTGGGTAGACCAATCTTTAAAAAAATTTTCAAGCAGCTTTATTGAGATATAATTTATACATTATACAATTCATCATTTAAAGTATACAATTCAGTGGTTTTTAGTATACTCACAGGTATGTGTAACTATCACCACAATTTTAGAACATTTTCGTCACTTTAAGAAGAAACCCCATATCCTTAGCTATCACCCTTTTATCCTCTTACTTCCTTCCCTCCTCTTCCCAGCAACCATGAGTCTACTTTTGGTCTCTTTAGATTTGCTTATTCTCAACATTTTATATTTGGTCACATACCACATAACAGCATTTAAGTCAGCAACAGACTAGGACTGCATATACAGTTGTGGTCCCATAAAATTATATTACTGTATTTTTACTGTACCTTTTCTATGTTTAGATATATGAATACTTACCATTGCGTTACAGTTGCCTACAGTATTTAGTAACATGCTATACAGGTTTGTAGCCTAGGAGCAACAGGCTATACCATACAGTGTAGCTGTGTTGTAGGCTTTATGATCTAGGTTTCTGTAAGCACACTGTGATGTTGACAACAACCACAAAATCACTGAATGACACATTTCTCGGAATGTACTCATCATTAAATGGCATGTGGCTGGTAAATTGAATCATACAATATGTGGTCTTTTGTGGTGGTTTTTTTTTTACCTAAGAGAATATTTTCAAGGTTCATCTATATGACAGCGTATATCAGTACTTTTTTTTCTTTTCTAAATTTTATTACTGTTAAGGGATGTATCAGGTTTTTTAAATTGTGGTAAAATATATATAACAAAAAATTTACCATCCTTAACCGTTTTTAAAACTTAAGTTTAGTAATGTTAAGTACAGTCACATTGTTGTGCAGCCAGTCTCCAGAAGTCTTCATCATGCAAAACTGAAACTACCTATTAAACGTCAAATCCCCATTTCCCCCTTTCCCCAGCCCCTGGCAACCACCATTCTTTCTGTCTCCATGAATTTGACTACTCTAGATGCCTCATGTAAGTGAATCCTACAGTGTTTGTCTTCTTGTGATGGGCTTATTTCACTTAACTTGATGTCCTCAAGGTTCATCTGTGTTGTAGTATGGGACAGAATTTCCTTTCTTTTTAAGGCTGAATAATAGTCCATTGTATGTATATAAATTTTGTTTATCCATTCATCCATCAGTGGACACAGGCTTATTCCACATTTTGACTGTTGTGAATAATGCTACTGTGAACATGGATGTACAGATATCTGTTTGAGTTACTGCTTTCAGTTCTTTGGGGTATATACCCAGAAGTAAATGGCTGGATCAGATGGTCATTCTATTTTTAATTTTTTGAGGAGCTGCCATTCAGTTTTCCCTAACAGCTGCATCATTTTACATTTCTACCAACAGTACACAAGGGTTCCAATTTCTCTACATCCTTGCCAACTCTTGTTATTTTCTGTTTTTTGATAGTTGCCATCCTAATGGATATGATGTGGTAGTATTTCATTTTATGGCCAAATAATATTCCATTGTATGAATACCACAATTTGTAAAAGCCTTTCATTAGTTGATGGACATTTGGGTTGTTTCTACCTTTTATCTGTTTTGAAAAATACTGCTGGGAGGCAAAGGCGGGTGATCACCTGAGGTCAGGAGTTTGAGACCAGCCTGACCAACATGGAGAAACCCCATTTCTACTAAAAATACAAAAATTAGCCAGGCGTGGTGACGCATGCCTGTAATCCCAGCTACTTGGGAGGCTGAGGCAGGAGAATCGCTTCAACCTGGGAGGCAGAGATTGCGGTGACCCAAGATCGCGCCATTGCACTTCAGCCTGGGCAACAAGAGTGAAACTCTGTCTAAAAAAAAGAAAGAAAGAAAAATACTGCTGTAAAAATTCATGTACAAGTTTTTGTTTGGACATATGTTTTAATTTCCCTCAGGTAGATACCTAGGAGTGGAATTACTGGCTCATATGGTAACTGTATTTTACCATTTGAGAAACTGCCAGAGTTTTCCAAAGTGGCTCTGCTATTTTACATTCAATTTCTCAACATCTTTTCCTAACACTTATTATCTGATGTTTTGATTATAGCTGTACTAATGGTGTGAAGTGATATCTCATTGTGATTTTGATTTGCATTTCCCTGATGTCCAATAATGTTGAACTTCATTTCATGTATTGACCATTTGTATACCTTCCTTAGAGAAATGTCAATTCATATAACTTGCACGTTTTTCATTGGGTTATTTGTCCTTTTATTATAAGTTGTAAGAGTATATGTTCTCAATACAAGCTTCTTACCAGATATGTGATTTATGCATTTCCTTTTTTTCTTTTTCTTTTCTTTTTTTTTTTTGAGACAGAGTCTCACTCCATTACCCAGGCTGTAGTGCAGTGGTGTGATCTCTGCTCACTGCAACCTCCACCTCCTGAGTTCAAATGATTCTCCTGCCTTGGCTTCTTCCTGCAGTAGCTGGGATTACTGGTGCCTGCCCCACACCCAGCTAATTTTTTAATTTTTAGTAGAGATAGGGTTTCACTGTTGTGGCCAGGCTGGTCTTGAACTCCTGACCTCAGGTGAACCACCGGCCTTGGCTTCCCAAAGTGCTGGGATTACAGGCATGAGCCATCACCCCCAGCCTGATTTACACATATTTTCTACTGCTCTATAGGTTATCTTTTCATTTCCTCTGTGGTAAGAAGCATAAAAGTTTTAAATTTTTATGAAGTCCAATTTTTTTGTATTGTTTTGTTTGTTTCTCAAGTTTTTGGTATTATATGTAAGAAACTTGCCAAATTCAAGCTCATTTACCTCTGTTTTCTTCTGAGAGTTTTATAGCTTTAGTTTTTAGTTATTTTATCGATTTTGAGTTTTTTTTGTATATGTTTTGAGGTTAAGGGTCCAACTTCATTCTTTTGCATGTGGCTATCCTGTTGTCTCAACACTATTTGTAGAATATACTGTTCTCTTTCTCATTGAATTGCTCTGGAACTCTTGTCAAAAATCAATTGACCATCAGACACATAGGTTTATTTCAGGACTCTTAATTCTATTCCATTGATGTCTATTCTTACGCGAGTACCACATTGTCTAAATTATTGTTGCATTGTAGTAAGTTCTGAAATCAAGATGCATGAGCCTCCAACTTTGTTCCTGTTTTTCAAGATTGTTTTGGTTATTCTGAGTCTCTTGCATTTCCATATGAATTTTAGGACCAGTCTGTCAATGTTTGCAAAAAAAAAAAAAAAAAAAAAAGCCAGCTGGGATTTTGATAGCAATTTTGTTGAATCTCTGTATACATTTGGGAAATATTAGTGTTTTAACAATATTTACTCTTATGATGCATGAACATTTTCATTTAGTTTTTAATTTTTTTCATTTTATACTTGACAGAATACAAGTTGCTATCGTAAATAGAATTGTTTTCTTAATTTCATATTTGGGCTTTTGTTTCTTTATATCTTTTTTCTCTTTGTTCTTTAGATTGGGTACTTTGTATTGCTTTATCTTTTTTTTATTATTATACTTTAAGTTCTAGGGTACATGTGCACAACGTGCAGGTTTGTCACATATGTATACATGTGCCGTGTTGGTTTGCTGCACGCATTAACTCGTCATTTACATTAAGTATTTCTCCTAATGCTATCCCTCCCCCATCCCCCCACCCCACGACAGGCCCCGGTGTGCGACGTTCCTCCCCCTGTGTCCAAGTGTTCTCATTGTTCAGTTCCCACCTATGAGTGAGAACAGTATTGCTTTATCTTTAAGTTCACTTGCATTTTGTCCTGTTATCTTCCATTAAGCTGTTAAGTCTATCCAGTGGTTTAAAATTTTTTTTTCAGATACTATATTTTTCAGTTTTAGAACTATTTATTTATTTATTTATTTATTTATTTATTTATTTAGAGACAGGATCTCACTCTGTTGCCCAGGCTGGAGTTCAGTGATATGATCGTAGCTCAGTGCACCCTTGAACTCCTGGGCTCAAGCAATCCTCCCATCTTGCTAGGACCACAGGCACGTGCCACCACGCCTGGCTAATTTTTTATTTTTTTTTCTGTAGAGATGGGGGTCTTGCTATGTTACCCAGGCTGGTCCCAAATTCCTGGCCTCAAGCGATTCTCCCACCTTGGCCTCCCAAAGTGCTGGGATTACAGGTGTGAGCCACTATGCCTGCCCCAGAACTTCTTTTTTATTAAAAAAAAAAAAAAAGTTATATTGGCATATTTTGCACATTATTTAATTCACCTTTTTAAAGTGTACAATTCTATATATTTTTAAAATTTTTTGTCCAGATGGGATTTTGCCATGTTGCCCAGGCTGGTCTTGAACTCCTGGGCTGAAGCAATCCTCCTGCCTCGGCCTCCCAGACGGTTGGGATTACAGATGTGAGCCACTGTACCCAGTCTGGTTCTTTTTTATAGTTTCTGATTCTCTACCAAGGTATCCTATCTTTCATTCATTGTGACAGTATCTTCTTTTACATTGAGCGTTGTTATATTAGTTGCTTACGAATCTTGCATTCTGGTTGGGTGCAGTAACTCAGGCCTGTAATCCTAGCACTTTGGGAGGCCGAAGTGGGAAGATGTCTTGAGCCCAGGAGTTTGAGACCAGCCTGGGCAGTCTAGAGAGAAGACCCCACCTCCACAAAAAATAAAAAATTAACTGGGTTTGGTGGTGCATGCCTGTGGTCCCAGCTACTCAGGACGCTGAGGTGGGAGAATTGCTTGAGTCTAGGTGGACAAGGCTCCAGTGAGCTGTCATCATGCTACTGCAGTCCAGCGTGAGTAGCAGAGCAAGAGCCTGTCTCAAAAAACAAACAGAAACCCTAAATAAAACCTTTTAATTCTAACATCTGAGACATCTCAGAGTTGGTATCCATTAATTATCTTTCTTTTAAAAATGGGTTACATTTTCTTTTCTTTGCTTTTAATTTTGTCAGTTATTCTGCACATTATGAACGTTATGCGGTGTAGACTAGATTCTGTTACATTCTTCCAAAGATTGTTTTGCTTGTTTTTGCTTGCTTGTTTTAGCAGACATTTACTTTGGTGGAACTCAAAATTTCAAACTCATTCTTCTTTGCTCTGGACAATAGCTCAAATCTCAATTTTAGCTTTTTAGATTTTAGCTTTTTAGATTTTAGCTTTAGCTGCATTGTCTGGAGTCTGCTCTGGGCATGCATAGTTCATAGGTCAACCAGAGATTTGGGCTGAGTTTACAGAGAATTTTGGCCCTCTTCTCTCTGGCTCTCTTTCTTTTGGGGTTTTCCCTTTCTAACTTCCTGGGATTGTAATGGCCCCTAACTCTCTTCTCATTCTTCAAGCCAAGCCAGAAAGACTGTGGGTTTTGGCCAGGTGCAGTGGCTCACGCTTGTAATCCCAGCGCTTTGGTAGGCCAAGGCAGGAGGACTGCTTGAGGCCAGGAGTTCAAAACCAGCCTGGGCAAACATAATAAACCCCATCTCTAAAATTAAAAATTAAAAAAAAATTAGCCAGGAATGGTGACACATGCATATGGTCCTAGCTACTCAGAAGGCTGAGGCAGGAGGACTCCTTAAGTCCAGGAGTTTGAGGCTGCAGTGAGCTATGATTGTACCTACTGCACTCCAGCGTGGGTATCAGAGTGAGAGACCTTGTCCTTTGTGGGGGGGGGCGGGAAAGAAGACTAGGTTTTTAATTCAGATTTTAGCTGCCACGCATTTCATGTACTGGCTCTATCTTCAGGCTAAAAGCTACAAAAAGGGGAAACTTTTGTTTTTTGTAGCTTTTCGCTTTTGTAGCTTTTAGCTTTTAGTGCTATTCCCATCTTTTTAAGTACTGACAATTCCCCTAAGTAAATGCCTTTTTTTTTTTTTCCTGGTGCCTTTAGGTAGTTTGTTTTTTCTGTTTTTGCCAGTTTGTTAGGTGCAGAGGGTTAGTCCAATAGGAACTAACTCAGCCATTATTAGAAGCAGATCGTTATTGTTTTTAAAATATCAAATTTTTTTCAGTAAGGTATAACTGTCTTTTACAGCTTAGCTGTTTTAAGGGCAAATTTTTATTTTTAAATGCCCTTTGGTATGTTCTGTTTTGTCTGTTTTGCACCGAAGGATTGAGGGTTTTACTTGAGACATTTAAAAACCTGTCTACTTTTATTCTCTTTATTATTTGGGATATTAGGGCTGTATCAGCTCAGAATACATAAAGGCTACACTTGGAGTAAGCATTTGTTTGTTGAGCCCTTTTACTGTTGAACAAAATCTAGATGTTTTTTTAGCCCAGTGAGAGCTTTCGTAGGAGGTACAGGTGTAGCTATAAAATAAAATTGATTTGTTTCCATAGAGATGTATTTTTTTTTTTTTTTTTTGAGACAGGGTCTCACTCTGTTTCCCAGGCTGGACTGCAGTGTTTTGATCACAGCTCACTGCAGCCTTGACCTGGGCTGAAGCAAGCCTCTCGCCTTCAGCCCCTGGAGTAGCTGGGACTACAGGTGTGTACCATCATGCCCTGCTAATTATTTTTTATAGAGATGGGGTCTCCCTACGTTGTCCAGACTGGTCTCAAACTCCTGGGCTCAAGTGATCCTCCCACCTCGGCCACCCAAAGTGCTGGGATTACAGGTGTGAGCCACTGCACCTGGCCCAGGAATGAATCTTATTATTTTATATATATTTACTAATTAACAGTTGGGGAATGCGGGAATCTCAGTGAAAACTCCCAGAATGTTTTGTTAACTAGACCAGTATTTTCCAATGTGATTAGGTAACAGAGTTTATGAGATGATCATGAATGAATATGGTTGGTTTTATTGGCAGAAGGGATGCTTTGTGTATTTTTTTATTTTGATAGAGTTTGATGTGCACGTATTAGAAAACTTCTTAACTGATTTGGAGAAAACGTATTTCTTTTCTGTTGAAAGGTGAAGTGGATCCTAAAGAGAGGATAGCACGCCAACGAAAATTATTACAGAAGAAACTTGGCCTTAATATGGGAGAAGCAATTGGAATGAGTACTGAAGAACTTTTCAATGATGAGGATTTGGATTATACCCCAACTTCAGCATCCTTTGTTAACAAACAACCTGTAGGTAAAACGTTTGGTTATTTGATTGCAAGTAATAATACAAAGGGTTTGCTTCATTTTGTTTATGTAATTATAGTTTAAGAAAATGTTATACTTAGCTCTGTTCATTGCTGCTTAGTGCCACCATAATTTAGCATCTTTTTTTAACTGGATTTCTGATGACAGATTCTATAGAGTTAGAAGCTCAACCTACCTCCCAGACACTGGACTGTTAAGTTGTAGTAGACCTTTTAGGCACTACTGGTATTGAAAGATTCTAATTGCTGCAATTGCTCTTTTTTTGGTATGTTCTTTGATGTAGGGAAAAGTAATTTTTTGGGAGAGTGAGAGATAGTAAGGGCTATTATAGTCAGATATGATAGTAGAAGTGTTTAGTGTTATGATTTATTCTTTTTTTTTTAAGTGAGAAATAAGACAACCGAGAAAGGGTATATAATATGAAGTAAAAGGAAGTTTTTTGCCAACAGGACACAGACATTTCCATGCCCCATAGACAACCATTTTCAAGTTACTTGTGCATCATTTCTGAAACTTGTGTGTACCAAGTGCATGTGTTTGTGTGTGTGTATATATGTATATGTGTGTGTGTGTGTTTGTGTGTGTGTGTGTGTGTGTATATATATATTCCTTTTAAGCCATGTTTACCTTTTCTCACTTCATACAGCTTAATGTGTCAGTATATTCAGATTGACCGCATTCTTTTTGGACAGCTTCATGCTGTTTTGTTTTGTGGCTGTACCATAATTTCACTCTTTTCTTCCTCTTCCTCTATTCCAGTTCCCAGTGGATACATTTGTGCTTCTTAACTTTTTTTATGCCACAGACTCTTTTGAAGCTCTAGTAAAAGCTGTGGCTCTCTTCGGAAAAATGCACATGTGAGATATTACATCTCAAGCGGTTCAGTACTCTTTTACCTGACCCCCAGTATTCTTTTAGGGGTCCATGGGCTGCATTAACAATTCCTGCTTTGCAATTATGAATCTCCTGTCTTGTCATTCCCCTGGTCTTTTCCTTTGCTTCAGTGGAGAATGGTTCTATTTGCCTTTATACGAATGGCACTTTAAACCATTAGAATTTGTAAAGTGTATTTTTTAGGGTTGGGGGTGTGAGTGATGATGAGTAACTTCTGCAGACAAGGGGGTAGAAAGGCAGATACTAGGAGAGAAAAAAGAGAGAGTATGAAGAGGCCAGAATACAGCAACACCCTGAAAGGAACAGAAGGAAATGGGGTAGAAAGGAAAGTGTAAGATGTAACTAGAAGATAAAGAGGATAATAGAATAAAAATGCAATAATATGATCACAGTATGGGTAATTGAACATGGTGTAAGAAAATGAATGGGCAGGTGTATTAGAAAGTGGGCTATACAGATCAGATTAATTGGGTGCGGGATAGGCAACACTAATTTGGGGTTTGCAAAATCCAGATTTATATATCATGGACCTTTGGGGGAAGTTGCTTGAGGTTCATCGTTGCCATAGGTCATTACAGCTGCATTGCTTATATATGTGCCCATGGTTCTTGATCAAGACTGCAGCAGAACATCCACACCAGTGACCTTAACTGTTTGTGGAAGTATAAATTTCAGTTGAATCTTTTGGTTAGGCACAGAAGGGATTTTTAGGCTTGAGCTTAAAAATCTAACGCACAGACTTTATAGTGTCTTCTGTGAATGGAAAAGAGCAAAAAGAGTAGACAGTAAGTAGTTAAGAGGAAAGGGGCATATGAGCTAAGTTGGACTATAGCATGCTGGACCAATCACTTAAGGCTATAATTTATTTATTTATTTTTTTCAGCAGATGGTGATGATCAGTTTCTTCTATTGACATTTATTCTCATAACTTTTTGGTGATATTATTTTTATTTTGAAGTCTTACCTCTTCAAGGCCTTCTCTATGGGTTAGGATCATACATTTGTGCCTCATAATGTAGCATAAAAAAAGTTAAGAAGCATATGTGTATCTGTTGGGAGTTGGAATAACAGAGAAAAGGGAGGAAAAGACTGAAATTATGGTACAGTCATACAACAAAAGAGTGTGAACCTGTCAAAAAAGAATGTGATCGATGTATATATACTGAAATTTATAGACTTGGTCTTCTTCTGAGGCTGAGACTATAGGTACTTATTTTAATTTCAAAAGTTCCAACTCAGCATTCTTTTATTCTTTTAGACTCTTCAGGCAGCTGAATTGATTGACTCAGAGTTTCGAGCAGGAATGAGCAATAGACAAAAGAACAAAGCTAAAAGAATGGCCAAGTTATTTGCAAAACAGAGATCCAGGGATGCAGTGGAAACTAATGAGAAGAGGTAGTAATCTTTTTTTGCCTATTCACTTAAAACAAGAGGGCTCTGTGGCTTTAATCTGTGTCTGCTTGATTTATAGAAACATTCTGCTGACATATTTAGCTGGGGAGTACTGTTTGGATTCTCTTACTCAATTGTCAGAGAGTATTCATTGTACTAGGAACTGAGACCACTTCCCCAGAAAAATCCACATGTACAGACTTTTTTCCTACTAATTATCAGTTTTGAATGAGGGCTGAGGATCTCCAAAGGGGAGAGCATTCCAGGCAGAAGAAACAAGTTTAAATGCCTTAAACATGGAATAATCAAGAAACAAATAGAAGGGCAGTATGGCCTTCTATACTGGGATGAGTGCACAGGAGAGTGATAGAGAATGAAATCAGAGAGGTGTCTAAGGACCACAAGTTAAGAATACTCCCTTAGTAAAGTGGGAGGTATTGTCACGATATTACCTCACCTGTGCCTTAAGCTGGGGCTATGCTAAATAGCCAATGATAATCTAGGCTAGTTTATGTAGTCCTGTTGAAGAAAAGAACTGTGTGGGTAAAGTCACTGTCCTCTGTTTCTTCATAAGTTACTAAAAGTGATCATCTATGCATGGCTTGGAGCAGCATTTCTCAAAGGGTGGTTCAAAACTATTTCCTTCAGGTGCTCTTCGAGGACCTTGTAAAAAAAAAATGCTGTTTTTTTTTTGTTTGTTTTTGTTTTTATGATGCAGTCTCTGTCGCCCAGGCTGGAGTGCAGTGGCTCGATCGTAGCTCACTACAGCCTCAAACTCCCAGGCTCAAGCAATCCTCCTGCCTCAGCCTCCCAAGTAGCTGGGACTACAGGTGTGAACCACCATGTGTGGCTAATTTTTAAATTTTTTGTAGACATAAGGTCTTCCTATGTTGCCTAGGCTGGTCTCTAACTCCTTGGCTCAAGTGGTCCTCCTTCCTCGGCCTCCCAAAGTGTCGGGATTATAGGCTTGAGCCATCACACCTGGCCAAAAATGTATATTCTTGGGTCCCACTCAGATCTGTTAAATAAGAATCTTTAGTGGTGCTCAGGAAATGTTTGCATAAATGCTGAATTAATAAAAAGCCTCGGAAAATAGGATTTGCAAATGACAGAACTTTTTGTTATATGTATTCACATAAAGCTAAAAAGTGTTTAGTGTTTAAAAGCTAGGCACAAAGGGGGATAAATAATAAACATATACTTGGTAGAAATTTATACTTGAGGGTAAATCTTTAACTGCAAACTTTTTATTCAGCTTGTTAATGACAAGATTTTTTAAAAGTTAACAGCTCATTAAGATCATATAGTAACCTAATAAGTTTTTCTACTGGTTTTTATTCATACAAGCACTTTTAGCCAAAGATTTGAATGTTGGAAATATTCGACTTTATTTTTCAGAGTTCATGAGTCATTCACAAACATTTATTAAATACCTTCTATTTGCCAGGTATTGTTCTAGGCCCTGAGGACATGTGTGAATAAAATAGAGAAGAATTCCTGCCTTCGGAGGTTATAGTCTGGAGGGAAAGAAAGATGGGAAATAAATAAGTAAAATACAGTGTGTGTGTATATATGTGTGTATATATATAAAATACAGATAATGTTAAGCGTTAAGGAAAAGAAGATAAAACAGGGAAGGAACATGTGAAATATTTTTGGGGTATAGAGTTTGAAATTTTAGATAGGAAGGTCTAGGAGGGCTTCCTAGAGGTGACTTTTGAGTAACAATCTGAAAGAAATGAGAGTGCTAGTCCTGTGAATATCTAGGAAAAGTTTCAATAGTTTTAAATAGTTTAAGAAAATGTTATGCTTTCCAAATAGAGGGAATTACAAGGACAAATGCCTGCAAGGGGAAACATGCCTAACAAGTTCAGGGACTTAAGGTGACCTACTAATGTGGCTAGATGTGGAGATAATTAAGGGAAGAGTAATAGGAAATGAGAGGGAGGCTCAGATTTCTTTTATCACCTTATAGAAAAAATGGTTGGCCAAATAAATTTCACTATTAAGATGGAGAGAGGGGAGAAGTATTTATAGAAAATAATGCTGTATATGCTTTAAAATGTGCTAAGTTTTTCTTTTCTAAATGCTGAATGAAAGTAGTTTGACTTGTCCTCTCCTTTCCAGTATTAGGCTAGCCTCAAAATTTTTGGTCTTTAAGTCATAATAGAACATTTCCTCAAATTTTCTATATCCTTTTTTCATTGGTCAATTGTTTATCTCCATATTTTTCAAGAACTGGTAAGATTATACTGTATTGCTCAGTATATTAGTTTTCTCTAGTATATAAAAGCCTAAAAACGTTAATGTTATGCTGGACCAGATGCAGGTTATATGCAGGTTATAAAAAAGATGATGAGCTGATTGTAGAGAGGAGGGAAAAATGGCCTATTAAATTCAAGATCCAATTTGAAAAAAAGAATTCACCAACCTATAGTGTAGTTAGAATATATTTTGCTCAAAAAATTTTAAGCAGTTAGTCGTTTGATACATGGGATTTTAAGTAAATCATATAAGCAGAATATGGTGTAAAACATTTGTTTAAATGATGGATTATCTTAAATTCATTGTGATTCACATTATCTTTTATTCATTTCATTCATTGTGGTTCACATTACGCTTTATTCATTTTCTAAATGGTGACTTTTATTTTTTAGCAATGATAGCACTGATGGGGAGCCAGAAGAAAAGAGACGGAAAATAGCAAATGTTGTTATTAATCAGTCTGCAAATGATTCCAAAGTCTTGATTGATAATATTCCAGACAGCTCTTCCTTAATTGAAGAGGTACTCTTGAAAGACTCTAAAGTATCCATTAAAATTGCTTATAATCTTTGGGCCAGCAGCGGTGGCTCACTCCTGTAATCCCAGCACTTTGGGAGGTCGAGGCGGGCGTTATCACGAGGTCAGGAGCTTGAGACCAGCCTGGCCAACATGGTGAAACCCTGTCTCTACTAAAGATATAAAAAATTAGCCAGACGTGGTGGCACGTGCCTGTAATCCCAGCTACTTGGGAGGCTGAGGTAGGAGAATCGCTTGAACCCGGGAGGCCGAGGTTGCAGTGACTTGAGATTGCACCACCGCACTCTAGCCTGGCCTACAGGGCGAGTCTCTGTCTCAAAAAAAAAAAATTGCTTATAAATCTTTTTCAAACTAATATATCATTGAAAGTATTGAATAATCTATTGAGAGAAATTTTATCAGTAAAAATATATCTTAATTAGTTAAAAAAATTAAATTTTTAAAAGCCTGATTGCTACTACTAGACCTAGAAATAAAATTTATTAAGTTACTTAAATTGTTAGCATAAAATAGACCTTTTGAACTAGTAGTAATTCTGTTTTTCTTATTCAGACAAATGAATGGCCTTTGGAAAGCTTTTGTGAAGAACTTTGCAATGACCTTTTTAATCCCTCCTGGGAGGTAAGATTTCTTCATTACAGTTTTTCTCAGCTCTATTTTCTGTGCTAATGAAGGGAACAATGTCAAGAGCAATATACTTTGTCAGAGTCCCTATTCTTCTCTGTTTGTCTCAGGACTCAGGGCACGTCATATCATTGACCTAAATAGAAAACTATAAATTGATTTTCACCTTTCATATCCTTCAGTCATATTCTTTAGTGAATTGTTTATTTCTTTTCGTTCTTTAAATTATAATCCAAAGGCTTGCATATCTCTCCCAGGCAGTAAAAAAAATACTTCCTTTCCTTTGGAAGTGGACAATTTTGATTGATCAAGAGCAGTAGTTTCCAAGCCAGCTTTTTAGCCTCAGAAATCTTTAGAGAACATCTTGAACAGTTCCCAATGTGTAGAAGAGAAGAGTGAAGTTCCTCTGCTTGAAGTTGAGGATTGGTAGTTTCAAACCATTGTTTCTCCCTTCTGTTGGCCTCTGTGTAATTTAAAAAACATTTATTTAGAATACCTTTTAGTTGCCTTTCCTTGGTGTAATTCTATTTAAAGTTACTCAAGTCATAACTCATGGGGTGTTAAGAAGTGGGCACAGTGTCAATAGCTTGTTCTTTTCCTTTCCTGATGACACTGCAGAAAGTAGCCTCACCTTCTCACAGAAAGGTGATTTATCCCCAGGGGTATAGTGATGCATTAATCATAAGACATTTTATTTGTATTGTCTTCTTTTGGCACTCACTTATCATTGGTAGCTTTGGAGCTTAGGTTTTTCACTTTTTGATTTTTTTGAGATGGAGTCTCACTCTGTCTCCCAGGCTGAAGTGCAGTGGCACGATCTTGACTCTCTGCAACCTCCGCCACCCAGGTTCAGGCGATTCTCCTGGCTTAGCCTCCTGAGTAGCTGGGACTACAGGTGCGTGCCACCACACCCGGCTACTTTTAAAAATATTTTTATTAGAGATGGGGCTTCATCATTTTGGCCAGGCTGGTCTTGCTTGAACTCCTGAGCTCAAGTGATCTGCCCACCTGGGCCTTCCAAAGTGCTGGGATTACAAGTGTGAGCCACCTCGCCCAGCCTGGAGCTTAGTTTTGATGCACATATTTTGAAAATACATGTGTTGGGATTATAAAGAACACCTTGGGCTGGGCGTGGTGGCTCATGCCTGTAATCCTAGCACTTTGGGAGGCTGAGGCGGACAGATCGCTTCAGGTCAGGAGTTTGAGACCAGCCTGGCCAACATGGAGAAACCCTGTCTCTACTAAAAATAGAAAAACTAGCCGGGCGTGGTGGCGGGCGCCTGAAATCCCAGCTACTTGGGGGGCTTGAGGCAGGAGAATCGCTTGAACCCGGGAGGCGGAGGTTGCGGTGAGCCAAGATTGCACCACTGCCCTCAAGCCTGGGCAACAGAGTGAGACTCCATCTCGAAAAACAAACAAACAAACAAAAACACTATACGATACTTTCTTTCCTCTCTCTTGCTGTGGATAGTGCTGAATGAAGGTAGAGGATAAGGGAGTGAAAGCAATGTGGATTTATATCTCAAAAGGATTTTAGAATAGCTGTTTTCTTGCTTGATTTTTAAAAAATTCCATATAACCAAAAGCAGTCTGAAATGTATATGTGTAATTCTTCTTAGATAGTTGAAGAAAAATACATTCTTGTAAAGTTCCACTTAGTTTATTCTAATTTCTTAAAAATCCAGTATCCCTATTTCGTATAGAAGAAAAATCAAACTTTGTTTCTTAAACATTTAACATCTGACATTTGCTTCTTTGTTCTTTTCAGGTTCGACATGGTGCAGGCACTGGACTTAGGGAAATTCTTAAAGCTCATGGGAAAAGTGGTGGTAAAATGGGTGACAGCACTTTAGAAGAGGTAAGTGTATTAATGCAACAATTATCACCAAGTATTAATAGTTGGCATCTTTTTCCAATGTAGGGAAGTAACGAGTATGTGCCGTGAAGTAGGAATGAGAGGTAAATAAGAGGAAGAGATATGAAAAGGTAAATATCATACAATGGATTGAAAAGTAGAGTAAGATGAATAAGAGGCTAGTTGAGAGGTCAGTGAGCAACATAATTGGTATTGCCTGGAGACACTGGTAATAGTATAAATAATAGATATATGACCGGTGTGCTTGATATGAGAACAACCTTAAGTAATTAGTTTCTTAATTTCTCTTGGAGTGCGAGTAACATAATACAATCCATGAATTTTAAGAATTGTGATATAGTATATCTGAATTGAATTAATGATCAAAGGGGATATGAGATATGTTTAATATTAAAGACATTAATTGGGACTATTCTACTTTTTGGTTGTTGTTCCTACAGCTAAAATCTGTCCCCATTTTTTATTTTTGATTTTGGACCTAAGGTGTCCCCCAAGTCCCCAGTACAAAGTATGATCTTTGTTTTTAAAAAAATTATGTTAAAAAAATGTGTGTGTGTGTGTGTGTGTGTATATATATATATATATATATATATATATATTATATTTTAACAGATGATTCAGCAGCATCAAGAGTGGTTGGAAGACTTGGTTATTAGACTCCTTTGTGTTTTTGCATTAGACAGATTTGGAGACTTTGTTTCTGATGAAGTAAGTATCATTTAAGGGAGGCTTTGCCCAATCAAATTTCAAATTCTACAAAATACGTTTTTTGCAAATATGAGTTTTCTTCCTTTTTCGTCTGTAGGTTGTGGCACCAGTTCGTGAAACTTGTGCTCAAACATTAGGTGTGGTTTTAAAACACATGAACGAAACAGGAGTTCATAAGACTGTGGATGTGCTGCTAAAATTACTTACACAAGAACAATGGGAAGTTAGACATGGTGGTCTGCTGGGAATAAAATATGCTTTGGCAGTCCGTCAGGTAAATATTTCAAGTTTTGAAGCTTATGTGGGAGAGTTTTTTCCCCCTTATAGTTTATTTTCACTAATTAGACGAAATGGCCGTAGATTCTTACTGTTACAGAGAAGCCAGTCTTCCAAGATTTGCCGTCTTGAGAGAGTGTCATAGAGATAGGTGGCGCTCATAAGAATTTAAGTATAAATCAAAAGATGGTTAGTTACATTGTTTGCTCTTTAAGTTCAAAGATTATTTTTCCTTTTTAATCCATTGCTACAGTTAATTCAGTGCTCTTCATGATTTGGTTTTACTGTTTTAACTCATTTAAATATTGAATACATGCTCTGAGGGCTATACAACATGGTGCCAAGTTATGCAGTATACATACAGGAGTAGACATCAAAGTGTAAAGCAGACAATCTGTATGGTCATGTACTTTTTACATAAACTGTCAGTGTTTTTTTTTTTTTTTTAATCCTTTATGACAAAGCTTAGAAGAAGAAAATGCATGTAGTCTTATTATTTTCATATAGGGAAATAAGTTCTGAAAAATTAGATGCCTTGCTGATGGTCACAAAACTAGTTAAGGTTAGTTAGTACTAGAACTAGAAACTAAATGGCATGTCTTATAGAACAGTGTTTAGTGTAATGTTATACATCATCTAGGATGAAAATACCTGCATATGCAGATAGTCCCCTACTCAGGAACATTTATGTTCCCTTAGTGGGTTATTAAAAACTCTGATATATTCTGGCTAGGACTTCAGTTCTTAGATTGGCCCACAAAAGCCTATTTCATATATAAATATATCTAAAGTCCTTTACTAAACTAATAAGTGCTGTGTAATCTATATATACACATAATATTTTTGTGGAAAAATTGATTCTGATTTCCAATATGAGATGCCAGTAAAACATCTCTTTTCTCCTTCTCCCTGCTTCTCCACCATAGATCTAGTGACAGAATTAGGGACTTCCACAAATAGTTGTCTTGACTCTGAACATAATGGGTCAGCAAAGAGTGAGTATTGACGAAAAAGAAGAGACGTGGAAGTAAAGGAGAGATTATGAATGAGGAGCTAGAGAGAGACCAGGACCTTTTCTTACCAGTTTAATTTCCCGTAATACTTTCCAGTTAGGATCAGCATTGTCAGGGTGTTAGGCATTGGCCTATATAGGCATTTCACTATCCATTATGGCTACTTAATGCTTTGTGCCAGCTTTTCTTCTCTTCCCATGCTCACTGTATAACAGATTGGAACCTCCCTTTCTGTCTCAAAAAGCAAGCTCAAAGGCCTTTTGAAGTTTTCTAAGATTGTCTTTTTTTTTTTTTCCCTTCTTTAACTGCCAATAACAAAGCATTCGTGATTCTGCTGAGAGACCTGAACTCTCTGTCCAACTCTTTTCTCCCTCTGCTCCCTTCCTTGCTTTTCCTGCCCCTTTTAGTGCTCTTCTCCCCTTGGCAGCCACCCTCTTACCCCCATAAACAAAACCTTTTTTTCTGTGTTCTGCACTCTAGCCTCTGTAGATAACAGTAGACTTATATGGAAATGGAAAGCACCTTATTTGTTTTTGAAATATTATCCCTATTTCGTAGTGAAACCAGTTCTCAGTGAGATTCCTAGTATATGATCACAGGAGTAATGTCTGGGGCCTGGTCTGTTGGGGGAAATGAAAAGACATTAAATTGGAATAATGAGAAGTGGGAAGGTATGGCTTTTCTTTCACTCTTCTCTCATTTTCCTTTTGGTTGTCGGTGGCATTGAATGAGATATGGAGGCTAGGATTCTGGCAGAGGGGTTTGTGTGTGTGTGTATTCACACAGAGAATTCATAGTCTTACGTATAAAACATGTTTTGATGTTTTATGTCTCATTGAATAAAGTACTTGATGCCCTTGTCTTTTTCAAATGGGATTACTTAGGCTTCTATTGATGTTACATTTTTGTTTATGTGATTGTTTTTTAGTAGGTACAGTCATAATGATGTTTCAGTCAATGATGGGCCACATATATGATGGTGGTCCCATAAGATTATAATACTGTACTTTGATTGTACCTTTTCTGTATTTAAATATACCAATATTTATCATTTTGTTAGTAGCTGCCTATGGTATTCAGTTCAGTAACATGCTGTGCAGGTTTGTAGCCTAGAAGCAATAGGCTGTGTCACACACATAGTTAGGCGTGGTATAGGCTATACTGTTTAGGTTTGTGTAAGTACACTCTATAATGTTCACAGAATGACAGAATTGCCTGATGTATTTCTCAGAATGTATCCATTGTTAAGCAGTGCATGACTATAAATATTGGAATTTAGCTGTCATGTGGCAAATTTAAATTTTAAAATGTTTAAGCACAGTAACTGTAGAATAGAAAATTAATTTATTTTCATGTACTGTTTTACAGGATGTAATTAATACTTTATTGCCTAAAGTTTTAACTAGAATAATTGAAGGACTCCAGGATCTTGATGATGATGTCAGAGCTGTTGCTGCAGCATCATTAGTGCCTGTAGTAGAAAGCCTTGTCTATCTTCAGACACAAAAGGTAAATTAAATATTTTTACAGTTTCTTACTATAGAGCTTGTTTTCATTTGGGATATGGAGTATTAGAAAATACATTGTGTACATTTTTCTCCTTCATCTTCAATTTTTTTTTTTAACAACAGCCCTCTGATGCATGCAATCTTGATTATATATTGTACTTTGGAAGAGTGAATTGGATCCATTTGTCTACTTTCCCTTCATGTACATAATATATAGGGAACTTCCTTGAGAAGAATGCAGCCATTTCTTCCTAATTTTACTCCTGGTTTTTAGATATATTGGATTTTTGTTTGTTTTGATTTTAGTTTTTGGATTGTTTTTTTAAATCTAGTCTCCCCTCCCCTCCCTGTCTCTCCTCTCCTCCTCTCATTATTAATTATTAATTAGTATTAATTATTAACTAATAAGTGCTGTGTAATCTATATATACACATAACATTTTCTTTCTTTTCTTGGGTCTCACTCTGTCACCCAGGCCAGAGTGCAGTGGATGACATGTAGCCCCACTCTCCTGGGCTCAAGCAGTCCTTCCTGCCTCAGCCTCCTAAGTAGCTGGGACTACAGACACATGCCACTGTGCCTTGGCTGATTTTTTAAAAGGCATGGTGGCGGGCGCCTGTAGTCCCAGCTACTCAGGAGGCTGAGGTAGGAGAATGGCGTGAACCCGGGAGGCAGAGCTTGCAGTGAGCCAAGATCGCGCCACTGCACTCCAGCCTGGACGACAGAGCGAGACTCCGTCTCAAAAAAAAAAAAAAAAAATTATTTTTTGTAGTGATGGGGGAGTCCCCCTATGTTGCCGAGGCTGGTCTCAAACTCCTAAGCTCAAGAGATCTTCCCAGTCTTGGCCTTCCAGAGTGCTGGGGTTACTGGTGTGACTCATCACACCCACCCCTCTAGTCTCATTTTTTGAAATGACTTTTTTAAAGATCTGGCTGACTTTCCACCTTATTATCAAAATCAGAACACAAAGTTAGAAGTACAGTAAGCAGTATTTTAAGAGCTTAAAAACTAAATTTTTTTTATGATGATTAGTACCATTTTAAATGCAGTAAAATTACATAGAAGAACATGTCTTGTGTCTCGATGCTCTGTTGTTTTCACTGTTAAGTTTTTTACATAAAATAGTTGTGGCTCTTTTATTTTCTGAATTCTACCCATTATGAGTCTGGTCAGGCAGGGAAGTATCAAAGTAGAGTTGAATGGCATTAAAAAGAAGGAATAGAGAATTGTTAAAGGCAAATAGTGTGACCTCCTTAACTTTACTCAAAATTGACACCGTCCAAGGTCATTGGAATTGCATGTGTTGTTGAATCAGTAGTGACCCCTGGGATACCATTTGGCAGGGTTTGTGAGTATTTTGTGCAAAATTGATAACTTTTCTTGAAAACTGATCTTATAGGTGCCCTTCATTATAAATACATTGTGGGATGCTCTTCTGGAATTAGATGATCTAACAGCTTCAACAAATAGTATTATGACTCTCCTTTCATCCTTGTTAACTTACCCTCAGGTCCAACAATGCAGGTAATTATTTCTAATTAGTGGAATAAAGTAAAAAGTCTTTACATACCTTTCGAGATAATTCAGCCTAAACATAACAATATTTTAGCACCTTTAAGAATAATATTATTTAAGCTGGAGATGCCAAAGACTACCGTTTTCAGAAGGCCTTGTCTTTTTTACTCTAGCCATTCGGGCAGCAGCTTACAAAGATCATTTTTTTTTTACCCTTGAGATATTTCAGTTATATAATTCATCGTCTTGTTCGTCTTATAATTGTTTACTTAGAAATATAATCATTGAATAGTATTTCCAGTTCTAGTCCTAGAACGTAGAATTTTAGCTTTATTTAGTAACATTTAGTTAACAGAATTATCATCGAACATCAGCTTTAAATTTTCTAAAACTTGCCCCTCTGTGAACTTTTTTTTTGTAATGTTCATGTCTTCAACTCTTGTTCTTGATTTCAGTAATTACTTATCATGAAGGAAATACATAATAATGTAATATAATGTCCAAAGGCAGAGATCAAATGAAGCCAAAAACATACATCAAAAATTTAGTGTCACCAATTTTCCTGTCCTGATATATGAATCTCAGCTCAGCGAATTAACATATTCCCTACCTTTTAGACTGGCCCTTGAATATTGTTAGAGATAAGTGTCCTTAGAGATAGAGAATAGTGTCCTTAGAGACAGAGAAGAAAAAATTATTATGCAACTTTAAAAAATTCACAGATGAGAAAATTACTCTTCTTGTCCTAGTGAGGGCGTTCAGTGAATGTTCATATAAATGCTTATATGTGGTTTCTGGCTCTATGAGTATTTCCCATGAAACCCATAGATGTATAAAAAAAGTAGAAAATATTTCAAATAATACTGACCTACTGGAAGTACTTTAATGCTAAGTTTAGATTAGTTGGATAGCCTATAAGTAGGAATAGCAAAATAAGTGCCTATAAAAGCAAAAGAAGAGAAAAATTGAAGTGGTAGTACATTTATGGGGTTTCCTAATTTTTGATGTTTCTATTACTAATGAAAGCTGTACAAACTAAATGAGTTAATCTATGTGAAAGCCCTCTTTAAGCTGCAAGATGAAGGGGTTTTTCATTACTGTAAATCAAGGATTGGTAATCTTTTTCTGCAAAGGCCCAAATAGTGAGTATTTTTGTTTTGTGAGCCAGTCTGTCTGTCAAAACTACTAAGCTGTCACTGTAGTGTGAAAACAGCTGTACATGGGTAATACATAAGAGAATGAACGTGCCTGTGTACACATAAAACTTCTACTTAAAAAAAAATGGGTGGAATGGATTTGGCCTATGGGCCTTAGTGGATGGTGTCAGAAAAACTGGATAATATAAAAAAGAATATAGTGAAAATTCTATTAATTCAATGTGAAATAATGTAGTTTTCCGTCTTTTTTGTTTCAAATTTGCTTCATATATTGTGATACTTGGCAGATACTTTCTTCTAGTTTATGTAAGAAGAAATGTAGCATGTTATTTGGAGCATGAACAGTTAGACATTTAACAAGACTTTGTTATAATGCTTTTATGTGTTTTGTGTCTTTTTTATGTCTATGTGTACCTGTGTTTAAGTTAGAATTTTATAAATAAATTTGCTAAATATGAAAATAAATACAAGAAGGTAGTGTTCATACAAACCTGCAAGTAATGAAAATAGTGTTAAAAGATAGGCCTCCTGGGAGGAACCACAAAAGACCAAATACAGTGGCATATTATTTTTTGCTTATGTCTTTTTCTGTGGAGCCATATATTTCAAATGCTGCTTATGAATTATTTCCTAGTTCCAGGTAACTTTTACAAATGACTTACGAATGTGACAGGAATCCTGTGGCCCAAGTTAGTCTAGACTTGGCTTTGTTTGCTTCCCCATTTAAAACTTAATCTATGAGAAGGAAGAAATTTGAGTTTTCCTAACTTAGTAATGCTACACCAGGATAATAAATGTCAAAGTTGCTACCATACCACCACTTGCTCATTTGATATGTGACAGAGATGGCACCAAAGGGAGATGGAAATTATGTGTATCTACCCGTTGGGGTTAGCCATGGGGAAGAAGTAAGGATTAGCAATCCTGATCATGTAGGCTGACTACCAGCTAGGATACATGTCCCATTTTCCTAAGAACAATTACATTGGAAAGTCCTAACTTGATAAAGGTGACTCATAGCATTAGTGCCATAGAAGAACCTGATGTTAGTATTTCTACCCTTCTTTTTGACTGCATTTGCTCTGGCTCTTCTGTTGCTACGATAACAGTTGTGAATGACATTGTTACATGAATGTTCATATGAAAACTGTATTATCTTTTAAGAATTTATTCATCAAAAAAGTCACATGGTGTCAGCATCACTAGATCCCATGAGAATATTTAGATAATGTATCTACAGAGTTACAACTTAGAATAAGTAAGATTAATTTGTGTCTTCTTTATTAGTATTCAGCAGTCACTGACAGTTTTAGTTCCACGTGTCTGGCCTTTTTTGCATCACACTATATCATCAGTTCGAAGAGCAGCATTGGAAACTCTGTTTACGTTATTATCAACACAGGACCAGGTAAGAACTGATAACTATAGCAGTCTTGAAACTTATATAAATTAATTTTATAAAATAAACCTGGTCTTTAGCTTACCCTTGCTGTATATCCAAAGATCAGGACAATGTTGGGCCTAGTGGTATGGTAACCATGTAGATGAATATAATCACTGTAAGAGCAGAAATATTTTAATATTTTGTTCTAGATTGTATTCTCACCACTTGAAATCATGCTTAACACATAGGAAGTCCTCAGTAAATGTTTGTTGAATGAGTGATTGATTGAATAGTCTCTTCCTGTCAGAGACCTGTTATATAGTCTTTGCATGCTCTTTGTCTGTGTGGCTGACAGTTGGGTGGCTGGCAGAACCCATGGCCCAGGTGAGAAGGCTACATTTGAAGGTCTAGAGTACAACTCTTAAAAGACTTACCAAGGAATTCCCAGGCTCTTGCCTTTATTTAAAGATTTTTCAATCTTAAGAGCATGCTATTTTCAAGGATAGTATACTTCAGGAGTCACGTTGAAATGTCTACAGAGATCATTCAGATAATATCAGTGTGTAAATGGAGCCTGTGGTAAGCTTAGGAGTCCTTGCCCTGTTTATAAAAGGCTTCACATTCCCATTTTTAAAATAACCTTATAGGTCAAACAAAGTACCTAGATTTAGGGGATTATCAATAAGAAATTTAGTTTTCTAGTGTGCAGTTAATAGGTACTACAGTTTGGGCCAATCATTTTTTAAAAATAGTGACTAAGTAGTGAATAAGTGCCTCTTTTGTGTTCACTAACTGGATTCTCATGTGAATTAGGAACATTTTGTGTAGACTTGCCTTAGTGTGCAGCATGATACTCTGTTGAACTTCTGTAAATAAACATCTGTAAATTTTGTTTGGCATTATCATTTTGATTTTGTCTGATCCAAATCTCTGAGAACAACTGTCAGGTTTGTTTTACAGTTCTCAGTTGATCAAGCATGGGCTGATATGACAGCTGGCATGGGTTGTTCTTAATTTTCATTTCATTTTTGCTTTATTTTTATGCTTTTTGCCTAAATGTTTGTGAATTCTTAAATTCATTTTATGTAGACCCTTTGAAGTTACCAAATTTTTTATCTTCATATCATTCTTTTTGTATATATGGACTTTATTTTTAATAGCAGTTTTAGATTTACAGAAAAAATGAAGGAAAAGTACAGAAAGTTCCTGAATACCCTTTTATCCCTCCTACTACCCACACATAGTTCCCCTTATTGTTAACATCTTGCATTAGTGTGGTACATTTATTAAAACTGATGAGCCAATATTGATACATTAAAGTCCACACTTTACAGTAGGGTTCGTTCACTCTTCTGTACATTTTGTACATATTGTACATTTACAAATGTACAATAATATGTACCCACCATTACAGTATCATACAGAGTAGTTTAACTATCCCCAAAATCCCCTGTGTTCCACCTATTCATCCTTCCTTCCCTGTCCCTCAACCCTTAACAGCCACTGATCTTTCTTACTGTCTCCTTAATTTTGTCTTTTCCAAAATATCACATAGTGGAATCATATAGTATGCTGCCTTTTCAAATTGGCTTCTTTCACTTAGCAATATGAAATTAAGGTTTCTCCATGTCTTTTCATGTCATGGTAGCCCATTTCTTTTTATCACGGAATGATACTCCATTGTCTGTACCAGTTTATTCATTTGCCTTCTAAGGACATCTTAATTGCTTCCAGTTTTTGGCAATTATGAATAAAATTGTTACAAACATTCACGTGCAGGTTCTTATGTGGGCATTAAGTTTTCAACTCACTTGAGTAAATACCAAGGAGCGTATCTGCTGAATTGTATGGTAAGGGTATGTTGACTTTTGTAAGAAACTGCCAACTGTCTTCCAAGTGGCTGTACCATTTTGTGTTTCTACCAGCAATGAGTGAGGGTTCCTATTGCTTTACATTCTGGCCAGCATTTTTTGTCAGTGTTTTGGGTTTTAGCCATTCTTATAAGTGTGTAGTAGTATTTCATTGTTGTTTTAATTTGCAGTTTCCTAGTGATACATGATGTTAAGCATCTTTTCATATGTTTATTCGCCATCTACCTCTCATCTTCGGTGAGGTGTCTGTTCAGCTTTTGCCTATTTTTATTTATTTATTTTATTTTTGAGACAAGGTCTCACACTGTTGCATGGGTGTGATCATAGCTTACTGCAATCCTGAACTCGTGGGCTCAAGTGATCTTCCCATTTCAGCCTCCTGAGTAGCTGAGACTACAAGCACGCACCACCATGTCTGGCTAATTAAAAAAAAAAATTTTTTTTTTTTTTTTTTGTTAGAGATGAGGTCTTGCTAGGTTACCCAAGCTAGTCTTTTGCCTATTTTAATATTGGGTTGTTTTCTTATTGTTGAATTTTAAGAGTTCTTTGTATATTTTAGATACAGTTTCATATTGTTTTTTAAAGCCCTTTTATTCCTTATTAGGTGATCAAGCCACCTGCAGGCTATTTTTAACTTGTGACTTTATTATTAGTAATACCAACTTTACATTACTAGAAAATAAGGTATTCTGTATAAATGAAATTTTCAAATAACTGAAATATACTTTTTTTGCCACAAAAAAAAAGTTAGCTATTAAAATGACTGCCACAGTAGATCATCATTTTAAAGTATATTAAACATAAGCTAACTTTTTTTTGGTGAGTCAGTCACCAATATTATTTGTTGGTTATTAGTTTTTATACTGTTTATTATAGCATACTGTGGGAATATTGAGATACATGAGTCACTGTTTGCAGTAATTGAACTGTTCTTTTTCGGTTTGCTGTTGCCTAATTTTTATCTCCTCTCTGCTGTCAATTGTGATTTCTCACTTTTGTTAGTCTTGTAATACCTCCTCCCTTGTTCTAAAATTTTTGCTATAAATAAGATCCCAAGATTGTTATAAATCCCCGTCGGGCCCAGCGTGGTGGCTCAGGCCTGTGATCCCAGCACTTTGGGAGGCTGAGGCGGGCGGATCACTTCAGGCCAGGAGTTCCAGACCAACGTGGGCAACATGGTGAAACCCTGTCTCTACTAAAAATACCAAAATTAGCTGGGCATGATGGTGTCTGCCTGTAATCGTAGCTACTCGGGAGGCTGAGGCACAAGAATTGCTTGAACCTGGGAGGCAGAGGCTGCAGTGAGCCGAGATTGCACCACTGCCAAGCCTGGATAACAGAGCAAGACCCTGTCTCAGAAAAAAAAAAAAAATTCGCCTTCCAATTTTTAGTCCCTCAATGATTATGGATATTGGCTTTTAAAATTTCCTGGTTGTGAAAACATCTCTGTGTTCTTTGATGTTGATTTTCTTGTCCAGGGATTTTTTTTTTTTCCTTTTGAATTTGCCCTTGCTGGCTCATAAATGAAGGCTTTGGTACTAGCCTTCATTTCTTTATCATTTAATATGACTCTTTATCATTTCCTATACCAGAATGCCATTGTCTTTGTATGTAATTTGTGGCATGTTAGCCACCTTTTAAGCATGGGCCCTCAATGTTTGTTAAGTAAATTAGTGTGAGATTCTGTGCTGGGTTTCCTGGGAAATAAAAAAAAGAAATCCTGTGTATTAGCCTTTTTTCACACTCCTGATAAAGACATACCTGAGACTGGGCAATTTACAAAAGAAAGAGGTTTAATTGGACTTAGTTCCACATGGTTGGGGAAGCCTCACAATCATGGTGGAAGGCAAGGAGGAGCAAGTCACGTCCATGTGGATGGCAGCAGGCAAAGACAGAGCTTGTGCAGGGAAACTCCTGTTTTTAAAATTGTCAGATCTTGTAAGAATTATTCGCTGTCATGAGAACAGCACAGGAAAGACCCACTCCGTGATTCACTTATCTCCCACTGGGTCCCTATAACAACACATGGGAATTATGGGAGCTACAAGATGAGATTTGGATGGGGACACAGAGCCAAACCATATCATCCTACATGTTTCTTACCTTGGAAAAGTTTACAGTATGGTTGCTATAAGACTATTATATTACATGGTAAGTTTAATAACCTCTACAAAGAGTTAAATAACAGAAGACCAGTATGTGAGAGATGTCAGACAGCAGCATTAAAAGACAAACTAAGCTGAAAGATCAGGAAGATTAGGTGATGTGGTTAAAAAAACTAGTATTCCCTCACTTCTTTTTGATTCATATTTAGTATCTTTGATATGTACTTTCACAGACGTTTTACTGAATATGTCAATTTCAAGTTAGACAAGCATACAGAATGTGTTTTGAACAAAAGTGCTTTTCTAGTCTGTTCCCTTTAGACTTTTAAAACATTCTGCTTCCATATTTTTCTTCCAGTTATTCTGACATGTTTGTGGTCCTTTTTTGTTGGAGTCTTAATGTTTATTGTGTTTCCTGTATCCTTTTGTGTTGATTATGCTTTTAGCTTCTTTTTCTATTATTTTTCATAACTTTTCAATGGCATCATTCATGAAATTTCACTTGTGTTTAGCCTTTATCTTCAGCGTATCTCTTTACTGAAAGAGATGCTGTCTGTGAAACTTAATATTGGTGCTTCCAGATTTTGTGCTTTGTCACTGCCCTGATCCTTGCTGTTTATTATCTTCACCACCAAAGACTATGGCTATGGCACTAATCACTGATTCTTAGCAGTCTCTGATTTTGGTCCCCACATACATGCTTTACTATTTTTATTGGCTATTTCATTCTGTGTTTTCAAATAATGGTATAAAGCCAAACTTTTTTTTTTTTTTTTTTTTGAGATGGAGTTTTGCTCTTGTTGCCCAGGCTGGAGTGCAACGGCATGATCTTGGCTCCCTGCAACCGCTGCCTCCCGGGTTCAAACGATTTCCTTCCTCAGCCTCCTGAGTAGCTGGGATTACAGGCATGCGCCACCACGCCTGACTAATTTTTGTATTTTTAGTAGAGACAGGGTTTCGCCATGTTGGTCAGGCTAGTCTTGAACTCCTGACCTCAGGTGATCCACCTGCCTCGGCCTCCCAAAGTGCTGGGATTACAGGCATGAGCCACCGTGCCCAGCCCAAAGCCAAACCTTTCAGGAAGCTTTTCTTAATACTACCACCTATTTCCTTTTTTTAAATTTTGGGATTTTTTTTTTTAATGGAGAAAAGAGCAGGGAATTGTATGAAACAGCATTCATTTATGTTTACACCATCCATAATTGACATTTCTTATAATTTTGTCTTGTTTCAAGTTTTTGTCATAAAAAATTTAAGTTATAATCCTATCTTCTAATTTACCTACTTCTGCCTTCTGTGTATTCATAAAAATTATCATCCTTTCTCCAGTATGCTCCTTAAAGTTTGGAATTTTCGTTTCTACATGGTCATAGCATTTCTAAAAGGAAAGAATTTAAGTTTCAGAAGGATTTGGGGGACCATAGCCTCAGTTACTCACAAACTGGTTAGTAATTTGTAATCGCCTACCACTATATTAGAATTAAATTCCTGTCTTTCTTGGTTTTCTAATACTTGGCTCTTGTCAACATTTTCCCCTAATATTTCCTAATGTATACTCTGGAGTCAAGAACATTTTCTAAATCCACTCCTGTATCCTAAGTGTAATCATGTTCATTTGACCAAAGTATCTTTGGACATGGCTCCTTGCTCCCTGCTCCCCTACCCCCACTCCCTCCCACTCTCACCTTCCTAAATTTTAGCTCCGTTTCTTCCTCTCTGTACCTTTTCTCTCATGAGACAAATCAAATCTCTAGTGCGACAAAGCATTTCCAACTTCTGTAACTTGTTTTATCTAAATCATTGTTTAAAGTCGTCATTATGCAATGAAAACTCATTTAATTTTTATTGTTAATCTTGTGATCCCATTATTTGCTTTCTGAAAAGCTGTACGAATAAACCATCTCTGATGCTTTTATCTGTTATTGTATTCCTCTCCACAAATTGCCTGAAAGTTACTTATTGATTAATTTATAGCTGTGTGCAAACTCTTTGTGGTGCAGTTCCATGATTCCTTTCCTGCAACTTTGAAAGCCAAAGCTTATTGTGAATTGGGTCAATTTATAAAACTACTAATTTGGTGGCAAAACCTGACCATTCTGAAGAGAAACTGTTTAGTCTTTATCCCACTTAATGTGCCTATTCACACATTTTGCTGCAGAAATATTAATATATTTTATTCAGGTGCTACTGGTATTGTATTGGAGATATTATATAATATACACTGTATACAATTCATTATTCTAAAATTTGAAAAATTTCTGAGTTTCAAAACACTTCTGGCTCCAGGGAATTTGGATGAAAGATCATTGACCTATTGTGATAATAAAAATCCACTCTCACTTTTAATTTGTGTTCCTTTTTCTGAGCTGCTTCCTTGCCTTTGATTTCTTAGTGTTGTTAAGTATTCCTAATTAGTCAGCAATCCTTTATGGAAGCAATCATAATGTAAAGAGCCGTTAAATAGAGCTTTTTATCACTGTTGTTACCCCTTCAATGGTAAAATGAAAAGATCCCTTAAATAGACAGGATCTGAGTTCTAACTTTGGCTCTATCATTTGCTAATTTATGACCTTTGTCAGATTTGTCTAACCCTCTCTGGTGATTATCTCTAGCCTCTGTCAGAGTTACATGGATCAAGTGAGATAATGTGTATGAAAGTGCTTTGAAAATGTTAATGCTATACAAGTATAAATAATAGTACAGATACTAAAAGAATAATTAGTAGTTCCATTCTGAGCATTCTTTCCTTATTCTGGGGTATAGGAATGATATTTAATTGTGATAATAATAATCTAAGCTGTTGAGGGCTTACTTTATGCTAGGAACTGTGCTAAGCAGTTTACATGAGGTGGCTACTGCCATTCCTGTTTTGCAGATGAGAGAACTGATAATCAAAGATTAAGAAACTTTCCCGGCCGGGCGCGGTGGCTCACGCCTGTAATCCCAGCACTTTGGGAGGCCGAGGCGGGCGGATCACGAGGTCAGGAGATCGAGACCATCCCGGCTAAAACGGTGAAACCCCGTCTCTACTAAAAATACAAAAAATTAGCCGGGCGTAGTGGCGGGCGCCTGTAGTCCCAGCTACTTGGGAGGCTGAGGCAGGAGAATGGCGTGAACCCGGGAGGCGGAGCTTGCAGTGAGCTGAGATCCCGCCACTGCACTCCAGCCTGGGCGACAGAGCGAGACTCCGTCTCAAAAAAAAAAAAAAAAAAAAGAAACTTTCCCAAGCTCATATAAGCAGCTCACTTCAGTTTCAGATCTTATTCTGGCTTTCAGCTTTTAACTAAATTTTATACGGGGACAAAATAATTATGTGTCTAATTGCTTTCCCACTTCTGCTTATGGAGTCATTTTAACTACAAAGTGAGAAAAGGAAACTCACCTGAATTACTAGTAGCTGTGTCCTGGTTTCAGTTTCTAACTTCTCAAGCTATACCTCAATAATTCTAAAGTAATTTTTCAAGGTCAGACTTGGCTATAGCTCAGTGTGTCACTGCGTTGTAAAGATTGATGCTTCTGTTTCCTTGAAATTATCCTGGTTATCTTTAGTAATTTTTTGGTTTTGTTTTGCTTTGTAAAATCAGTAGATTTTATAAGGGAGATGTCCTTATTTTTAAAAGGTATCCATTATAAGTATGTGTGCTGGCATGCACATCTCTAAAATGTCCTTAAATAAAACTACAGTTAATGCAGTTGTCTCTGAAACATTATTTCCTTTATACTTCCCTGTGGCATACCATGGCATTTGTGAAAATATATTGTTTAATCAGTGTGCCTTCTTCTGTGATGTTAACATGTGAAAGAATTGGCAAGCTTGGCATCTTGAGGAGCATGAAGTAGGTACTCTTAAGAAAAACCATGGCCAGGCACAGTGGCTCACTCCTGTAACCCCAGGACTTTGGGAGGCCAGTGCAGGCAGATCACTTGAGGTCAGGAGTTTGAGACCAGCCTGGCTGACACAGTGAAACCCTGTCTTTACTAAAAATACAAAAATTAGCCAGGAGTCGTGGTGGGTGCCTGTCATCCCTGCTATTCGGGAGGTTGAGACAGGAGAATCACTTGAGCCCGGGAGGCAGAGGTTGCAATGAGCCGAGAGATTGCACCACTGCACTCCAGCCTAGGTGACAGAGTGAAACTCCGTCTCAAAAACAAAAAACAACTAGTTTTATTTCATAATGATTTACAATCAAGGTATAACTTTTTTTTGCTAAACTAGCAGCTTGGTAATCAAAGTGAAGGAATTTACCATTTGTTTGTCCTTTCTATATTGTCTCTTTAGCCAGTGTGTTTGTACGTGCTAGAGTACACCTATTAATATATATATCTATCAGTGAACTACTGAAATATCCAGATTAACTAGTGTTAGTAACTGGTAACTGTTGTTGCCAGACAAACTCCTAGACATGAATCTCCTATTTTGCCTTCTTTACTGACTGGGTCAACTTTTCCATTCCATTGCATCTCAGTCACTTTGTGAGTCATTCCAAAATTTCAGTTACCAATACATTAACTTTTGTTTGAAAGGCAAGCTTAGTTATTACATGAAGATATACATGAGATTGAGTTGGAATCTGAAGCATAATTTCGAATGTTAGAAAATTTAACATACACAAATAAGTAGGAAACAAAGACCAAAAGAATAGCCTGAACTAAGACTTTGGCCTTAGAGAATGCTAGCATATTTGGGTATTGCCAGATTTTATAAAAATATGAAAAGGAGAGAGCAAAGTTGAAATATTTAGCTGACCTTCAATAAATGTTGGTTGGAGAAATGAATAGAACAAGGCATTATAAACTGTCTGATATGGAAATTTTCTTTTCCTTTGGCTGTGGATCACAATAGGGTTTCAGAGCAAATTAGTAAAATTAGTGAAAGAACCCAGTGTGATTCATCACCAACTTACAGGTTCTCTCCTGATCTTCTTCCCTGCAGTCTGAGAGCATTTGATATGCTGGTAGAAATGATGAATTGGCCTGCAGGCAAGAATCAGGTGTTTGTGGTAATGCTCAGATTGCTCCTTTTTTCTGAGTGTACCCATTTTGTGGGAAGATAAAAGAGGGACCGTAACAAAAGGGTACAGACAAGATCTTATCCCACCTGAGATGCCAAATCTGCCAGTTAGGGATCTATGGCTGAGCCATTTTTACAATACAACATTCCTGACACCAAACGTGTGGGTTTTTTCCTTACACCAACCAATTATCCAACTCCCTGGTTGCCAACTTGGTATCATACAATTCAGTTCAGTTCTGACAGTCTACCTGGAATTAGTGTCAGCTCCCACAAGTTAGAGAGCTCAGTCGCACAACAGATAGCAGTTGCAAGTGTTGGACCTTCCGTACTTCTGACCTACCATCTGTAAACTGGGTTCCCCTGACCCTCTCCTCAGGTTTGATAACTTGTTAGAATGCTTCACAGAACTCAGAAAGGCTGTTAAACTGGTAATTACAATTGCCGGTTTTCTATAAAGGACACAACTTAGGAACAGCCAGATGGAAGGAGATGCACAAGGCAAGGTATGGGGATGAGGTACGTGGAGCTTCCATGTCTTCTTTAGGCATGCCACCCTCAGCACCTCTGTGCACTCACCAACCCATAAACCCATAAATGTAGGTGTTTTATGGAGACTCTATTATGTAGTCATGATTGATTGAATTATTAGCCATTAGTGAGGTGATTAACTTAATCTCCAACCCCTCTAGCTCTGGAGGTGGGGAGCAGGAGGCAGTCTGAAATTTTTTAGCCCTCTAATCACATAGTTAGTTCCTCTGGCAACCAGCCCCCTTCTGAAGCTATCTTGGGGCCTCCCAAGAGTCACTTCGTTAGCACAAACTAGATTATGGTTATGAATAATCCCTATCACTCAGGAAGTTCTTTGGGTTTTAGGAGCTCTGTGCCAGGAGCTGGGGATGAAGATCAAATACGTTTCTTTTTAAGACCCTGGACAAAATGCTGAAAAAAAATTTCTTATATTACAGTATCACAATTTTGGGAAATTTTGCATATTGGCAACTATTCCTTACGATACGAATTTGGATTATTTCCAGTGGCCAGGATGGATTTCAACAACTATTTAAGTGCCTGCTATGGGCTCGAACAATTTTCTAGATAGTGGTAAGAGACAAGGCCTTTGCTCTCCTGTAGTGCTTAAAATAGGAGACTAGACAGGAGAAGACAAATAATTAAACAAGAATAACTTAATGAGGTAACTCTGATATGGGAGGTAGAAGACACTATTGGATCCTAAATGAGATGGGTGATGGACAGGGAAGGCATCATGTTAGAAGTGAAGTTTAAGCTGAAACCTGAAGGGTAAGTGGAATTTAGCCAGGGGAAAATAAGGGTAAGAGTCAGAGGAGGGAATAGTATGTGTAACTCTGGAGGCAGGAGAGAGCAGAATGGCACTAAATAAGTGACAGGAAGTTGGTTTGGTGGAGGGCAACATGGAAGGGGGGTATAGATAGTTAGAAGTTTAACCTTCATTTTCAGGTACAGTGAAATGTCCATAGTCTTATTTCTGTTTGTCATCAACTCTCCTTATTCTGAGTCTCCGGAAGGCAGATCAGAGGAAGAAACGCCATTTCCATAGTTTTGCCTTTTCCAGAATGTCATATAGTTGGAATCATATAGTATGGAGCCTTTTCAGATTGGCTTTTTTCACTTAGTAATATGCATTTAAGATTTCTCTGTGTCTTTTCATGACTTGATAGTTCATTTTCTTTTTAGTGAATAATACTCCATTGTCTAGTTGTACCAGTTTGTTTATCCATTCACCTACCGAAGACATCTTGCCTGCTTCCAAGTTTTGGCAGTTATGAATAAAGCTGCTATAAACATCTTGTGCAGATTTTTGTGTGGACTTTTTTGCCTCCTTTGGGTAATATCAAGAAGCACAATTGCTGGATGGTAAGAGTATTTTTAATTTTTGTGAGAAACTTCCAAAATAGCTGCCCCATTTTGCATTTCTACCAGCAATGAGTGAGAGTTCCTGTTGATTCATATCCTGGCCAGCATTTGTTGTTGTCAGTGTTCTGGATTTTGGCCATGCTAACAGGTATAGAGTGGTATCTCATCGTTGTTTTAATTTGTATTTTCCTGGCAACATACGATGTGGGCCATCTTTTCATATGCTTATTTGCCTAGACTTTATTTTTCAGAGCAGTTTAGGTTCATAGCAAAATTGAAGGGAAAAGTACAGTTTCCATATATCCCATCCCCCATCCTCAACACTGCCTCCCCCACCATCAGTATTCCATACCAGACTAGTACTAATTTGTTACAATCAGCGAACCTGCATTGACACATTATTATCAACCAAAGTCCATAATTTACTTTAGGGTTCACCCTCAGTAGTATACATTCTATTGGCTTGACAAACATGATGTCATGTATCCACAATTACAGTATCACACAGAATAGTTTAACTGCCCTAAAAATCCTGTGTTCTACCCATGTATCCTTTCCTTCTCTGGCTGTTTTTAATAATTATAAAGTAGAATTTAGTAGAGTAACGATGTTTGTAGCCTGAGAAGACAACTACAGTTTATATTACATGTATTGGTCATAAATATAGGGGGAAAATCTTCCTCTATAGATGTGACTTTTGGGGACCTACAGGCAACTGCTTGGATTGCCAGTGTTGGGGTTGAGGGTCGGGGAACAGAGTTGGTAAATATTTTGGGGGGAAAATCAGAAATTAAGAGACATTATGGAAGAGTAACACCAAATTATTTGCTTATTGCTGTTATAGCTTTCCTAATTCTGTTAAGATTGTCCCTAATTCCCTCCAGTGAGAAAATAAGAACTTTTTTCTTCCCAGCTTCCCTTTCTCTTTCTCTTTGTCTAGAACTTAAACATTTATTATCCCTAGAACTTGTGGATTTCTGCAATTTCAGTTAAAATTTCCAAATTTCTCTTAAAAACACTGTATTTAGTGCTTTAAAAAAGTCATGTGGAGGGCAGGGGCTGATAGGTACTTTGAGCTAGTTAGTAGAATTTCTCTGATGGACATTTCTATCCAATGAAATGTCCTGTGTTATCAGAAAAGTAGAGTTAAGACAGTGAAGTAGTGAGAATGCTCCTCCAATGGATGATTTATGGCTTGTTTTTTTTTTTTTTTTTTTTTTCACTTTCATTTTAGGTTCATGGGTACATGTACAGGTTTGCTATGTAGGTAAACTTATGTCACGGGGGTTTGTTGTAAGATTATTTTGCCACCTAGGTACTAAAGCTTAATAACCAGTAGTTATTTTTTCTGATCCTTTCCCTCCTTCCCACCCTCAAGTAGGCCCCAGTGTCTTTTGTTCCTCTCTTTGTGTCCTTGTGTTCTCATCAGCTAGCTCCCACTTACAGGTGAGAATATGTACTTCTCTGTTCCTGTGTTAGTTTGCTAAGGATAATGGCCTCCCGCTCCATCCATGTTCCTGCAAAGAACATGAGCTTATTCTTTTTTAAGACTGCATAGTATTCCATGGTGTATGTGTACCACATTTTCTTTATCCAGACTACTGTTGATGGGCATTTAGGTTGATTCCGTGTCTTTGCTCTTGTGAATAGTGTTGCAGTGAACATATTCATGCATATGTCTTTATGATATAATGATTTATATTCCTTTAGGTATATACCCAGTAAAGAAATTGCTAGGTCAAATGGCAGTTCTGTTTTTACCTCTTTGAGGAGTCATGTGGCCCTTTTAAAACTTGTTTCAAACCATGTTGAGAACATAAAACCCTGGTCCTACCTTTGTCATTAGTTTTCCATTGGCTACAAATTATAGGTAGCTTTCTAACTTAAACATTTATTATCCCTAGAACCTGTGGATTTCTGCAATTTCAGTTAAAATTTCCAAATTTCTCTTAAAAACACTGTATTTAGTGCTTAAAAAAAGTCATGTGGAGGGCAGGGGCTGTTAGGTACTTTGAGCTAGTTAGTAGAATTTCTCTGATGGACATTTCTATCCAGTGAGCTTGTAATTGTTTGAATAGCAATAGACAGTTTGGGATTCCTTATTCTGGGATTTCTGGACACACATTAGATATTTGGTGAAGCACTATTTGGTTGCTTGATTTGGGTGGGCCTTTGAATTGTTAGGAAGTTCCTTAAATTGAGGTTTGTAACCCAGGCTTTAGGAGATCCCTGAACCTTGGAAGCAAAATATTGTTAGTAATTATATGTTTTTCTGATAACATAGTGTACATAGTTTTCATCAGAGTTTTAAAGGGTCCCTGACCCAAAATAGATTAAGAACTTTTACCTTAATTTTGTAGTGAACTCCAAGTAGAAGTTTCTAGGTTGGATATTATAGTATAATTCATTACTTGGATTATTGGTGAGCATATAGAACTTAAACTCTGATCATCTAGCACAACAGCAGTAACCTGATTATTTTATAGATTTTCTTGACAAAGCAGTGATGTATGGTATAACCAGAGAGATGTTGCTGGTTAGAGGATGGTTCCATATGGAGGATGATTTCAACTTTGAGGAAAAATTGTTGTTAATGATAATCAGACTTTTTCCAGCTTCCCAGTGATTATATGTTGTTATTTCTTCAGACCATTGGTATAATAAATATGGTGTTGTTGCCTCAAAATCTTGTCAAAGTTTATCACCTGTTTAGCCTTTTTAATGAAACCATGCAGTCTTTTCATGGTAGTACTTTTGTTATTTGACATATAATTCTTCAGGTAAGCTAACATCCAAGAATTATATGCTACAGCTTTTAATTCTGTTTTTGTTTTCAGAACTCTTCATCTTGGCTTATACCTATACTGCCTGATATGCTCCGACACATTTTTCAGTTCTGTGTTTTGGAAAGCAGCCAGGAAATTCTGGACCTTATTCACAAGGTACACAGCAAATGTATTTGTGTTCCTTTTCCTAGTAACTTTTGTAGATTTTTAAAATTTTTCATAATTGCTGTTCTGTTGGTCATTCATATCTCATGGAGATTTGAAAAGTCTGGAGATCTGCATAATGAGACAGAGAACTAGGCTTCTTACATGTAGCATGTAATAGTTAAGTTTTGATTGGCCATGCTTCTTCCTCTTATTATGTGACTTACACAGGTGTTTTAAGCACTTTCTGATAGCCTCAATACAGAAAATGAAATGAGGAAAAGATTGCTTTTCTCTAGCCCTCATCTTGCTGTTTATCAATATGCTTATAGATCCTGCAAAGTATCTTTTAGGATCTGTTGGTAATATAGAGTCTAATTATTGTTGAAACTTGTACTTTTTTCCCTACTTAGAGTGATCATATGTGTTAGAATCATTAAAGGAGGAGCCGTTTGATATATTTAATAGCATTTATGGGGGGAAATGGCACTTTTGTACCTTTATAATCTGTTAAATTACTCTTGAATTGTTGGCCTCTAAAGTGACTCCTTGTTAACAACCTTGGATTAACAGTGGTGATCTTGCCATAGGCTAGTCCTAGCCCATTAAATGTTAGGCATCAGGAAAGGTACCTTATCCTTATTAAGTAAGATCATGAATCAAAACTTATACTGTTTTAAATTTATACTAGGTTATTACCACCTTTGAGTTTAGCAGAGAATATTAGGAGCTATTTTTAAATGTGTGTTGAATATAGGACTGCATTAATATTGAGTCTTATGATATATGCAAAGGATTTATTTCAGTGACTTACTGAGATTTTGACAATTTTGTATTACTTTTATAGGCATGTTTTTTTAAAAAGAGAATTGTGTTCTTTTTTTAAAAAAAAACTTTCCTTTGCATGACTTTTTTTTTAGTGCACAAACCTATTAGAAAACAGTACTGTATTTCAAAATAAGCCTCTATATTGAATTTCTAAATTAATCTCTGTGCTATTTCCTACTTAAAAAAACCTCAGTATTCCTAAAGATAAGTGTTAGAGTTTATTTTTATTAGAAAAAATTCACTTTCATGTCCCCCTTTTACCCTGCAGGTTTGGATGGAACTGTTGAGTAAGGCTTCAGTTCAGTATGTGGTAGCAGCTGCTTGCCCATGGATGGGTGCTTGGCTTTGCTTGATGATGCAGCCTTCTCATTTACCTATCGATTTAAATATGTTGCTAGAAGTAAAAGCTAGAGCCAAGGTAAGTGTAGAGGGACATAGTGTATTTGTGTGTTCATCATCTAATTATTAATACAGTAACCATATTTTTAAAAATCTGTATTGCCTTAAGTGTGATTTAATTAACATAAGTAAGGAGAAACCGTTATTTTATTAGGACCCTGACAAAATGAATAGTAATGTTTATCCATTAAAATTTTGTGAAAAGAACTGTATTTTACTGGGATTATTTTAAAAATATCATATTTTTGTTGTTGCCTATTCAGTTTTAATGGTTAATCTTTATTGTTTTTTTTTCCCCTCCCTCTGTAGGAAAAAACAGGTGGTAAGGTGCGCCAAGGCCAAAGCCAGAATAAAGAAGTACTTCAGGAGTATATTGCAGGTGCCGACACCATCATGGAAGACCCAGCCACCAGGGATTTTGTAGTTATGCGGGCCAGAATGATGGCAGCCAAGTGAGTGTACATTAAGTGTCAGGTAGTCATACATTTACAAGTCTGGCTTTCAAAGGTTATTTAACCAACAGAAGATTCCTCTGCTGTCTCCATCAGTCCTTCCTTCCTTCATCACACTAATTATAGCCTAAGGAAAAATTAGAGTAAGCAAATACTTCTAATTATTTTAAAGCTTTAAAATAGGATTTATATCTTCTTATGAAGACAAGATAGTCATTATACCTTCTGTGGGAAAAGTTATGGCTTCAAAAAGCCAAATTTTGCTTCAAGTAATTATAGGAAATTGAAAAAATTTCCCGAAGTATGGGGAAACTTTACTTCAAGTAATTTCTTATAGTAACTTCCTTTTTCTCCCTCTTAGGTTGTTAGGAGCACTTTGTTGCTGTATTTGTGATCCAGGTGTAAATGTGGTAACTCAAGAAATTAAACCAGCTGAATCCCTGGGCCAGTTACTACTCTTCCATTTGAACTCCAAGTCTGCTTTACAGAGGATTAGTGTAGCTTTGGTAATCTGTGAATGGGCTGCTTTACAAAAGGTAAGATTTTGCCCCAAAAGTAATAAAGACAAATTAAGTAAACCAATTTCCATTAGCTGTTAGGATTATTTACAACAGAAAAGTGAAAATTTTCGATGTATAAAAATCCAAGAGTTACAGAAAAGTGTCCAAATTATATTGAAGATTATTTCTCTCCCATTTACTTTTAACTCTGGACTTTTGTCTTAGAACCCCTACTCATACTTCCAACTACTAGTTATGCTCATACTTAATATTTGCTGTTGACTGTACAGTCTGTTAAGAAATATCCCTATTAAAAACCGCGTATATGTGAAAGTAGTCCAGAAACTATTGGTCATCCATTCCTCTATATGTCACTCAGGTATCACTGAAAACTACAAAGGATGAGGCTTTGAGTATTAGACATCCATCTGTGTGGGTAGTAGCAAAGGCAGAATTTTTGGTCACAGGAAGAATAACATCTCTGTATTTAAACCAAAATCTTCATGTTTCCAAATAAACCATTCCCTTCCAGCCTCTTTAACCGTTAACTTCTAGGGAGATGTATGATTTTGTATAAGACATACTTCTGTAAATCAAAGAAACTTTCTACTGGCTTTGTTTATTCCATTGACTGGAATTCTGGAAATTTAACTGTCTGCACTTGCTGTGAGAGTTACTTGTTACTGCCTGTTAGCAGTTTGTCAAAGCTGTATCTAAAAGTAATTGAGCCATGCTCCATTGCAGCTGACACCCCTGCTTGGCCTCTGGAAAGAAGCAAAGCTCATCTGTTTTTAGGCAGGAGTTGGTGTGCTGGAGAGGCAGTGATGCTATGTTTTTGTGCCTCTCAGACTTAGCAGCAAGTGTTGACAGTTAGGTTTCTGGACACTCACAGAGCTTCATGGACTTACTCTGTGAAGCCCAGGCTGATAACTGAGATGCCACAGAACCCCTCATGGCTCACCACTGAGGCCATTTCCTGTTGGTTTGGGGCAGGCAACAACCAGAGAGAGTGGGAAGGGTTAGTTAAATTTGGGGATAGATAAGTAGCTTTTAAAATTTATATCCACTTTTACAGTATGGCATGTGAAGCTTAGGGTTCAACTGTTATCTAATAATGAGTTTTTAAATAACATTTTTAATTAGTGCTTGATAGATTTCTTTTCTGATTTTTTTTTTTTTTACCATAATACACTTTAAAATCTGTGATATATATACACGTGTAAACTTTGGATAGGTAGAAAATGAAGTTGTAATAGTTCTGTGTGCATGTTCTGTAGTCATTCATGTTAAAATTTTACAATAATTTGGATGTAATACCTTTTTTTCTGTGCAATTAACTGTTGTTTGGAGAAGTAACAGAATATAGATTCAGTACAAGTAAGAATTTAGAACTTGGTAGTCTACAAATGACGATTTCTGTATCTATAAAGTTAATGTTCATACAGTTACCCTATTTGTTTTCTGTTGTATTTTAGGAGTGTAAAGCTGTTACCTTAGCTGTGCAGCCGCGTTTACTTGATATCCTTTCAGAACATTTATATTATGACGAAATTGCCGTTCCATTCACACGAATGCAGAATGAATGTAAACAACTTATATCATCATTAGCTGATGTACATATTGAAGTTGGTAATCGAGTAAACAACAATGTTTTAACAATAGATCAAGCTAGTGACTTGGTGAGTAAAGAAATAACTTTCTTAATTAGAGATAGAACATGAAATATAGGTTAGAAATTTGTCATGACATGTTTATCACAAAAACACATTAGTTTGTTGAGTCTGTATGTGGCTTGGTAGCCTGTCATCTCTACCCTTGAGAAAGGTTATTTCATTGTATAGGCTTTTCTTGAAATAAGAGAATAACAAAGAATTTTTTTTAAACCAAAATTCTGATAAATCAATGCACCTTTATTAGAAAAAGCTATTATATTTTGTCATTTCAGTTTTGCTTAACACTGCAGAGTATAGAAAAAACTGCTTCTACAAGTTCCTGAGTACTTCTTCCTGCTCTCAGCCTATAATGAAAATATTCAAACATATAGAAAAAGTGATGAAATTACATAACACTCATACTTAACAGCTAGATTTTATAGTTAACATTTTACCTAATTTACTTTATCACATACGTATTCACCTGCCTACCTCTCTATCCAACCATGAATCCATCCAGGGCAGTTTTTTTAAATGCGTTTCTAAGTAAGTTTCAGATATCAGTATACTTCAGGATTTTATATAATTAACTAAAATTCAGTATTTGTTTATTTTTTTTTGCTGTTCTGAGGAAAAATTTATGTGCTAAAGCACACAAATCTTAGGTGGACCATTTGGTGAATTTTGACAGATGCATATGCCTATGAAACCTGAACCACTGTCAAGATACAGAACATTATCATCACCACTTCCCAGTAATCTCTGCCTCTCCCTGCCACCGAGTAACCATTATTCTAATTCCCCCCCGAAGATACATTACTTTTGCCTGTTCTAGAATTTCATGTAAATGAAATCATACACTGTGCTCTTTGGTGTAAGGATTTTTCTTAGAATGGTATTTTTGAAACTAATCTGTGTTATATATATATATATCAATAACTTATTTTTTTTATTGCTTGAGTTTTATTTCATTGTATTATTATACCACAACTAGTTTAAGCCATTCTCCCGTTTATGGACACTTTGGCTGTTACCACTTTTTGTCTGTTGTGAAAAAAGTCACTATAAACGTTCTTCTGCAAGTCTTTGTGGACATCTGCTTTCATTTTTCTTGGGTAAATATGTAGGAGTGGAATTGCTAAATCATAAGATAGGTGTAGGTTTAGTTTTAGAAAAAACTACAGACTTTTCCCCAAAGAGATTGTATCATTTTACCCTCTGACCATCAGTATGTGAGAGTTCTGGTTACTCCACATCATCAATATTTGATGTGGTCAGTTCTTTTAGTGATTGTCTGATAGTGTTATTGTGGTTTTAATTTCCATTTCCTTGATGACTAATATGTTGAATACTTTCTAATTTTTTATTGATCATTTGTATATTTTCCTTTCTGAAATATCTTTTCAAAATCTTGTCTACTTTGAATTAGGTTGTTTGTTTGTTATTGAGTTGTGGGAGTTCTTTATGTATCCTGGATTCCAATCCTTTGTCAAGTAGATGCTTTCTGAATATTTTCTGGCAGTGAGTGGTTTGCCTTTTGATTCTCTTAATGCTGTCTTTGGATGAGCAGATATTTTAAATTTTGGTGAATTCTAATTTATCAGTTGTTTTCTTTCATGGCTATTATGTTGTGTGACTTCAGTAATTTTTTTTTTTTTAACTTTCCAAGTGGCAAAGGTATTCACATATGTTTTCTTTTGAAGTTTTGTCATTTAGTTTTTATGATTTATCATTCATTTGGAATTAATGTTTGTGTATAGTATGAAGTAGAGGTTGAGGTTTGTTTTTCTTACAGATATCTAATTTTTCCAGCATTATTTATTGAAAATACTTTCATTTCCCTATTGGATTGTTCTGGCACCTTTGTCAAAAACCAACTGAAGTTATATAAGTATGCTGTGTATCTGGGCCATTTGTTCAATGTATTTGTCTTTCCTTATGCCAGCATCCATGCTTCATTACAGCAGCTTTGTACTTAGTAAGTGCATGAGATTAGGTGTAGTATATATGAGTTCTTCCTTTTTTGAGTTATAGGATCAGAAATTGAGTCACTTCATTTGTGTTGGTCCCCATGAAAATAGTAATCTTCATTTCTTATCCCCATTTCTAGTTGAAAAATAATATAGTTGAATTTTTTTGTTCTCACCTGTGGAGAGAAAGCTAAAATTGCTGTTTTTTTTCCCCCTGGGTTCTCTTCTTTTATAAAGTTATTTTCCCGAGTGTTGTTATTCTGTAAGTTTTCCTTTTTGCCTCCTCTCCCTACTTTTTTGCCTGTCTGGAATTAAATCTCAAATTTTCTTTATAGTCTAGGTTCCCTGCCTACTATTTCTGGGAACTTTCCTTTTTTAAGCTCATCAAATGGCCCCTTCTTTAAGATTTGCTTATTCAGATCTTTTACTCTTCAGTTGTTTTGACTTGGGCTAGAAGATAAGCATAAATATCAGAATCTCTGGGAGAGACTTTTTTTCTTTTTTTTTTCTGTAAGGGACTTTTGAGGGAAGGGCAGTTTTCAAAGGAGCCACTGCCTTTTGTATCTTCATTGAATCCCTGTTTTCCTGTTACCTGCCAAATATAGACATTTCCCTGCGATCTTTGTCTCTTGCACCATTCTCATGATTTAGTTCCTACCCAGGTACTGTGTGCTGTCTACTCTCAGTCTTTCTTACGTTCTTCTTTTAGGCATTTTTACTTAAATATCTCACTGTCACTTCACACTGAACACAACAAAAACTGGCTTTTTTTTTTTTTTTTTTGACAAAGATACTCTTTTTATTCCAGTCACAAATCTTGTCAGCATTTTCTTTCAGAAAGTCTCATGTGTTTAGGCCGGGCGCAGTGGCTCACGCCTGTAATCCCAGCACTTTGGGAGGCCGAGGTGGGTGGATCATGAGGTCAGGAGATCAAGACCATCCTGGCTAACATGGTGAAACCCCATCTCTGTTAAAAATACAAAAAATTAGCCGGGCGTGGTGGTGGGTGCCTGTAGTCCCAGCTACTCGGGAGGCTGAAGCAGGAGAATGGCGTGAACCCAGGAGGCGGAGCTTGCAGTGAACCAAGATCACGCCACTGCGCTCCAGCCTGGGTGACAGAGTGAGACTTGGTCTCAAAAAAAAAAAGAAAGTCTCATGTTTAATCTCTTCTCTATTTCCATTATCAGAGCCCAGTCAGATCTTAGTACTTTATATCTAGGTCCTGACTCATCTCTAGGGCTCCAGGCAGCCTCTGGTCCATTTCATTCTGCATGTTGTGCTAGACTAGCAATGCTCTTTTTGTGCCACCCTGAACATCCCTCTCCTGCTTAAAAACATTATTTTCCTTTTCCTTGCTTTTTCATTTTTATCTTTCTTCTTTTCATCACTTTCTTCTAAATGCTCTATCTCTTATCTCCTCATTATTTCTCAAACTTTCTCCACTCACGCCCAGTTAGCTTTCTTCTTGCGCAAGTACGCTACACTTATTCACTTCTGCTCATTCTCACTTCTGGGCCCGAGCTTCTATTTCCTTTGCCAGGAATTCCCCATCCCTAACCCTCTGTGCTTATCCAGAGTTCATCTCTTTTTCTGTGTGTTGTGCTCAAGCTATGATAAACTTCAATTCCACAGACAGTGTCCTGTTTTCCACTCCCTACCTCACTTTGTTTGCCAAGATGTCCCTATAATCCCTGATTGGCCTGTTCTTTAAAAACCAAGCATAAGTGTTATCCTCCTCTGACAAGTCTCCCACTAATCTCTTCTTCTAAGAAGGAATAAGGAGTGCTCTGTATTCCCACAGCAACTTGCACTTACCTCAGTTATATGTTACATTTTCTTAATTATTTATATCTCTCCCACATTAGTCTCTGCATTTTTTGAGCATATTAAGACATTATATCTTATTTATCTTTTAATAAATATTGGTTGAATGATTGAATTAATTTGGGGGTAACTGAGGCTTTTCCTCAGTTGTCTACAGTCATTGAAAAGTGACATGAGCATAGTGGATTTAGGACAATGTTTTTAAACTTTTAGCATTGTAACCCTGTTTCAAATAAATCTTATACATTGTACATTTCAAATGGGTAGTTTTTATGGTATGCAAATTATATCTGAATAAAGTTGTTAAAAAAAAGACTGACTGAACAGTCTTTCAATGGGGCTTGCAAAGTAGTCTGGTACAACAGTCCTGTAGCCTTAGATAGCTCTTGGTAATTAAGTGAATGATAACTGCACCATTTTGTTCTGTTCTGTTTTGTTTTGTTTTGTTTCTTTTCCTTCTTCCATTGCCTGGGCATTTCCACCAGAAGGGAGGTTAAAGAAAGAAAGAGAATGATTCAGTTAGCAACACTTAGCCACTTAGTAAACAGCCACTCTTAAGTTTTCACGAGTTTTAGAGTTGAAAAGAATATTTTTCCCAAAAAGAAGTTTGTGAGTTTTGGAATTCCTTCATGAACAGTTAGTTTATATTTGCCTGTAGCTTTCTTGTTTCACCAGAGTATTCTGCGGGTGTTAAATGTGATTTTCCTCAAAGTCATTTAGACATATTTAAAGGTTAGATAATTTTATTCTTCTCAAGAGAATGTCTTTCTTAAAGAATATAATGCTAATGTTAAATTTTAGTCAGATTAAAATAAAATTTAGTTGGGAAGTTTTAGACATTAGTTTACTGAGTACTAAAACAATATTACATATTGTGGAAACCAAAATTGAAACAGAAAGCTTGCTGTCTACCCTTTAGGAGCTTACAGTCTATTTGGGGTTGATATGATTAATGATTTTTAATTTCTTTTTTTTTTAATAGGTCACTACTGTTTTTAATGAAGCCACATCATCTTTCGATTTAAATCCTCAAGTGTTACAACAGTTAGATAGTAAACGACAGCAGGTCCAAATGACAGTTACAGAGACCAACCAGGAGTGGCAAGTGTTGCAGTTGAGAGTGCATACTTTTGCTGCCTGTGCAGTTGTGAGCTTGCAGCAGCTTCCGGAGAAATTAAATCCTATCATAAAACCATTAATGGAGACAATTAAAAAAGAAGAGAATACACTAGTGCAAAACTATGCAGCTCAGTGCATAGCTAAACTCCTTCAGCAGTGCACAACAAGGACGCCCTGTCCCAATTCAAAAATTATTAAAAACCTCTGTAGCTCACTTTGTGTGGACCCATATCTAACTCCTTGTGTCACATGTCCAGTACCAACACAAAGTGGCCAGGAAAATTCTAAAGGTATATACCTAAACTTTTATTTGGGGTAGAGAAATAACCTTTTAAATTTGTTTTTGTTTACTTATGGGTATAATTTAAGCACAAATCCAGTTCATGTTAGTGTTTTTTCCCATTCTGAGAGAAAAGGCTTGATTATAACAAAACTCTTTGTTACATGAATTTGCACATAATACTTACCAGTCACAACCCTGTAAGTTCAAAAAAGCCATTCATGGAAGATCTGATAGCTGATATAAGGTGACTGAAATCTGTAAGACAGGTGTTCACCCTTACCTTTGCCTTCAAAACCATCATTATATGGTTTACTGTATCAAGCTAGAAAAGGTAATTGTATCAAATGTTATTTAATGAATTTTTTTTCCTTAACCAAAGGAGCAACCCTATTGACTGAAAAAGTCATTATAAAATCTCTCGTTTCCCTAATTTAGTGCATGTTTTATGAGATTAGTGAACTTTTAGTACTTTTAGTAAATAATACTTAACCAACTTTTTTGTTTTCACTTGGAGAATTTGTATGGAAAATGAGAACTGCCCTCTGTAGGCAGGTCTTAAAGACCAGTGTTTTATTCATATGACTCAGTCCTATGTGCTTTTTGTATGTGTGATTGTTAACAAGATTTTGGGAAAACAAATTATTTGAAATGTAGTAGACTTACAGCTTTGGTGCAGCATAGATCTTGAAAAATATGTTTATGAACTAGAAGAAGAAAGGTGGACATTTTGAATATTAACATCTTAAAAATACATTGGGGTCATTCTCCCCCCTCTTACCCCCCTGGTCCATTGCTATATAAGGCAGCATCATTTTGCAGTGACCAATTTTTTTTTTTTAATTCATGGTGACTCTGCTTTTAAAGAGAACTTGCTTGAGATATTTTTTAATATTTCTCGTTATGCTTAGGCACAATAATTTTTTAAAAAGTAATAGGCCAGGCCAGGCACGGCGGCTCACGCCTGTAATCCCAGCACTTTGGGAGGCCGAGGCAGGCGGATCACCTGAGGTCGGGAGTTCAAGACCAGCCTGACCAAAATGGAGAAATCCCATCTCAACTAAAAATATATAATTAGCTGGGCATGGTGGTGCATGCCTGTATCCCAGCTACTCGGGAGGCTGAGGCAAGAGAATGGCCTCAACCTGGGAGGCGGAGGTTGCGGTGAGCTGAGATCGCGCCATTGTATTCCAGCCTGGGCAACAAGAGTGAAACTCCGTCTCAAAAAATAATAATTAATTAATTAATAGGCCAGGGACCAGGCAGTGGCTCATGCCTGTAATCCCAGCACTTTAGGAGGTCGAGGTGAGCAGATAACTTGAGGCCAGGAGTTCAAGACCAGGCTGGTCAACATGGTGAAACCCCATCTCTACTAAAAAAATATATAAAAATTAGGCTGGGTGCAGTGGCTCACGCCTGTAATCCCAGCACTTTGGGAGGCCGAGGCGGGTGGATCACGAGGTCAGAAGTTCGAGACCATCCTGACTAGCATGGTGAAACCCCGTCTGTACTAAAAATACAAAAAATCAGCCGGGCATGGTGGCAGGCACCTGTAGTCCCAGCTACTCAGGAGGCTGAGGCAGGAGACTGGCGTGAACCTGGGAGGCTGAGCTTGCAGTGAGCCGAGATCGCACTGCTGCACTCCAGCCTGGGCGACAGGGCGAGACTCCGTCTCAAAAAAATATATAAATATAAATATAAATATATATATATATATATATAAATTATCCGGACGTGGTGGCGTGCGTCTGTAATCCTAGCTACTCAGGAGGCTGAGGCATGAGAGTCCCCTTGAACCTGGGAAGTGGAGGTTGCAGTAAGCCAAGATTGCACCACTGCACCCCAGCCTAGGTGGCAGAGTGAGACTCCATCTCAAAAATAACAACAAAAAATTAATAGGCTGGGCATGGTGGCTCATGCCTATAATCCCAGCATTTTGGGAGGCCGAGGCGGGCAGATGGAATGAGCTCAGGAGTTTGAGACCAGCCTGGGCAACATGGTGAAACCCTATCTCTTCAAAAAATATAAAATTAGCTGGGTGTGGTGGTGTGTGCCTGTAGTCCTAACTCCTCAGGAGGCTGAGGTGGGAGGATTGGATCTCTTGAGCCCAGGAGGTGGAGGTTGCAGTGAGCTGAGACGGTGGTACTGCACTCCAGCCTGGGCAACAGAGAAAGACCCTGTCTCAGAAAAAAAAAATTATATATATGTGTGTGTGTGTGTGTGTGTGTATATATATATATATATATATATATATATATATATACACACATATATACACACACAAACACATTAACTGAAGTCACAATAATTTTTTCATGTGCTGTTTCTCATTGTTCAGATGGCTCTGCAACCTGGATTGTATTAGGTATAAATCCTATGCAAATAGACTATTTTATTGCCATTTCATTGTCTAAGGAAAATGTCATTGGCCTATAAAAGTTGAGGCCTAAAAGACATAGTTTAAAAATGTTTTATCTCTTATGGAGCTGAAAACATTTGGTATCACCAATATTATGATTAAAAGGTTGTTTAACTTTTTTCTTATTAGGATCCACCTCAGAAAAAGATGGAATGCACCATACTGTCACCAAGCACAGAGGTATAATTACACTCTACAGGCACCAGAAAGCTGCCTTTGCTATCACAAGTAGGCGAGGTCCTACCCCCAAAGCAGTAAAAGCTCAAATAGCAGATCTTCCTGCAGGAAGTAGTGGAAATATTCTTGTTGAACTTGATGAGGTAAGTAGTTTTTTTTTTTTTTTAATGCTTTGATTTTTAAACAAATATCTGACTTACAAATTGAGAACTAAGTTGTATTAGCTTCCAGAGTTGTTTTTAAGTAAAGAAATGGGATTAATTTTTGGAGTACTCCAACAATATGATCCAGAAAAACGGCAAACTTCAAATATCTCATGTCTCTTGTAATTTTTACCAGCTTAACTTTATCTTCCTAGGCAAGACAGCCTTGTAAACTAATTCAGTCCTATAGCAGTGACTGTAGAGAAGGTGCTCAATAATAGTGAAAGCTAACTTTTCTCTGTCCTTTCAATGCACAAATGTCATATAATTGCAACCCACCTGACTTTTTTAGTCAATTTGATATTTATTAAATGCTTAGTGTGAGGTAGGGTTCTAAATTTATTTTTCATATGAACAGCCAGTTATCCCACTATTGAATCCTTTCCTCTCTGATTTATAATGGCACCTCTGTTAATGGCTTCATATGTGTGAGGGTCTATTCAGGCTTTCCATTATCTCCCATTGGTCCACCTGTTACACCGTACAGTCTTAACAAGCAGTGGTTTTTAAAAAGTGTTTTGTTTTGAAAATCTGACAGTCACATTATTAGCAATAGAATGAATGCTCTAGTTAGTTCTTTGGAATGCAAGGCATAGGAATGTACCTCAGTTCAGCAGTAAACCATCAATACTAAAAGACATGTTTCTGTAAAATATAAACCCCTTTTAAGTTTCTTTTTAAAATCAACAGCTTATCTATATTTCCCTTAAAACATTCTGTAAAGTCTTTTTCATTGACAATATTTCCCTATAATAATTGTAATAAAAATTTTACTGTGATTTTGATATTTATATCTCTAGTTTGCATAGTTATTCCTCCAATTAAACATAATTTTAAAAATATAAATATCTTTTTGGGGGGACAGATTTATGGACCGTAATTACTGCTGAATAAGAATTATTAATCTTGGGGTTAGCTTAAACAGATGATCTTGTACTATCCCTTAAGTGAATGTAAATAAGGACACATCACTTCATCTATCTTCTCTCTAGCTGACAAGTTTCTTTGAGGTAGAGAGAAGGAGGAAAAAAAATGTCACTTAGGACTATCTCTAGAAACAGCACATATCCGTCTGTTCCTTATCCTCAACCCCAAAAAAGTGTTTTACTTTGGTCACAAAAATCTAGTTAGGTGTTGTAGGCCCCTGTAAATTTAATTATTGGGAAATGTTTATAATTGAGACAAACATGTCTAATAATTGCTTACTTGGTTAATGATAACATTATGAATTCTTAGATGGTGACTTTTAAATTCTTTTGTTAAAATTTTAAATGTATTATGATTTTTTCTGAAATTCTGTTTTTATCTAACATTTAATTTTAAGGCCCAGAAGCCTTACCTGGTACAACGGAGAGGAGCTGAATTTGCTTTGACAACTATAGTAAAGCATTTTGGTGGTGAAATGGCAGTGAAGTTGCCACATCTCTGGGATGCTATGGTTGGCCCATTGAGGAATACAATCGACATAAATAATTTTGGTATACACATATTTTTATGAGTCCAGTTTTTAACAAATTTTAATGTCTATTAATTGAATATATCCTTATAAAATAAAAATGCCTCTATGCCTCTACCTGTTTATTCCAGACCAGCTGGTAAGTTTTAAAATGGAAACTTGGTTTAAAAAAAACACACACCTTTATTTTATAAAAGAGATATTTGGGTTGGGCATGGTGGCTCATGCCTGTAATCCCAGCACTTTGGGAGGCCCAGGTGGGCAGATCACTTGAGGTCAGGAGTTTGAGACCAACCTGGCCAACATGGCAAAACCCCATCTCTAGCAAAAATACAAAAATTAGCTGGGCGTGTAGTCCCAGCTACTCTGGAGGCTGAGGCAGGAGGATTGCTTGAACCCTGGGGGTGGAGGTTGCAGTGAGCCGAGATTATGCCACTGCACTGCAGCCTGGATGACAGAGCGAGACTCTGTCTCAAAAAAAAAAAAAATTGTTTTTAAAGAGATACTTGAAATGGATCACTATGTTTAAGTTCTTTGGTTGCTCTACATGTAGTACCCCAGCACTTAAATTAAGGTCATGGCATTTAATTTTAACACTAAGAAGCAAAATTGACTCTCCTATGCTAGCTGAAAAAGTGCTAAAAGTTTTTGTGTGCTCTAGATTTTGAAAAATTATTTGCCAGATAATACAGACAATATATTTTAACAGATGGAAAATCCCTCCTGGATAAGGGAGATAGCCCTGCTCAAGAATTGGTGAATTCTCTGCAGGTTTTTGAAACAGCAGCAGCTTCAATGGATTCTGAGCTTCATCCCTTGGTAACTAACTAATGCAAGTGTAATATTTCTTCAAATAAAACAAGTGGTCTTATTAAAAAGTCTTAAGGTTTGAAAGGTACAGCTTTGATGTCATCCTTATTAATTGCATTTTTCTTTGCTGTGGTATAACTAGATTCCTCCTTTACTAACAGTGCAACTCCTGTGGGCTTTGATGTAGACCAGGCTGCTTGAATTTAATAGAAAACCCAACCTGGAAGCTTAGAATGTGGGGGCATTGAGGAAAGGACTCTGATGACACAGGAGCCAGATGTAAATAGGAAAGAAAACTGCAGCCCTGTTCATCCAGATGATCCTAATAATACAGCTCCAAGAAAGGAAAAGCATATATAATGAAATCTGTTTCCTAGATAAGTACAAAGGTGAAAGGAGTCACCTGCCTAAGGTGAAGCTGGTCAGTGGCAAAGATAGAACACTGGTTTGGGATTTTTTTAAAAAACTATTAAAATGTTTCTTACAAAAGAATTAGGACAGAGGGAGGAGGAAAATAGAGAATTATCTGGTTTTTTTCATAGAAGAATATTATTCTTTTCATATCTCTGCAATAGGAAGCTGTCTGCAATTTACCCCATTTTGAAGGGTATTAGCCCAGTTCTCTATTGTTATTTAACACAAAAGGGAGAATCTATGAGAGGGTGGAGAAGAATGGATTTTTTTTTTTGTACATAGTAATAAAGTATGTCCTTTTACTTGTTAAAAGTTTTGCTGATTTACTGTTAGTAAAGAAAAGTAGGCCGGGCGTGGTGGCTTACACCTGTAATCCCAGCACTTTGGGAGGCCGAGGTGGGTGAATCACGAGGTCAGGAGTTCAAGACCAGCCTGGCCAATATGGTGAAACCCCCATCTCTACTAAAAATACAAAAATTAGCCGGGCGTGATGGGACATGCCTGTAGTCCCAGGTACTTGGGAGGCTGAGGCAGGAGAATCACTGGAACCCGGGAGGCAGAGGTTGCAGTGAGCCAAGATCGCGCCACTGCACTCTAGCCTAGGCGACAGAGCGAGACTCAGTCTCAAAAAAAAAAAGAAGGAAAAAAAAAAGTAGAGTCCATCTGTACGCTCTTAATCTTCATAATTAGCAACATGCATTCAGCTGAACTGTAAGGCACATCAAACTGTTGAACAGATACCTGGCTCTCATCAGCATTAATTCTGGTGTTCCTTGTAGCAGACATTTAGTAAGGTGCTGTTGTGATGCTGTTGTGATTATAACACCTATGGTAAGCCAGGAAGCTACAGTGGACGATACCTACCAAAGTATGGTGCTAGAATAAAATCAGGAACACTCAAGCCACTGAATAAAAATTATGTACCTAAATCTAAATTAGTGCTACCAAATTTGGAGGGAGCTGGTGATGTGTGGTGCTGTTTTCCAGCTTCAGTAGGAGAATCTTGCCAAGTACTTTTTGGTTTGTTTCCTGTTAATTTTGGAAAGAATTGAGTGTTCCTATATGCCTAAGAGATGATATGAGCAGAGCAGAGGTTCTATACCTTTTTTTCCCTTCTTTTTGAAAGAGTTGTAATACATTAATTTGTATTTGGATTAGTTTTCTATTGAGAATGTTTTGGCAGTAATGTTTTGAAGTATTTGGAGATATTTTTAGAGTCACTTAGAATATTGAAAACTTTCCTGAGTATGGGCTATTATAGTTACATATTAAACAGTATTTCCTAATAATTCTAATTGCCATTAACTTTTTGTTTTTAGTTGGTCCAGCATTTGCCACATCTTTATATGTGCCTTCAATACCCCAGTACTGCAGTGAGGCACATGGCTGCTCGTTGTGTAGGTGTCATGAGCAAAATAGCTACCATGGAAACAATGAATATTTTTTTGGAGAAGGTTCTTCCGTGGCTGGGAGCAATTGATGACAGTGTCAAACAAGAGGGTGCAATTGAAGCACTTGCCTGTATCCTTTTTCATTTGACAAACTGTTCAGGAATTATATTCATTTCACTTAAGGATAATTAAAATGAAATTGATGTGTTCTAATATGCACATAAATAACCTGCCTTGTTCCAAAAAATACCTATTCTTTTTACATCTTATTTTGAAATATTTTTGTATTTTATTACAAATGTGTTACAAACTGATTTGCATTTTATGATAAAAATTTTCATGTGGAAAGTTTGGAAAATTGCTATTGATTTTAAAACATCTTTTTAATAGGCAAAATAGTTTTATGTACTTTATGAACTATATGTCTAGTAAGTGATTTATTTGTTTATAATCAGTGTCTTATTAATCAGGTATTCTATAGGTAGTCCCTATGTTATAAACATTTTATGTTTTTAAAGTTTGTTCATTACTTGGGTTTACAAATGACCATATTATACTAGATAATTAGAAATATACAGGCAAGCCCTTTGCTAAGGGTATGGCAGCAGCTAACATTCTTTAACTCAAAGTATCTGAAAGATATTTCACAGAGCTCAAAAGATGGATGAAGATCAAATCAGTAGAAACTCTGGTTCAAAAATACTGAAGATTACAGGAGAACTGCGCTTACTAGGCTCACTATATCCTGCTGGTGATTGTCAAGATCCTGGTGGGAAATTTGGAATTAATCTTTGAGTGACACTCAGTTATATTCCTTTACTTACAATGTGACTTATTTTATTTTGACATTGGAATTCCAGACGCTTGTAGCAATTTCTCTATGAAAAAAATCTTATTGGTAAAGCTTTCTCCAGCCTTCCTCAGAAGAAAAACATAATTTTATATTCCTAATCATGAGAAAGTTACATAATATTTTCCAAGGAGCAACAAAATGGGCAGATACTTTTATAATTGAATCATAGGCCTGGAGGGTCAGTCTTTTCCCTCATAATACAGATGAGAAAATGGTGAGCCTTTTAAAAAGTTAAAATCTTGGTATCAGTTTGTTTGTGAAAACATCTGTCTTGGAACCATTTCAAAATTTCCTTAATCACTTACTCAGGTGTAATGGAACAACTAGATGTTGGTATTGTTCCATATATTGTCCTTTTAGTTGTTCCTGTATTAGGAAGAATGAGTGATCAGACAGACAGTGTGAGATTCATGGCCACGCAGTGCTTTGCAACGCTAATTAGACTCATGCCACTTGAGGTAAGTCAAAGATACTTGCTTTAAAGACATAATGTTTTCTATAACTTGATCCATAATAATTGTAACCCTTTTTAGGGCCAGGTACAAAGGCTCATGCCTGTAATCCCAGCACTTTCTGAGGCTGAGGTGGGTGGATCATCTGAGGTCAGGAGTTTGAGTCCAGCCTGGCCAACATGGGTGAAACCCTGTCTCTACTAAAAAAAATACAAAAAAAAGACAAAAACAGTTAGCTGGGCATGGTGGTGTGTGCCTGTAGTCTCAGCTACTCGGGATGCTGAGACACAAGAATTGTTGGAACCTGGAGGCAGAAGTTGCAGTGAGCTGAGATCGTGCCACTGCACTGTATGTATCCTGGGCGACAGCGAGACTCCATCTCAAAAAAAAAAAAAAAAGAAAAGAAAAGAAAAGTAACACTTGTTAAAGAACATGTCAGGCTAAAAAAAGAAGGCATTATTTCAAAAATGTTTATATTACAATAATTAAGATTTTTAGGCTTTTAATTGGTACTTTTTTCCTTTAACACACAGAGTTTTAATTTAAGTAAAACAAGAAATCAGACACTATGATTCCTAAAAAAAATTTACTAATGCTTTTCTAGAAATAGAATTGTTCCTAAGTTTTTCTGGTAACATCTAGGTGTAGACTGTGGGCTAAAGTTTAGGCAAAAGATAAATTTGAGAGATGGTAATTAAGACTGTAAAAAGCAAATGAGGTCTCTGTGGGAGTATGAAAAAGAAGACTAGAAGGATCATGTTGGAGTATTTCGGAGTACATTCATGGGGGCACAAATAATGTGTGGCCAATGCAGGAAACTGAAGTGGCTTGAAACACAGAAAGAGCCAGGAATAATTCAGGAAATAGTAGGTATGGCATGTCATCCATGTTGTTAACATGTATAAGTACTTCCTTTTTATTGCTGAATTGTATTCCATTGTATGGACATACTGCATTTTGTTTATCCTGTCACCAGTTGATGGATATTTGGATTGTTACCAGCTTTTATTAATAGTTATTATGGGCTGGGTGAGGTGGCTCATGCCTGTAATCCCAGCACTTTGGGAGGCCACAGTGGGTGGATCACTTGAGGTCAGGAGTTCGAAATTAGCCTGACCAACTGAAAATACAAAATGGTGAAACCTCGTCTCTACTAAAAATACAAAAATTTGTGGGGCGTGGTGGCACACACCTGTAATCCCAGCTACTCAGGAGGCTGATGCAGGAGAATCGCTTGAACCTGGGAGACAGAGGTTGCAGTGAACCAAGATGGTGCCACTGCACTCCAGCCTGGATGACAAAGTGAGACTTCCTTTCAAAAAAAAAAAAAAAAAATTAAGTTATTATGAATAATGCTGCTCTGCATTTATAAGTCTTTGCGTGGATGTGTGTTTTTATTTCTTTTGAGTAAATACTTAAGAATGAAATGCTGGATCATATGGTAAGTTTAATTTTTTTTATAAAACTGCCTTATTGTTTTCCAAAGTAACTGTATCATTTGACATTCCTACCAGCAAAATAATGAGTTATAAATAGGATAGCCTCTTTGAAAAACAGTTTGGTTATATCTGGTAAAATTGAAGCTACCCAGCCTAATGACCTGAAAAATTCATCCTACATGTACACCTAGAGAATTCAACACATTTTCAAGACTTTTTTTTTTTGAGACGGACTTTTGCTCTTGTTGCAACCAGGCTGGAGTGCAATGGCGCGACCTCAGCTCACTGCAACCTCTGCCTCCCGGGTTCAAGCGATTCTCCTGCCTCAGCCTCCTTAGTAGCTGGGATTACAGGCATGCGCCACTGCGCCCTGCTAATTTTGTATTTTTAGTAGAGACGGGATTTCTCCTTTTTGATCAGGCTGGTCTAAACTCCCAACCTCAGGTGATCCTCCCGCCTTGGCCTCCCAAAGTGCTGGGATTACAGACGTGAGCCACCACACCTGGCGAAGAATATAACATCATTTATAGTAGTCTGAAACTGAAAATCACCCACATAATCATGGATAGTAGATATGTAAATCATGTACTGTTATACTGCAAGAAGACAAACCACAGACACATACAGTAATATTCATAAATCTTTAACATAGGATTCCTTTTTTATTAAATTCAAAAACAGGCAAAAGAAACTTGGTGATAAAGGTATAAAGAAAAATAAAGAAATTACCATAAAAGTCAGTGAAATCATTACCTCTTGAGGAAAGGAGAGAGAAGGTTATGATTGGGAAGGAGCATATGGGATCTTCTAGGGTGACTGCAGGGGTATTTTTCTTGATCTGGTTGTATAGATGTTTGTTTTATAATTTACTAAACTGTTTCTTAGATTATTTCTCTATATGTATATTTTACCTCACACTAAAAAAAGTGTGAAAAAAAATTACCACTGCAACAACAAAGATACTAGACCACAGTATCAAAATACCTAGGTGTCATTTCCAGAATTGTTTTCATCCTCTGCTTCCTAGATTTTAACTCAGATTCTTTCAACTCCAAGATCTTCATCCCACCTTTAAACCAAATGGGTTGTACTTAGTCTCCTTGGCCCTTTCTTAGCTTTGGAATAAGTGAGCAGTGGGAAGCTATTATGTGTTCTTTAAACAAAGGAGATGATGACCGCAGTTTTTGTTTGTTTTTAAGGAAAATTAGTCTAACAGCTGAAAGTAGTATTTTAGGAAAATCAGTTTAATAGCCATTTGAATATGGATTAGAATTGAAAGTGCGCCAAAATAGAGCTCACATCCACTGTGAGGTGATAAAGGGTCTAAACTCTAATGCTTAGCAGTAGTCTTTTGGGGTTTTCTTGGTTGTTTTTTGTTTGGTTGTTTGTTTGAGTTGGAGTTTTGCTCTTGTCACCCAGGCTGGAGTGCAATGGTGTGATCTTGGCTCCTGCAACCTTTGCCTCCTGGGTTCAAGCAATTCTCCTGCCTCAGCCTCCCTAGTAGCTGAGATTACAGGTGCTGGCCACCATGCTAATTTTTTGTATTTTTAGTAGAGACGGGGTTTCACCATGTTGGCCAGGCTGGTCTCGAACTGCTGGCCTTAGGTGATCCGCCCACCTCAGCCTCTCAAAGTGCTGGGATTACAGGCATGAGCCACCCGGTTTGTTTGTTCTTAAGGAAAAATAACAGTACTTGATAACAGATTGACAAAAGAGATTTTGAACTTTAGGTATTGAGAAAAGATTAGTAAGACTCACTTTGATAGTTGTGAAAATTACTAGAACATGATACAGATTTTGCTTCTGGCCATGATGGAAAAACAGGCAACAGATTTATCCTCCTGCCTTAACTAGAAAACCAGACAAAATGTACCAAACAGTGGTTTTCAGGCATTGGACAACAGGCAGCACTGGATAGTGAACCATGAGAGAAACGAAACAAATGAAGTGCCCTAGCTTATTGTCTGGAGGCATAGCACAGAGAAGGGAAACCCAAAGAGAGCCCAGTAGTCTTGCTGAGCTGAAGAGTTAAGACAGAATTAGCAAAACAGAGTACCTGAAGGTAGGTACTGCACAGACAGGAGGTAGCTGCACAGAGAGAAAGCTCCAGAGGTCCACAGGGGGGTTCTCCCAAGCCTTTGGCTGAGTATTCATCTGCATGTACTGTGACATCTTTGAGACTGGGGAAAGAGTCACTGTGGAAAGGAGTAGGTGGAGCAATTTCCAGACCTCACACAGGGCTGGGAATAGTTTGTATTTCCACTAAGCAGAGTAAGAGTAACAAGACCTTCTACCATACTGAGCATCAAGTCCTTAGAAGCATATTGCCTCAGTAATAGAGCCAAGTTAGCCCTTGACAAAAGGCTGATTTGGATCTTCCTTGATAAAGCTTAAAAGCAAGCCTTAACGGGTTCTAATTAATTTCAGCTAAACTAAATAGTTCCCAGAAAAAAAAGCCTCAACATATTTAAAGGAATAATTTAAAAAAAATACAGCACCCAACAACATAAAACTTCAGATGTTTGACATTCACCAAAAAATTACCACGCCCAAAAATATGTCCAGTAACTGGGGGAAAATACAGTCAACAGAAACAGTCCCTGAAGAGACCCAGATAATAGATAAGGACATTAAAATATACTCCAAGGCTGAGTGCAGTAGTTCACCTCTGTAACACCAGCACTTTGGGAGGCCAAGGCAGGCGGATTCCTTGAGCTTAGGAGTTTGAAACCACCCTGGACAACATGGTGAAACCCTGTCTCAAAAAAAAAAAAAAAAAAAAACCATATATATATATATATACACACACACACACACACACACACACACACTCCATATATTCAAGGTAGAGGAGGAAAGCATGAGTGTGATGACGAGCACAATGAAAAATATAAGAATGACCCAAATTGAACTTCTAGAGATGAAAAATGCAGTTATAAATAAAAACACACTGGATTGCATTAATAGCAGGTTAGACACTGTGGAAGAAAATATTAGTGAATTTGAAGATACATAGCAATAGAAACAAGAATGATGTCGTTTAAGTTCATTCCTGTTCCTCTTTATTTTGATTCTCTCTGTTAAGTCTTCATAGAAAAAATCATCTACTTTTCTGAAATGCATGTTGTCAAAGAATCTTGGAATGTCAACCAGTGATTTTTATAGAGGCTCTAATTCCCTGCACTGTTAGTAACTTTTGCTGATTTTTATGGACATTGGAGTGAGAAGGACACTCACGAGGGGTTGCTGGCACTGAAACAATATTCGTAACACTTGGGTTTAGGGTTTCATTGTTAGGGAATGGACCTAGTTATATGGCCCTGTGTCTTGTCATTTCTTAAAATTTCCATGAGGATAAATATATGAAGATTTTGGTATTTGTAAAGCGTTGTGCAGAAAGACTTTATTTTAATGATTATCATTATGTTGTTAGATGTTCTGAAATGTTAGTTTTTCTCTTAGCAGATAAAGTTAATTCCAATACCTTTGAAAATAGACTCAATCTACATACCTCACTGCCCTAATGCTATTTTTAGTGTTGTGTGGAATATATATTTTAATTAGATTTAATTGAAATTCTGTTTCCAGAATTTTAAATTTCTTAAGTTGAGAGACATCATAGGACAGTAGTTCTCAAATTTTTTGGTCTCATTACTTTTTTAGTCTTTCATTTTTTATTAATAAAAAAAATGTGGCTGAGCATGGTGGCTCACGCCTGTAATCCCAGCACTTTGGGAGGCCGAGGTGGGTGGATCACGAGGTCAGGAGTTCAAGACCAGCCTGACCAACTGGTGAAACCCCATCTCTACTGAAAATACAAAAGTTAGCTGGGCATGGTGGCACGCACCTGTAATCCCAGCTACTCAGGAGGCTAGGCAGGAGAATCGCTTGAACCTGGGAGGCGGAGGTTGCAGTGAGTTGAGATGGGGCCACTGCACTCCAGCTTGGGCGACAGAGTGAGACTCCGTCTCAAAAAAAAAAAAAAAGTTACGGCGTCCAACATGATGTTTTGAAACGTATCAGACCAATTAATATACCTTAGTTCATACAGTCATCATTTTTTTGGTGAAAACCCATTTAATTAAGTTTTAATCTTTTAGCAGCTTTCAAGTGTATTTATCATTAACTGTAGTCACCATGCTGTACAGATCTACAGAATGTATTCATTCTATGTAAACTTTGTACCCTTTAACCAGCATCTATCCATTTCCCCTCAGTCCTCTCCCTTCCACGCACTAAGCACCTAGTAACCACTATTCTACTCTGCTTCCATGAGTTTGACATTTTAGATTTCCACATATAAGTGAGATCACATATTTGTCTTTCTGTGCCTGGCTGGTTTCCTTTAGCATAATGTCATCCAGGTTTATTCATGTTGTCACAAATGACAAAATTACCTTCTTAGAGGCTGAATAGTATCCAGTTATATATAGATACACTACAGTTTCTTTATCCATTCATCACATAGACGAACACTTGGGTTGATTCCAAATCTCAGCTATTGTGAATAATGCTGCAATGAACACAGAAATACAGATATCTCTTCAATGTACTGATTTCATTTCCTTTGGATATATAACCAAAAGTGGGATTGCTAGATTATATGGTAGTTTTATTTTTAATTTTTTGAGTAACATCCATACTGTTTTCCATAATGCTGTACTAATTTACATTCCCACCAACAATACGCAAGGGTTCCTGTTTCTCCACATCTTCCTCCACACGTTTTGTCTTTTTAATAATAGCTATTCTAACAGTTCTGAGGTAATATCTCATACCAGTTTTAATTTGTGTTTCCCTGATGATTTATGTTGAGCATTTTTTCATTTATCTGCTGGCCATTTGTATTTTTTTTTTAAGAAATACCTATTCAGGTCCTCTGCCCATTTTTACATCTTATTTTCTTTCTGTTGAGTTGAGTTCCTTTTATATTTTAGATACTAACCTCTTATCAAGATTTATGGTTCGCAAATAATTTTTCCCATTCTGTTGGTTGTCTCTTCAGTCCGTTGATTGTCTCCTGTGCTATACAGAAAGCTTTTTAGTTTGATGCAGTCCTATTTGTCTATATATGTTGAGTATCCTTTATCTGAAATGCTTGTGACTAGAAGTATTTAAGATTTCAGATTTTTGAATGTTTGCATTATACTTACCAGTTGAGCATCCCTAATCTGAAAATCTGAAATCTGAAATGCACCATTGAGCATTTCCTTCATTTGTAATGCTGGAAATAACAATGTTTTAGATATTTGGATTTGGGATGCTCAACCTATGTTTTGATTGTTTTGGGTTTTTGTTTTTGAGAAAAGGTCTCACTCTGTTGCCCAGGCTGGAGTGCAGTTGTATGATCATGGCTCACTGCAGCTTCGACCTCCTGGGCTCAAGTGATCTTTCCACCCCAGCCTCCCAAGTAGATGGGACTACAGGTGTGTGCCACCATGCCCAGCTAACTTTATTTATTTTGTGTGGAGATGGGATCTCCCTCTGTTTACCCCGGGCTGGTCTTAAACTCCTGGGCTCAAGCAGTCCTCCTGCCTCAGTCTCCCAAAGTGCTGGGATTACAGGGGTGAACCACCATGACTGGCCTGTATTTTGATTTTGTTTCCTGTGCTTTTGGAGTCATATCCAAAAAATTTGTCCAGACCAGTGTCAAAAAGGCTTTTTTCTTATTTTTTTCCAGTAATTTTATAGTTTCCAGTCTTACATTTAATTTTTTGATCGTGACCTGAGTTTTGAACTTGGTGTAAGATACAAAGGTCCAGTTTCATTCTTCTGCATGTGAATATCCAGTTTTCCCAACACCATTTATTGAAGAGGCTGTCCTTTCCCCTTGTGTGTTCTTTTGTCAAAGATTAACTGTAAATGCATGCATTTATTTCTAGGCTCTCTAGTCTGTTCCATTGGTCTTTGCTGTTTTTATGCCAACATCATACAGTTTTGATTATTATACCTTTGTAGTATATTTTGAAATCAGGTAGCGTGATCCCTCCAGCTTTGTTCCTTTTGCTCAAGATTGCTTTGGCTATCTGGGGTTTTTGTGGTTCCACATGAGTTTTTTTGTTTGTTTGTTTTTATAGAAAGCTTATTCAGAGGGATAATAGAGAACCATATGAGTTTTAGGATTGCTTTTTCTATTTCTGTAAAAAATGCCACTGGAATTTTGGGGATTAGGGATCCTCTGCAATTTAGGGATTGCATCACATCTATAGATAGTTTTGGGTAGTATGGACATTTTAACAATATTAATTCTTCCAGTCCAAGAACATTTATTTTCCATATTTATGTCCATTTATTTGTGTCCCCAGCAGTTTCTTTCATTAATGTTCTATAGCTTTCAGTGTATAGATCTTTCACCTCCTTACATTTATTCCTATTTTATTTTTTGTTGCTATTGTAAATGGGATTGTTTTCTTGATTTCTTTTTTCACATAGATTGTTGTGTCAGGACCTTGTTACACTCTTAAAAATTGAAGACACCAAAGAGCTGTTGTTTATTATATTTTCTGTAATAGATACTAAAACTGGGAAATTTTTAAATAATTCATTTAAATAACAAACCTACATGTTAACATAATTAACTTTTTTGATGAAAATAACTTTTCTAAAACAATGTGTTAGTGAGAAGAGTGACATTGCATTATACTATTGCAGATCTTTTTTATGTCTGGTTTATGTTTTTGTTTTTTGGGTTTTTTTTTTTTCCTTGAAACAGGGTTTCACTCTGTCACCCAGGCTGGAGGACAGCAGCACAATCACAGCTCACTGCAGCCTCAGCCTCTCCTGGACTCAAGCGATCCTCCTGCCTTAACCTCCCAAGAAGCTGGGACTACAGTCCCATGTCACCACACCTGGCTATTTTTTAAAATTTTTTGTAGAGATGGGGTCTTGCTATGTTACCCAGGCTGGTCTCAAACTCCTGGGCTCAATCCTCCACCACACCCGGCCAGTATTTCTGGTTTAATGGTAGATAACTGGATTCTCATGTTTGCTTGGCCATTCAGTCTGTTGCAATATGTTGTTTTGGCTCAGGGATATATAAAGGAAGTCCAGCCTCACAGAGATAGTTAGAAAAGGGAGCAATATTTTGACAGCCTTCTCAAATAATTGTGGATATTATTTTATCTGATAGCATACCAGAACTCAAAAAGAGAAAGTTTGTTAAGTGTTATGTGCAATATAGAATCTAAATCCTATCAATGAATGTTTCATACTCTCTTACATTGAAATTCATTGGTTGTCTTACACTTTTGTGATCATGGTATCTCCCCTGCCAGGTAAGTATGTCTTATACTTTTGAATGGATCTTTTATTACCCATACATGTTTTGTAACATCATGCGTCAGTCATTTGGAAAATATTGGTTCATTGAGTTACGTAAATCTTCCACAGGTGGACACAATTCATTATATAATATTTTAAAAATCATGTTTATTATCAACAGCATAAAATTGTTTTTATTGGAAACTGTCAGCTTCTCTTGAAAATATGAATTTTATCAGTGACAACAAGTTAATGTGAGTTGTTTTCCTTTAAGTGACAAGTTCATTTTTGAGAAAATGTCAGCCAAATACCAAAGTCGGAATACCCACAGTTTATCAGTCCTTTCAAGTAAAATGTTGTTCCATTAAAAAATGGCTATGTTAATATACTTTCTTTCTCCTGGGCACAGTTTGTCTAAAGAAAAGTAATAATTATTTTCTGGTGTTTCCAAGTTTAATACCCATAAATCTTTATTTTAAGAATATGAAACATCAACCACAAACAGAACATACAGTTAGTACATCCAGGATGGATATATAATATAAACACTACTGAGTTTGTCAAGGAAATTCTTGGAGTATTAAAGACTTCATATTTGGGTTTTTTTTTTTAAAATGGCTAGTTCAGCTCCTCAACAGATTGTACTTTGATAAGCAGCAGAATTCACAGTTTTTTTCCTCACAGAATGTTAAAAAAGACATGCATTAAAGGGTTGAGATTTATTAAAATCGATCATTTTTACTGCTCTATCAAGGTATTTTTTGTCTTTTTTTTTTTTTTTTTTTTTTTTTTGAGATGGAGTCTCGCTGTGTCACCCAGGCTGGAGTGCCGTGGCACAATCTCAGCTCACTGCAACATCTACCTCCCAGGTTCAAGCGATTCTCCTGCCAGCGTGGGGTAGCTAGGACTACAGGTGCACACCACCACGCCCAGCTAATTTTTGTATTTTTAGTAGAGAGACAGGGTTTCACCATGTTGGCCAGGCTGGTCTTGAACTCCTGACCTCAAGTGAGCCGCCTGCCTCAGCCTCCTGCAGTCCTGGGGCTGGGATTACTGGTGCGAGCCACCATGCCTCGCTTATCAAGGACATTTTTAAGTAACACTGGCTATTTGAAAAAATGCTAATGTATAGTTCTAAGAAATATGACTACTAGCACATTTTGGTGCCATTGCCTTGATTCTTTCAGAGGTACACGCAGTTTTCTCCATGGTAACTTTTGTAACATCTACGCAGATATCAACATGGTGATTAAAAGCAAATAATGTTTTTCTTTTATTATGAAATAGTTGAAAAGGTCTTAGAGATCCATAGGGGTCGCGCAGACCACATTTTGAGAGCTAATACCCTAGGGTATCAGAACACTAAAATTGAGAAGTGCCAGTAATGGCATTTAATTCAAAATTAAACTATGCAACTTTATATGCCTCTTTATCAAATAATGCATAGTGTGGGAAAATGAAGTTGTAGATTATGGTCTTTCAGATATTCCATATGTATTTACTAGTAGACTAATTGTAGCACCTTTAATGCTTGTCAATTTCTTTAACCTGATTTGTCTTCAAGTCTTTGTACAATTTTCAGAATTCTTTTTTCTGTGTGTTTGTTTTGTGTTTATTTGATCTAAGAATGAAAACTGTGAGTACGTAGTTTTTAATAACTTTAAAAAAATCATTTTAGGCAGGCATTCCAGACCCTCCAAACATGTCAGCAGAATTAATCCAATTGAAAGCCAAGGAGCGACACTTTTTGGAGCAATTGTTAGATGGGAAAAAATTGGAAAATTATAAAATTCCAGTACCAATCAATGCTGAACTCAGAAAATATCAGCAGGTAAGTTTTATACAATAGTGAGTTTTCCTTTCAAATGAACCTTGAAGCGTTGTGGGTTTGTTGGGGGGGGCTTTTGTTTCTTTTTTGAGACAGAGTCTTGCTCTGTTGCCCAGGCTGGGGTGCAGTGGCAGAATCATGGTTCACTGCAGCCTCAAACTCCTGGACTCAGGCCATCTTCCCACCTCAGCCTCCCAAGTAGCTGGGACTATACATGTGCACCACTATGGCCAGCTAGTTTTTTTTTTTTTTTTTGGTAGAGGCAGCGTTCTCATTTTGTTGCCCATGCTGGTCTTGAACTCCTGGCTTCAAGTGATCCTCCCACCTTGGCCCCCCAAAGTGCTGGGATTAGAGATGTGAGCCACCATACCTGGCCTTAAAGCATTTTGTAAAATCGATTTAGTAAAATCTTGTGTTTAGTGTCTTATACCCATTTATTTCTCTTTTGCATATAGAAATATTTTTGTTTTGTGCAAACGTTGTTTATAAGAAAATGTTTTTATAAGAAAAAATAAATTTATGATGTATTCACATTTATGATTTTTCTCTCTATCAGGATGGTGTGAACTGGTTAGCATTTCTTAATAAGTATAAACTTCATGGAATTCTGTGTGATGACATGGGTTTAGGAAAAACTTTACAGTCCATCTGCATTCTAGCAGGAGATCATTGTCATAGGTAATTTAAGATGTTATTTTAAAATAAGGTTTCCGGATTTGGAGAAATGTAAACAAGCTGGTTAATTTATTGTGTTTTGCTATTGTAAAGGGCCCAGGAATATGCAAGATCAAAATTAGCAGAATGTATGCCACTTCCTTCCTTAGTGGTTTGTCCGCCAACATTAACAGGCCATTGGGTGGATGAAGTAGGTAAATTTTGCTCTAGAGAATATCTCAACCCGTTGCATTACACTGGACCTCCCACTGAAAGAATAAGGTAAGAGTTGTATGACAATAACAAAATATTTCATCTGTTGTCATAATTAAGATAAGGAACAGTAACATTTATTAAAGTGAATTCTAATTAGCTCTTTTGGTTGTATGACATAGAAACTTCACTTATGAAAAGTGAATGTACTTTGGGAAGATATAATCAGTGAGGCTCATCAAAATTGAGGAATTTTAACCATTGTACAATAAGTTGAGCTTTCCTAGAGCTGGAGAACTATCAGGAACCAAAGCCATTTTGTATGCCCCTTTTGGGAGTCTGTGACCATAGCATCTTTTTGGTGCTTCTGTTTTATTCTCATTTTCTACCCACTTTCCTGAGAGCTCTCCTTTGAGCCATGTGCAGGGGAATATTCCTGTAGTCCTAACTGTTCAGGAGGCTGAGGCAGGAGGATTGCTTTAGCCCAGGAGTTCAAGGCCAGCCTGGGCAACATAGTGAGTTCCCCTCTCTTAAATAAAAAAGAGTTCCCCTTTGCTTTGTTCCCTTTCCTTCCCTCTCCACAGAAGTACTTTTGTTCCACTATGGCTGCTTTAGCTGCCGCTGCAGTCATGGCTGCACTAAATTTTAGCATTGTTTCAGCTTTACCCCTTCCCTATTAACTAGTACATCTCTTATGTTCCTAACTGTAAATTTTTTCAAGTGGAAGCTCATTGATTTCAGCTCATTGATTTTTTAAAGGTTGGATAGTCATAGTTGCAGATTAGTCCATAGATTTGCTGTACTCCTGTGTTAATAATAGCAAATATTATTATTAAATAATGTTGTTATTAAAATTTTTAGTTTTTATCTTGAGCACTTACTGGCCAGGCACTATTCTAAGCAGCTTTTCTTTTATGTAAAATTGTGTATTATGTATAGAAGGAGCAGGACTGAAAAAAAAACTAAACAAAAAATTGTGCATTATGTATTCTCACAGTCACTTTATGAGGTAGGAATACTGTTGTTCCAATTTGCAAATAAGGAGTCTAAGGCATGGGGTCTGGGTCCAAGGTCACTCAGCTAATTAAGTGGACAGAGTGAGGCTTTGAATACAGTCAGCTCAAAAACTTGCACTCTTGAGCAGTTTACTATAGTGCCTCTTTGATAGAATTCATTCATTTGTAAGTGATAGAAATTCAACTCAATTCTCAGTTTCAATATTCAGTTCTCAATATTCAATTCTGTTAGCTTAAGCAAACAGAAAATTCATTAATTCACTAACTTGAGAATTTCAGGGGCAGATTGTTGCTTCAGGCCCATCTAGATTACTCTCATTCACTCTTCCTCCCCTTACATAACTTATTGTTACTATTGGGCTTCAGTCTACAGTTGGTAGATAAGATGACAATGGGCAGTCTCTGGCCCATATTCTCTTAGCTTGGCAACTGTAGTAAACAGATCTTCCCTCTCTCTCATGAATATATCAGTACTGGAGATGACTGACTGGCCTTGTTTGGGTCATGCTCCCAAAACAACCTTTGTGGTTAGGGGATTAAGTATTGTGAATAGCTTAACCTGGTTCAAATGCTTCATTTCCTTGGTGATTATGGGGACACATGATTGGTAGTTCCCCCACATCACCTAGAACAACATGGAGTGAGAAAGGAATAGTGCCCCTAAGGAAGAGATGTTGGCAAATAAAGTTGAAATGTCCACCATATTTTCAGTCTGATGTTCATCTCTTTTCTAATCAGACTGAGTAGGGCAACACAGCCAGATCATCAGAAGAGTAGCCCTTCAGGGTCATGTATGTAGAGTAAGCAGAAGGGAATGCTGGGCTTAGTGGGCAGATTGAAAGCACTTTATACAAATGGTAGCTATTAAGAACTTTTCAGGGTCTCTGTTTTCTAATTTTATTCATTTCTAAATAAAGGTTACAGCACCAAGTAAAAAGGCACAATCTAATAGTGGCTTCATATGATGTTGTGAGGAATGACATAGATTTCTTTAGGTAAGAATTAATTTTTTTTTTAGAAAAATTAATATCAAATTTGAAGACTCTTAATATTTTCCCACTTTAAAGATTCTTCATATAGTTCCTGACATACAGCAAAAGTTGTAAAATTTTCTATTTATTCTCCCTTAGAAATATTAAATTTAACTACTGCATTCTTGATGAAGGCCATGTCATCAAAAATGGAAAAACAAAGTTGTCAAAAGCAGTAAAACAACTGACTGCTAATTATAGGATTATTCTTTCTGGAACACCAATCCAGGTAATTATTTATTATTATTTTTTTTAATTATTTTTATTTTTATTTTTCATGTTTGCCAGGTGGAGGGTAGGCTTGGTATTTGGCGGTGAATTAAAGAAGATTTTTTATTGTTGTTATAGTAATGATAATTTTCCAGTATATAATTATTGCCTGCTTAATGGTTCATTGGTAAACAAACCAGGTTTTAAAAGTCATTTTTAAAATGTAATTTTAGACTATATAAATAGAAATCTTGTGTCAAAAGTATGAAAGACATAAAAATCAGACTCTACTCCACACTGGCCATTCTCCTTCCATAGTAGTACACTGCAATCTGATTTAGCATTGAAAAGCTAGAGCTGAGTCAGAGGTGAATCATCATATAGTAGAAGTGTGAATACCTGATGTCAGGAGGAAATTGAAGGCAAGCGATTGTAGAAGTTTATTTTGTAAAAGGAAGGAGATAGGTATGTATGTATCTTTAGATACTTTTGAGAAATTATCTTGTCCTCCAGAAGAATTGGTTGCAAATGTTCACATCTAGCTTGGATAGCAAACTTTGGTGGGAAGACCTTGAATCATTCTCAGTAGAGAAGTAGACACCGTGTGACCTCTAAGATTCCTTCCAACTTTAAAAACTGATGATTCTTTATGTACTTACCTACTCTTTCTCTCTCTCCCTCCTTCCCTCCCTCCCTCCCCTCCCCCTCCCTCCCCTCCTGTCCCCCCTCTCTCCCATCCCCTCCTCCCCTCCCCTGCTCTCCTCCCCTCTCCTCCTCCCCTCCCCCCTCCCCTCCCCTTCTCCCCTCCCCTCCCCTCCCCTCCTCCCCTCCCCTCCCCTCCCCTCCCCCCCTCCCCTCCCCTCCCCTCCCCTCCTAGGGCCTCACTGTCACCCAGGCTGGAGTACAGTGGTGTGATTTCAGCTCACTGCAACCTCCACCTCCTGGGCTCAAGCAATCCTCCCACCTCAGCCTCCCAAGTAGCTGGGGCCACAAGTGTTAGTGTTCTGTTCATTAAGTAAACACTGCAGATTCTAATAACCGCAAGAGATAATTACAAGCCTTTCTAAATTTATCAAAAGTTTAAAAATGTAAGGCTGGGCACGGTGGCTCATGCCTGTAATCTCGGCACATTGGGAGGTTGAGGCGGGTGGATCAATTGAGGTCAGGAGTTTGAGACCAGCCTGGCCAGTGTGGCAAAACCCCATCTCTACTAAAAATACAAAAATTAGCCAGGCATGGTGACGCACGCCTGTACTCCCAGCTACTCAGGAGGCTGAGGCAAGAGAATCACTTGAACCCGTGAGGTGGAGGTTGCAGTGAGCCATGATCGTGCCATTGCACTGCAGCCTGGGTGACAGAGTGAGACTCTGTCTCAAAAAAAAAAAAAAAAAAAAGCTTAAAAATATAATTAAAAGGGAAAAAAGCCTCTTTAGGCTGAATTATCAAGATTTATTGTGCTTCAATTTGAAGTTATATGGAAACATCATAGTAATTTAAAGTATGTTATTGCTTTTACTTGGTTCAGACATCGGAAGAAGTTTTTTGGTTTTTAGTTGTTTGCTTTTTAAAGGCCCTTTCTTTTCCTCTTCCTTACAAAAGCCATGGTGGCCCAGAGTCAGGGGGCAGAGGCCCTGAGTAGGATTAGAAGTGTGTCCAAATGAGAGGATAGCCACTGAGCAGGGTGAGGAGGGATTCTTAAAGGGGAAGGTGGGTAAAAGGGTACCTTAGGACCTGCACCTATCAGGAAAGCGTCTGAAATGAAAAAGTGCTGGTTTCTTTTTCTTTTTTTCCATGAAACTTCGATGGTAGAATTGGAAAGAATCTGTGTCTTTGCATTGTGGCCCATAAATACTGAGTGGGCTTGACTTATAACCAAATTCTAATAGGTTGTTGTTGTTGTTGATGATGAAATGGTGATATTGGCCACATTCCTTAAATCTTGCTGTTGAGTGTCAAAATAATCAGAAAGTTATCTTTCTGCTCTTCTATTTAGTACTTCATAAATGCCAACAGTAAATTGTAACACTGTGGACCAAGGCTTATTCTAGGGAAGGAGACTTGAGGATTTCCCCCAGATAGGATACAATATTCTCTCCAAGGATACTGACCTGAATTTTACACACTAAAATAAAGACTTACACCATATGTCTAAAAATATAGTGATAATCTCTCATCTATATGATTATAATAATGGGCTTTCATTAATGTTACTTTTTTAGTTGTAAGGAAATAATCCCAGTACAAAAGATAATTGGTGTTCCTGTTTACAGAACAACGTTTTGGAGCTGTGGTCATTATTTGATTTCCTCATGCCAGGATTTTTGGGTACTGAACGCCAGTTTGCTGCTCGATATGGTAAACCTATATTAGCAAGTAGGGATGCTCGAAGCTCCAGTCGAGAGCAAGAAGCAGGTATGAAAGAGATATAATTATAACCCTGTGTAAGTGAATATAATTTATTCTTAACTTTTTTGAAGCCATTTTCTCTTTAACTATTAACAGGTGTTCTTGCTATGGATGCGCTGCACCGCCAAGTACTACCGTTTCTTTTGAGAAGAATGAAAGAAGATGTTTTGCAGGATCTTCCACCTAAAATTATTCAAGACTATTATTGTACTCTTAGTCCTCTCCAGGTTAGGAATCTCGTGTTTATCATTGTTAGTGGTATGTTTATTAGCAGATTGTTTTGTATGAGCCACAAAACTATTGAATAAAGGGGCTTAGCCTTTGGCTTTATCAGATGCAGATAAAGCCTAAATGATGTGGATGTAAGTTTGAGTGTATGCATTTTGAATATAGCATTAAAACAAAATTCAGTATCATAGTTGCTTTTTAAGTTTTTTTTTTTAAGAGACAGGGTCTTACTCTGTCACCCAAGCTGGAGTGCAGGAGCACAGTCATGGCTCACTGCAGCCTCGACCTCCGGGTTCAAGTGATTCTCCAGCCTCAGTCCCCCAAGTAGCTGGGACTGCAGGCACATATCACCATGCCCGGCTAATTTTTTAAGTTTTGTAGAGACTGGGTCTTGCTGTGTTGCCCAGGGTGGTCTCAAACTCCCAGGGTCAAGCAGTCCTCCCACCTTGGCCTTCCAAAGTGCTGGGATTATAGGTGTGAGCCACCGTCCCAGCCTACAGTTGCTTTCTTTTGTGTCTAGTTAATTGAAAAGATTGCAAGGTATTAAATTGCTAAGGAAATAAGCCAATGTTTATAAAGGCCAAAAATCTGCTTCTGAATGTTGTCATGCTGTCCTCACAACATTATAGGTATTATTAATCCCCATTTTTGCAAATAAAGTGACATTCAGAAAAGTTACATAGCTTGGCTATGGTCATAGAGCTAATACACAATTGTGCAGTGCTAATGGCTTGGGTGATTTCTCAGAAACGCATCATTAGGTGATTTTGTCATTGTGCAAACATCATAGAGTGTACTTACACACACCTAGATGGTATAGCCAATTGTTCCAAGGCTACAAACCTGTACAGCATGTTACTGTACTGAGTACTGTAGGCAGTTGCAACACAATTATATTTGTATATCTAAGCATAGAAAAGGTATGGTAAAAACACAATATTGTATCTTATGGGATGACCATTTTATATGTAGTCCATTGTTGACCTCAATGTCCTTGTGCAGTGCATGACTATGTATCAGAGCTGAGTTTTAAACCTTGGTCAGTGGGACCTCACTCATTCCCTTTGAAGTATTATTTCATTACCTAAAAATGTTCAAAATAAATTTTGCCTTGTGCACAGTTCTGATTTTGTACATAAAGACCATTATTAAAGGAATTTATTGTGAGCCTTTCCTTGTACTTTTCTAAGAATTAAATGGAAACTGTTCCTTGTCTTAGTAAGACATGGCCTCTGGGTCAGAATTTTCTCTTTGAAAATTTTTTTATGTTCTAGGTTTGTATGTGTCAGTCTATCTTACTATTAGGATTTGATTCACTACGGTCAAATGAATAAGAGATATACATACCCAGAAACTTACTTTTCCCCCCTCCATTGTATAGATGGTTAACCTGTTAACAGGTATTCATCTATTCAACTTGGGCAGGATAAGAAGTTGAGAGTTCTTTGATTCTTCTGTACTATCTGCCTCATCTCTCAGGTCCCTCTTCCTTCATTTGCAAAAATTAATATTTCTTGAAAGGAATACATTTTTGAAGTAATGAAATGAAGACTTCTTAAAGTAGGTACAATAAGGAAAAGATGTCATGTGAAAAAAATCTGTGGTGATTTACTGGTTGTGGTGCTGTAACATAGGCATAAAATGCATTTAAGTAATCAATCTAGAGAAAGCGAGCTCCAAAGAGAAATGGCATTTTGGCTTTGTTTAGCATTCACAGATTTTTTATTCTCTGATTTCTGTCCTTTAGCTCTCTAGATTTTCTTTTCTTTCACATTATTTTAGCTTGTACAAGATAGGAACCCAGACCCCAGCGTAGTACTTTAAAACTTGACATATGTTCCCCTTTTAGGCTAGCAGTAACATTCTTGTAAAATTTGGTGTCTTGAAACATACATACAGGGTCTTGATCATGTAACTTCATTTAAGGAAGATTTTTCTCATTTACTTCTAAGAGTTTCTTTTTTTCTTTTTTAAGACTCAATTTTTCTAAGATTTTCTTTTACTGGTAATGTATTTATTTTCCTGAACAGTAGAAAAATTGAGTCTTGGACTATTTGACTTGTATTTTTCATATTTTGGCAGCCGAACTTAATGTGTTCATACTTGTTTTCTAAATGTAATTTTAAAGGAATTTACCAAGATGGAGTGGATAACCTGTAATTCCTGTAGTGAATTAGAGATATCACAATTTGTTTTCATTAATGAGGGCTGATTTAAATTACTGCTGTTATTGGCCTTTGCTGGTTATGTGTTTTGAACAATTGAAAATAAATATACTTAAAGCTTCTCCCACGGGGGCCATTTTACAGGTTCAGCTCTATGAAGATTTTGCTAAGTCTCGTGCCAAGTGTGATGTTGATGAAACAGTTTCTTCAGCTACACTTTCTGAAGAAACTGAAAAACCAAAGCTTAAAGCTACAGGCCACGTATTCCAGGTATAGATTACATTCTACTTTTTTTTTTTTTGAGATGGAATTTCACTCTGTCATCTAGGCTAGAGTGCAGTGGCATGATCTCGGCTCACTGCAACCTCTGCCTCCTGGGTTCAAGCTATCATGCCTCAGACTCCTGAGTAGCTGGGAGTAGAGGTGTGCGCCACCATGCCTGGATAATTTTTGTATTTCTAGTAGAGATGGAGTTTCGCCATGTTGGCCAGGTTGATCTCAAACTCCTGACCTCAAGTGATTCACCTGTCTTGGCCTCCTAAAGTGCTAGGATTCAGGCATGAGCCACCACGTCTGGCCCATCCCACTTTTTAAATGTTGAATAATGATTTTTAATGAGGCACTTTTTATATGGAATAATAAAATACGGATCTATGTATATTTGTTTCAATATTATGTATACATTCTTGAAAATAAGTTAAAATACCTATTTAATATATCTTAATAAGCACTTTAATATTAAAATTAAATGTATAAAATGCAATATATGTTTGTATATTACATGAAAAGAAGGGCTTTAGAATAGAGAATCTTTTGCTTTTTTATTCAAAAAATATTAGAACACCTACTACATGGCAGTAATTTTTCAAAGCTCTGGGATTACTTAAAACAGCAGATAAAACAGACTCCTTCCCTTGTAGAGATGAAAAATACTTAGGTATATATTATGTGTAAGACAAAGCCAATAATGTGGTTATAGTGTATCAGAGTCCAGGGTAGGTTGTGGTTTCTTAATCGAGGGGCTAGGGACTGCCTCACTGAGAAGGTGACATTTGAGCAAAGATCTGAAGGAGGATTAAGTCATGCAGGTGTATGGGGGGAAGTGATTCCAGGCAGAGGATACAAAAAGTACAGAAGTCTCAAGTCAGATCATGCCTCATATGCTTGAGAGAATAGCAAAAAGAGGTGGCAAGTGTCACTTTATCTTTCCCTCTTGAATAGTCCACCACAGAAAACCTCCTGCTAATAGATTAAGTACTGTAGCATTTTTAAAGATATAAGAAGGAAAAGATAGTTGTGAAGATCTAGTTTTTGTTTTGTTTTGTTTTGTTTTTTTAAGAGAAGGGGTCATGTTTTGTTGCCCAGGCTGGAGTGGTGGGATCATAGCTTACTGCAACCTCAAATTCCAGGGCTCAAGCGATCCTCAGCCTCAGCTTCCTAAGTAGGTAGGACTACAGGTGCACACCACCACACCTGGCTAATTTTTAAAAATTTTTTTAGTGATAAGGTCTCACCATGTTGCCCAGGCTGGTCTTGAACTTTTGGCCTCAAGTGATCCTCCCTCTTCAGCCTCCTAAGTAGCTGGGATTATAGGTGCAAACCACTGCACCTGGCCTCTCCCACAAGTTTTAATCCTAGTGCTCAGCACTGTCTTGAGCCTTGCCAATGGAGCTTACTAATAAAACATCTGTGTGCCAAGGCTGAGACCCAAATCTTAAGCCAAGTAAGAGGCAGAAGAGAAAGTGTGGCTGAATCAGAGAAGAGACCATATAAGGTTCTGTTTCACAAACACAACCACTTGAGACAGTCCCCTTCCTTGCTCCCCTCCTCTCATCTACTGAATCAGAATAATGTGTAGAAGGGAGAGAATTTCAGGTTTATAAGGTCCTCAAGAATTTTTTTTTTAAAGACTGAGTCTCGCTCTGTCACCCAGGATGGAGTGCAGTGGCATGATCTTGGCTTACTGCAACCTCCACCTCCAGGGTTCAAGCAATTTTCCTGCCTCAGCCTCCCGAGTTGCTGGGATTACAGGCACATGCCACCATGCCTGGCTAATTTTTGTATTTTTAGTAGAGACAAGGTTTCACCATGTTGGCCAGCTGGTCTTGAACTCCTGACCTCAGGATCCACCCACCTCGGCCTCCCAAACTGTTGGGATTACAGGGGTGAGGCACCATGCCCGGCCAGAAATTTTTACACTCACTGAAGTTTGAGCAACTTTTGTATCCAAAATGATCCCTGGTTCCAGAAGCATCTGTCTGCATTACCAGGTACTTTGAGTGGGAAAGGGTTTTAAAGAAAACAACTAAGACGCTCAATTTGCCATGGGAAGCTCATTGTCTGGTGGGGGAGACAGATATAAACAGTACAATTTATACGCGTTGTAAATGTCCGCATAGAAACTGCACAAGAATCTCAAATGAGACATTTGAACTGGTTCTTGAAGAATGAGTAGAAGTTTGCCGAGCAAGAAGAGGGAGAAAGGCATTCTAAACAGCATAGGAAATAGCATAGGGAAAGATACAGAGATAAAAATATTTGTGATATGCGAAATTGACTCATATATACTTTTTTTTTCCTCTTGAAGGCATTACAGTACTTACGTAAACTGTGCAACCATCCAGCATTAGTCTTAACACCTCAACATCCAGAATTCAAGACCACTGCCGAAAAACTGGCAGTTCAGAATTCTTCTCTACATGATATTCAACATGCCCCTAAGCTCTCAGCTTTGAAACAAGTATGTATGTCTTTTAAGTGTTAAATGTGTGTTGTACCCCAGGAATATAAATTCTTGGTAAATTTGCTTTTCTTAAAGATTACTACTGTGTTTACCATTTATTTTTAAATTTGGTTAAATTTTTGATACAGCTTTTTGTAAAAATGTGGTTAAAATATATACAGCACAAAATATGCCATTTTAACCATTTTAAGTGTGTAAATCTGAGGCATTATATTTACAATGTTGTACAACCATCAGCATTATCTTACTGCTAAAATATTTCCACCACCCAAACAGAAACTCTATATTCATCAAGCAATAATTCTTCATTCTCCCTTGTTCTAGCCCCTGGTAATCTCTAATCTACTTTCTCTATGAATTTGCCTGTTCTAAATATTTCATTTAAGTGGAATCATAAAATATTTGTCATTTGTGGCTTATTCATTAGTCAGTTTTATGGATATAGCACATTTCATTCATCCATTTCTGTGTCAGTGGACACTTGGGTTGTTTTCACCTTTTGGCTATTATGAATAATGCTGCAGTGAACATTGGCTTACAAGTATCTATCTGAGTTACTCTTTTTAGTTCTTTTGGCTAGAGACTAAGGAGTGGAATAGGTAGGTCATACAGCATTTCTATGTTTAACATTTTCGGGAACTGCCAAACTTTTTCACGATGACTACACCATTTTACACTCCCACCAGCAATGTACCAGGGTTCCAGTTTCTTCATATCCTTGCCAACACTTGTTGATTTCTTTTAATTATAGTCATCCTACTAGGTATGAAGTGATAACTCCTTGTGGATTTGATTTGCTATTCCCTAATGACTGATGATGTTGAGCATCTTTTCATGTGCTTATTGGACATTTCCATATCTTCTTTAGAAAAATGTCTAGTCAAGTTCTTTACCCATTTTGATTGGCTTATTTCACCTTGTTGAGTTGTGAAAGTTTTGTTTTGTTGTTGCTGTTTTTTTTTTTTTTTAATGGGGGTCTCACTGTGTTGCCCAGGCTGGTCTTGAACTCCTGGCCTCAAACGATCCTCCCACCTGGGCCTGCCAAAGCCCTGGGATTATAGGCATGAGCTACCACACCCTGCCGAGAAATTCTTTATAATTCTGGATATTAAACCCTTATCAGACATATGATTTGCAGATATTTTCTCCCATTCTATAGGTTATCTTTTTACTTCTTGATAATGTCTTCCATGGTTTCTGATGAGAAATCAGGTGTTAATCTTATTGAAGATCCCTTTTACATGACCATTTGCTTTTTTCTTGCTGCTTTCAAGGTTCTTTGTCTTTAAACAGTTTATAATTCATGTCGATGTGGATTTCTTTATTTTACTTGGAACTGCATACTCTATCATTTTGCTGATGTCACCCTCTTGGTGTTGCTTTTAAAAATTAATTTTTAAAAATTCTAGGATTTCAAAAGATTAAGGGAAACAATTTCAAGCACCAAAATGTTAGCACTATGCCATTTAGTTCTAACTACCCTTATAAACGAAGATTTTATTGTAAAATCTAGACTTTAGTAATTGTTTTAGCTTGTGGTCAGTAGTTATTCTGGCCTAAAGCTCATTGAGAACAACTAATGAATGAAGATTTTAGATTCCACATAGGTTAGTGTGGAAAATGTTATCTAATAGTGTATCTGGCATATATATCCAAATATGTATCCTTACATCACTAAACGTAAAATGGACTATGAACTTTCACACTGTAAAACTGAAGAATGATTGTTACCTTTAGATATATGGAATGGTTTTCTTGTTTGACCAAACCTTGCTGTAGGTCTTTATATAGAATGTTCATGGTTTTCCTAACATAGCTAGTATATTAGGTAAAGCTGTAAGATATACTTAGTCAAGGAATCCTCTAATTAGATCTATTTTCAAAATAAAAATTGAATTTCATCCATATTTGAATTTTACATAGGTTCTTACAGATTTTTTTTTTCCCAGCAGTTGCTAATTACATTGATCTCTTATTTTAGAGTGTGCTTCTTGTCACCCTGACACATCTCGAATTAAGATGCTTAGGAAGTCTGCAACTTAAAGAGGCCCAGATTTTTTCTGGCTGTCCTCACGGAAGACTTTTCTAGTAGCCTTCTTATCCATTTTCTTGGTTCTTTTCAGCCAGAGTGAAGGTTCTGTCTCAGGAAGGATAAATTTATTTTTTAAATCTAAATATGTATATGCTGTGAAGTTAGAGGAGAAGTCTTACTTGCTTTCTAAAAATCTGTTGGTAGAAACATGTTTATCAGCAAGTAGTGCTGGGAGAAGTATCTAATATTGCCAAAGCTAGAATGAAAAATTCCAGGAGGCTGTAATGAAGAACTAAAACTGTAGGTGAAATTAATGGAGATAAGCAGAGTCAGTTTTAAAAGAAAACACTTAGGTGTATTTTGACTATGTGAGACTTAGCAAATATTTTATATGAGGCAAAGTTGAGTTTGATTTGATGGCAAATTCACTATAAGAACGGTGTGAATTAGTTGCCAGTAAATAAAACTAATAGGATCTTGGCTGGGATTAATAACTATATAACGGCCAAAATGGGGGCATCATAGTTTCACTGTATTTCATACTAGTCAGAACAAATATTGAGTTGTTTTTTTTTTTCTTTTTCTTTTTGAGACAGAGTCTTGCTCTGTCGCCCAGGCTGGAATGCAGTGGCGCGATCTTGGCTCACTGCAAGCTCTGCCTCCTGGGTTCACGCCATTCTCTTGCCTCAGCCTCCCAAGTAGCTGGGACTGTAGATGCCCACCACCACGCCCGGCTAATTTTTTTTTGTATTTTTAGTAGAGACAGGGTTTCACCGTGTTAGCCAGGATGGTCTCGCTCTCCTGACCTCATGATCCGCCTGCCTGGGCCTCCTAAAGTGCTGGGATTACAGGTGTGAGCCACCGTGTCTGGCCCAAATTTTGAGTTTTATAGTTTTGACCACTACAAGTGGAAGATCAAAATGGTAAAACATCTAGAAGCCATTTAATATGAGGAATGATTGAAAAAACGGGTAATTTAGCCTATGCTGAAGTTAGGGCAAGATAAAATTGAAATGCTCTCTGGGGTGTCAGCTGACCTCTCAAACACCCATTATTAGATGGCCTTGGTAAATATTTGCTAGAGTCTAGTAATCAACTTTTCAAGGCCCTGAACTCGATCAGTCTCTCAGAGCAGACTTGGGTTATAGATTAGTGAGAATACCAGAGTATCAATTCTGCTACCAGACAGAGATACTTACGTCAAATGATATGTCCACATATTCAGTAGGATAGCTGCACCAGGGAAAGATTACATTAGGAAGAATGTCTGGTAAGTATGGTCTTGGAGAAGTCCTAGTTGGATATTCTTAATATAACTGGTTATCTTTAAGGTTTTGACATTGCTGCCTATGGAACTGAGATAATTGAGTGTGCATGACACAGACATTCTGATAAAATTTCACTCTCTGGAACTCTTATGGGATCTGTATAGGATGTCACACTTATAACACTTTTTTTTTCTTCTCCTAGAGAGAGGGTCTTACCCTGTCACTCAGGCTGGAGTACAGTGGTGTGGTCATAACTCCAACCTCAAACTCTTGGGCTCAAGCAATCCTTTCACCTCAGCCTCCCAAGTAACTAGGACTACAGGTGTGCGCTACCACACCTGGCTAATTTTGTTTTGTTTTTTAGAGATGGGATCTTCCTATGTTGGCTAGGCTGGTCTGGAACTCCTGGCCTCAAGCAGTCTTCCCACATTAGCATCCCACAGTGCTGGGATTATAGGCATGAGTCACTATGCCCAGCCAATATACATTATTTATACTGCGTACCACATAGTCACGTCTCTCCTGAGACACCTTAGATAGGACTTTTTAAAAGAAACAGCTGAATAGTAATTTGATCGCAGATTTAAGGCAAGATGTAGGGGTAATTACATCGATCAGACTTGTTTATTTGGAGGAATGTCTCCCTAGTATACCATATTCTACTATATAATAAAAATCTCAAACTTTAAGGGCTGTTAGGTAGAAGAATGAGAACATGTGTTCTTCCTCAAGCATTGAATTGTGACAATAGATGTGAAATGTTGTCTACCAGGGAAGATTATTAGAGATTCAGTACCCAAAGTTTTTACTGGGGGCTGGTCACATATACTCCCTTTGCCTAGCATGGATCAAAATTCCAGACCCTCAGAAGGCAGGTTTCAGCCTAAATCATATTATTTGCACAGTAGTTTAGGCACAGTAAACTATCATTACCAGTTAGGGACTGATGGGAAGACTCCTAAAATCCAGGTTCCAAATTTCAACCTTACGAAGAGGACTTTCTGAGGAAAACAGTGTCCTTTTCTATACAACATCCTAAGTGTTTTACATTGAGTTTGGAGTTTGCCTGGATGGCCTTTTGGTTATCTTTCCTATCAGAGCTTTTGGTGTTTTGAGTAACTTCTGTTAGTAGAAAGGAGAAATCATCCTGCATGAAGATCTTAGATTGGCCCGGTACAGTGGCTCACGCCTGTAATCCCAGCACTTTGGGAGACTGAGGCAGATCACCTAAGGTCAGGAGTTCGAAACCAACCTGGCCAACATGGCGAAACCCCATCTCTACTAAAATTACAAAAATTCACTGGGCGTGATGGCAGGCACCTGTAATCCCAGCTACTCAGGAGGCTGAAGCAGGAGAATATCTCGAACCTAGGAGTTGGAGGTTGCAGTGAGCCAAGATCACGCCACTGCACTCCAGCCTGGGTGATAGAGGGAGACTCTGTCTCTAAAAAAAAAGATCTTAGATTTTGTTTTTGCAACCTCCGCCTTCAGGGTTCCAGCAATTCTCCTGTCTCAGCCTCTCAAGTAGCTGGGACTACAGGTGCATGCCACTACACCTGGCTGTTTTGCATTTTTAGTAGAGACAGGATTTCGCCATGTTGGCCCGGCTGGTCTCGAACTCTTGACCTCAAGTGATCTGCCTGCCTTGGCCTCCCAAAGTGCTGGGATTACAGGTGTATAAGCCCCCACTGCCGGCCCAGCTCTTAGATTTTGAACAGAGTTCAGTAATAGCTCAAATACTATGGATGAAGAAGAGTACTATTGGGTATACTGTTTGTCAAATTGATCTAAACATGATTCTCTTGGATTTTATTCGCTCATTTATTAATTGCACTTGCTGTGTGCAAGGCACCGAACCACTTTAGGAATAAGTATAAATGATCTATAGCAAAATGTGGTTTCTGCCATTAAAGATCTTGGTCTACAGATAGAGTAATAAGCTGTCTTGTCAAGAATCCACATCTAGCTAAATGCTTCTTTTCTATAATTTTTTCTACCAAATGTGGCTGCTCCATTGTTTTCTTCATACATTATTGAATAACCCTTTAGGAACCAGTTTGTCTGCGGCATCTTCTTTGTCATTACTTTCAATAAACATTTATTGAGGCTTTAGTCTCAAGGATTGAGGAAAAGGAAGGTAGGTTTGTTATTAGATAAACTTCTGGGCCGGGTGTGGTGGCTCATGCCTATAATCCTTGCACTTTGGGAGGCCGAGGCAGGAGGGTCACTTGAGCTCAGGAGTTCAAGACCAGCCTGAGCAACATAGTGAGATCTTGAGTCTATAAAAAAAATTAAATGAAAACTTCTGAAGAGGTGATCAGGGAGCTCTAAGCCTGAGCACCTCAAAAACTAGTTCAGTGTGCTGCAGGGTGACAGATTGCAGCCCAAAGTGCTAATCTGCTTTCCAGATTTCAGGTACATTTAACCTTTTCTTGCCACAGAGAGGAATGTCACAGTGAGATTAGTTTTCTGCTTTTATTGAACGCTTATGTAGTTTTTTTTTTTTTTCTTCCTAAGTTGCTGTTGGACTGCGGTTTGGGAAATGGCAGCACTTCCGAGAGTGGCACAGAGTCTGTTGTGGCCCAGCACAGGATACTGATATTCTGTCAGCTGAAAAGCATGCTTGATATAGTAGAGCATGATCTCCTCAAACCTCACTTGCCCTCTGTCACTTATTTGAGATTAGATGGCAGCATACCTCCTGGTCAGAGGCATTCCATTGTTTCCCGGTAAGTGGCTTCTAAGACTCTTATTCATAAATAAATATATTATTACTTACATAGAAGTTTGCCCCATGAAATATTTTCATTGGCTAAATATCTGCAAATGCATTTTTTTAATTGTGTAATTCACCCCAAATAAACCCCTTTTTAACTATAGAACTACATAAATATAATCGAATAGATTATTTGCTTAGCATATGAAAAGGGTGTGACTGTAATAGAAAAGCACTCTGAAGAGCATGAAAGAAATTTAAGGCATCAACCAACAGTAAGGATAACTACTTTCCCCCTTACCTTTTTGGGAGAATTAGGGTGAGAGGAACCAAACAAGTGGCTTAGCTAAAATCTCCATCCTAATCCCTGTTTGTGCACTGAGAACAAGTTGGAATCTGGCCCAGCTAGGAAGCAGAACTGGTGAGTGCAGTGTTCACATGTGGTCTGCAGCCTCTACTTTTAAAATCTCAGTGGTTGCTTTTTTTTTTAAAAAAAAAATGCAGATTCCTAGGTTCTGCTTAGTCCCAAAGCTGCTGACTTCAAGAGTAGCCATTTTTAACAAGCATCCCAGCTGAGCGCGGTGACTCATGCCTGTAATCCCAGCACTTTGGGAGGCCAAGGTGGGTGGATTACTTGAGGTCAGGAGTTCAAGACCAGCCTGGCCAACATGGTGAAACCCTGTCTCTACTAAAAATATAAAAATTAGCTGGATGTGGTGGCACATGCCTGTAATCCCAGCTACTCTGGAGGCTGAGGCAGGAAAATGACTTGAACCCGAGAGGCAGAGTTGCAGTGAGCAGAGATTGGATTGGGCCACTGCACTTCAGCCTGAGCAACAGAGCAAGACTCTGTCTCAAAAAAAAAAAAAAAAAAAAAACAAGCATCCCTAAGAGATCATTAGGCACAATAAAGTTAGAGACCCGGGGAGGGACTTTGGAAGCCGACAGGCTCAGGTTTGACTCCTGGCTCTGCTATTTAAGCAGTGTTCTCTTGAGCCTGTTTATCATTCACACAGCCTCAGTCTCTCTAAAATAGGGATATTGGTAATAATACCCTTATAGAGCTATTGTAACAATTAAATAAAATAATGCATATAAAGTACAAAGACTATTGCTTGACTTGTAGTAAGGATAATAAATCGTAGCTTGGTAGCTGCTATTTTTAATGTTAGTTTTTTCTTTTTCCTAGAAGTTACTAGATATCCTTTGTCAGTGTCTTCTAGGACTAGTACAGTAGTAGCAACCCTAACACTCTCACCTTCTGTCGTCCCTGAATGAAAGTCTAGCCTGTTCTCACACTTCTCTGTCCCCATACTTTAAAGGTTCATAGTTGGGTTTATCTTAATTATAATTAGCATTTAATTATATTTTTGCAAGTTAGTCCTTACCTGATGTTACTAAATTCAATGCAGTTTGCCTTATTTTGTATTTATGAAATTCCTGAATAGCTTTGGAATGCCCTCTTTTACTAAAAACGTTATACATATTGAGAGGATATTTTTCTCAGATGATCATGTAAGTATCCCTATTGTGGATTTTTAAAGCAGCATTTTCATTTGTGCTCTTTAATTTTTATTAACAGTTTCTGTTATAGGACTTAAGAATGGACTAATTTTATTTTTGTTATCTACTTTTAGGTTTAATAATGATCCATCTATAGACGTTCTGTTACTTACCACTCACGTTGGTGGCCTGGGACTTAATTTGACAGGCGCTGACACAGTAGTATTTGTGGAGCATGACTGGAATCCTATGCGAGATCTACAAGCCATGGACCGGGCCCATCGCATTGGGCAGGTAAAAGTCAATTTTACCTCACAGATGTTAACCTGTGCATGAAAATATACTCCCCCAGAAAGATAGGAAACCTTGGTTTAGTTCTTGCTCTGGTGTTAACATACATGTGTTATGACCTTGGACAGATCACTTAACTCTTCTGTGGTATCACTTCCTCATGCATTAAATGAGGTGCTAGCACTTAGGAAAACCTGGATCACTGTTCATCCCTAATATTCTGTGATTGCTGCACACATTTTGAGCTCATGTGGCCAGACAAAATAAAAATCCAACCCTAATTAGGTAGTATAAAATAGTACAAGTCTACAAGCCCTCTGACTCGTTGGAACCTCAAAGCATAATATGTGTTACGGTTGCTTAACTGTTTTTCTTATCCAGAAACGTGTGGTTAACGTATACCGATTGATAACCAGAGGAACATTGGAAGAAAAAATAATGGGGTTGCAGAAATTCAAGATGAACATAGCGAATACTGTTATTAGCCAAGAGAATTCTAGTTTGCAGAGCATGGGGACTGATCAGCTTCTTGATCTGTTTACTCTTGATAAGGTAAAGAACTTACACAATTTGTTGTATCTTTGAGTCACAGGCTTCCTGTGACTGCTAAGTTGAAAGTATTAAAGGAGCAGCAAAATGCGTTTACTTTAGTATCCATGAGATCACCACTGGAGGGAATTTTTGGTGCCTAGATAAATTCTGCAGCATACTAGGGGATGTGTGAAGTTTTGATTTTTTTTTTTCATTGATGTCTTCAGTGTCTTGCCACAAGGTTTCTTTCCTTAGTCCTTTTCTGCTAAAGCACAGCTTATCACTGGAGTCAGTAAGACTCATGGGTGAGAGTTCTTGGCCCTGCCTCCTGTTAACTGGTTACCTTAGGCAGATTATCTCTCTGAGCTTCTATACCTATTTTACTACATGGTTGTGATGTAAGATTATATATGTAAGCAGTCAGAAAGGATATCTAGTGTAGATTCTCAATAAATAGTAGCCATTGTTATTGCAGATGATGGAACTAATACATCAGATAACAATCTATAATCAAAAGGATGCACCACTTGGAAATATTAGTGAGTCTAATATTGTAAAACCAATATAGTTGGATTTAAAGTCCTACATAGGTTCAGAAAATCCACTGCATACTTAGTATAAATTATGGTGGGGTATATGATGATTAAAACTAGCTGTAATAACAGAAGTGTACTTTCAAGTAAGAGAAAATCGTTCTGCCATACTATGTGTATGTTAAACCACATTTGAAATATGTCTAGTTTGGGGAGCTACATTTTAAATGGTAACAAATTAAGTCCCTGGTGGCCAGAATGGAGGCAGGTTCTTCAATCATGTCATATTGAAAGTCAAGATAAAGTTGAAAGAATGAGACATGTTTAACATAGAAAAAAGAAGGCTCAAAGAAACATGCATAGCCGTCTTCAAATAGCTTTTATTCTGTTTGAAGGAATATTCTTATGGGTGACTTTCAGTGACCAGAACTGGGCTCAGAGGGATATTTTAGGGAAATGGCCTATTGCCATAAAAGGCACTATTTAGACAATTGGCAGAATTTGAAAACAGACTGTATATTAGAACATTTTAATATCAGTGTTAGATTTCCTTAATCTGATCTTTATATGGTTATGTAAGAGAATATTCTTGTTCTTAGGAATACATGCTGATTCCTCTCAAAGGATAAAAGGACATGATGTCTACAACTTTCTTTCAAATTGTTCAGAGAAAAAACTGATATCTAACTATATTTCTGACATCCATATATACATACACATATATAAATGGGGAGAGAGAATGATAAAGCAAATAAGTTCTTTGTTATGTTCTTATAATTCTTCCATAATTTTGAAGTTCTTTCCAAATAAAAAACTGACAAATAAATGTATTTGGAGATCATGAATTTCCCCATCACTTGAAGTACTCAATTCTGTTGAATAATTGTATTAGAAACAAGTGTGATTTTAAAGGAAAATACAATTTGTGAAGTTAACCTCTCATTTTATTTTTTTTTTTTTTGCCAATTTTTCTTAAGGATGGCAAAGCAGAAAAAGCTGACACCTCTACTTCTGGGAAAGCAAGTATGAAATCAATTCTTGAAAACCTGAGTGATCTTTGGGATCAAGAGCAGTATGATTCAGAGTACAGCCTGGAAAATTTTATGCATTCTCTCAAGTAACTATCAAATATTGTAAATGCAATTGCTGCTAGTTCAGTTACATTTCTGCTGATATTCAGCAAATTTCTAAGTTTATGGTGAACTTTTAACTCAATGTGTAAATAGATCTGGAGAATATTCAGCATAATGCTGGCTCTTGTTTCACTGGGGGAAACAAGTTATTCTCAAATATTTGCACTGTATTAAATTTAAATGTTAATGTGAAATGGTTTAAATTTTACATGCTGAAAAGCTGCAGAGCAGAGGAACCAAACCAGGTTTATTTGTGCTACCAGGAGGTGTTCTTAATGGGAACAGGCCTCCTATCTTTAGTCACTTTGTACAGGATGATATCCATGAGTACTTTAGTGTTTGTATATGTTTTTTCTTTTAAATAGAACTTGTTTTTATAATTGATTTAAAATAGGGCTTTTTTTCTATAAAAGCCTTAATGAGCCATAATTTTAAGAATATAAGAATAATGACTATGATATTGGTCAGTCTTAGAACATGAAAATGTCAGACAATGAATTTAATCGGGCCCTTGGTGGAAACATTTATATATTTAATGCAGATGCATAGTGTTTTTCAAATCTTTAACATCATTTTTTCAACTTTTAAGATATAATATCAACTATTCTAAATACAGGTAATGGTATATTTAAGGCTACCATAACATCCTATTTAGAGGGTGGTTTTTTTTAATTTATCTAATGGCTACGATATAGCCAGATTCAAATAACATATGTACTCAATAGGTTTCAATCATATATATAATATATTTTTTGTAACTATGAACATACACAGTTTTCCAGAAATAGATTTTACACTGTTTAGAATTCCAACACCTACAGTGGAAAGACTGTTTATTGTAGTAATGCATGGCTGAAGCATAAAAGGGAGAGAGAATTTCTTTATATACACAAACATACATGAATATGCATATCTATATGCATAGATGTACCTATCCTGCACCCAAAAAGGTGCCTGGTATTGGCACTAAAATCATGTAGTTATACTGGGCAGCAATAATAATTGGGCATGAGGCTGATTACTCAATGGTGAGGGTAGGTATATGTAGATAGATGTGCATGTATGTGTTTGTATATATAATTTTATAAGTTTCACGCATAAATTAATACATGCCTGTGTGCATACATATGTATGGGATATATTTGTATATATATGTACAGGTAATAAACATCCCCAAGGTTTGTGGCTGGCCATACACATAGGCATCAGTTTAACAACCATCAGACCTCAGCTGTACAATAACAGGTGTTTTGTTTAATTAAAATTATACTGTTCTGCAGCATTTAGACATTTGTCACATTTCATTAGCTTTGACAACCATACTGTAACATTAAACCTAGCATTCCACAAGAGAATAAATATAAGATTGAAACTGTAAAATATATGCAACTGTGTGTTATTTGTAGGAAATGGTCACTAGAAAGAGCAAAAGATTATTCAGGTATACAGGTTTTTTTTCATTGTTTAGGATTTTAACTCAAAACTTTATGTAGAACATTTCAGTATATTTGAGTTGAATATTTTTTTATTAACTATTTATTTGCTAGTTCCATAAACCAGCTCTTTAACATAGCTTATAGTAATTGATATTTTCTTAGAATAAGTACAGAGCAATATATCATTAAAGGGCTATGAAGGGGCAAAAGAAATCACACCATAAAAGTTAGTACTTTTTCCCAATCTGAAATGTCAGATAGAGCTAGAAGTCAGATATTTAGGCTGTTTAAACTTTCTGAGAGTTTAATCAAAAGGTGTGTATTTCTAGAAGGATGACTAGAAAAATGATGTGTGGTTGCTTCTGAATGGGAAACAGGAGTCAGAGCTGACAGGAAAACTTAGAGTGGCTATAACATTTTTAAAATAATCTTTTGAGTTGTAAAATAGTAAATCACACATTCCAACTTTTCCATAGAAAGGAAAACATGTAAACAGGTAAGAACTAAGTATTCTTAATTAAATGACCCAGTCATTGTAGTACATCTTAAGAATAATGAAGAGATGTGGAGAATTGAACTGAGTAATGAATGATATTAAAGAACTGCTGTCAATTTCATGGATGTGATGATTTGGTAGTTTTTTCAATGTATGGGTGTGGGAAGTCAAACAAGCATGATAGAATGTTAACTATTTTAAACTGGGAATTGGGTTCATAGATATCCATTGTACTACTTCCCTTGGTTTTTGTGTCTTTATGATAGGAAATAGCAAACTGTTAAAAATATAGATTCAGAGATTATTAGTCTTATCATTTGGGTTTCTTGTAGGAAAATCTTAACATTTGGGGGCCTGGGTATAATTTTTGTTTCATATATTCACTCATATATATGCTTATTGTATATGCTTATTTATTCTACAAACATTTCTCCAAAAAGTATTCTAGTGAAAGGGTAAAAGTCTTTGATGTTGGGACTGATTGAACTGGTATAGCCTTATTCCTTCTGGATGGTTTATATGAACTTACTTATTCAAAAGTAAATATTCCACTGAAGCTATTTGAGAATGTGATCACTTATAGACAAAAGTGGAATTCGAACATAATAGAAATTATACAAAAGTAACAAGCACTCCATCACACATCTGTTCTAAATATTTAATCCTAATAGAATCTTCTATGTCCTGCAGACCTCCCATGCTGGCACCAGTGGAGTCTAAAGTGAAATTGGGCTGGGCACGGTGGCTTATGCCTATGAGAGGCCAAGGCAGGAGGAGCACTTGAGCCCAGGAGTTCAAGACCAACCTGGGCAACATAGGGAGATCCTGTCTCTACAAAAAAAATACAAAAATTAGCCAGGCACAGTGGCATGCTTTTCTTGTCCCAGCTACTCAGGAAGCTGAGGTGAGTTTGAGGTCGCAGTGAGCTACGACTTCACCACTGTGCTCTAGCTGGGTGACAGGGCAAGACCCTGTCTCAAAAATAATAATAATAATGTGAACTTGATTGCAGGTACACCTGTTATCAGATGCTAGAGGACTCAAGTGAATCATCAAGTGAATCAATAAAACAAAAACTTGAGTTATATCAATTAATAGAAAATGTTTCCTCTTTATACACAGCATTTTCTTCTTTTTTTTTTTTTTTTTTTTTTGCGATGGCATTTCACTCTTGTCGCCCAGGCTGGAGTGCAGTGGTGCCATCTTGGCTCACTGCAACCTCTGCCTTCAGGGTTGAAGCCATTCTCCTGCCCCAGCCCTCCTGAGTAGCTGGGACTACAGGCACCTGCCACCATGCCCAGCTGATTTTTGTATTTTTAGTAAAGACAGGGTTTTGCCATGTTGGCCAGGCTGGTTGAACTCCTGACCTCAGGTGATCCACCTGCCTCGGCCTCCCAGTGTTGGGATTACAGGCGTGAGCCACTGTGCCCAGCCTATACACAGCACTTTCAACCACCATCTGTAAAGAGATACAAAGTACCTCCTGCTTCAAGAAAGGGTTCCTATGAATCTATAATAAATCCACTAAAACCAGTGAAGTTCCATTAAATATAGGGGCTGAGATCCTAATTTCCATGTAGAGACAAGGAGAATTAGTCCCCTCCATAAACCTGCAAAGAGATCACATATTCAAGTAGGACTAGATCCGTGAGCACACACACAAAGTTATCTATATGAAATCAGAATCCCAGGCCTTTACCATGGGTGTAAGTGTAAGGTCTGGGTTTATGCTAAGTGTTTTATACTGTAAGAACCACAAGTCAAGAAAATAAAATCAATTCTGGCACCCCAGCAGAAACAAATACAAAAACTGCCCTTTAGGGAGAGTTTCTAATAGGGTCCCATAGGATTATCATAGAAGGAAAGATTAAGCCTACATACATACCATCTACAGGAGGAAAAGCCAGCAGATAAAAGTAGAATTCTTTAAGAAGTACAAATAAAATAAATCATAAAACAGATAGGAAAATACTATGAAAGATTAGACATTTGAAAACCAATAAATGAGAAACAGTTCTCAATGCATTTTACACACATTTGAAGAGAGAATTTGTGAACTGGAATGTTGAACAAGAGAATCTTGTTAGGAGGTCCAGAAGGAAAGGGAGATCATGGGAACAGAGACAAGTCACTCTTAGGACTATTTTCTATATGTCCCTGCATCTAATCCATCAACAGTTTCTACCATCTCTAGCTACAAAATATATTTCAAATCTCTTCACCTGTCTTCATCTCCACTGCTACTACTGTAGTTCTGTGATACCGTAACTTGTATTAACCTGATTGACTCTCTCTTAGCTGAGAAAGCCAGATGGATTCCATTTGGCTCCTTCATTTGCAAGACATTAAGGGCTCCTTACCCACCCCCTTCCTCAAGGACTTAACTTGTGCAAGCTGACTCCCAGCACATCAAAGAGTGCAATTAACTGATAAGGTACTGTGGCAAGCAAGCTATGTCCACAGTGCCCAGGAATTTGCTCAGGTGATAGTACTCTAAAGCCCCCGCGTTTGTGTCCAGCAGATATCACCCAGAGCCCCCACACCTATCACCTTGTGATGAATTTAAAGCCCCTGCACCTGGAACTGTTTGTTTTCCTGTAACCGTTTGTCTTTTTAACTTTTTTGCCTGTTTTACTTCTGTAAGATTGCTACAGCTAGGGTCCCCCTCCCCTCTCTAAACCAAAGTATAAAAGAAAATCTAGCCCCTTCTTCGGGGCCGAGAGAATTTTGAGCGCTAGCCTGTCTCTCGGTCGCCGGCTAATAAAGGACTCCTGAATTAGTCTCAAAGTGTGGCGTTTCTCTATGACTCGCTTGGTTACAACTTTTCCCACCACCACCTTGCCTCTCCTAGACTACTGTCATCTTACTGGTCTTCTTACTTGCCGAATCCACCAGTGTCGTCCTGTCATCTTCAGACCAAATCAAAATTCCTTACTATAAGCCCTACAAGTTGTGGCCCTTGCCCATCCCTCTGACTTTGTCTCTTGTCATATCCCACTATGTTTACCTCCAATCAAGTCAGTATGTCCTCCTTGCTGTGCCTCAACATAAAACCACATGTGTTTCCATCTTAGTTTTGGTTCTGGTACAGCTGGGTAAATGGTATATGTATTATGGGAGAGATGGGGAAGACTGAAAAGGGAGTATTAGGGGATGGGTGGAGGTGGAAAGTAGGAAGTCAAGAATTCTGTTTTGTTCATGTTAAATATGAGGTGCCTGTTAGATGCATCAAAGTAAGGATACAGAGTAGGTAGGCAGATATAGGAGTCTGGAACTCAAAGAAAAGGTCAAGACTAGAGAGAGAAATTTAGAAGACAGTATTTTAAGGTATGGGACTGCATGAGAGCTCCTGGGGTTTACTTATATAATGGGAATCCTATAGAGCAGTAAGAGTCAATGAGTAACTAATAAAACATTGTTGAATCTCAAAACAGCAGTGAGTTTTTAAAAAGTATACTTTGAGTCCATTTAGATGAAGATCAAAAACAAAATATTGTTTATGGCTGTACAAAAACAATCACACATATGGTTATTTCACATTTTAAGAATAAAAATTGTCAGTCATATGAACATTTACTGATTGTTTCCTACTATGTACTAGACACAGTGGGAGAAACTCAAAGACGAGTGAGGAAGGAGGATACTGCAGCCAACAGTTGGCATTGTTACATTAATTTTAGAAAAAGTAGCCTTCGGGCAAAAAGTATTACTTGGAGTAGAGGGTATCTCCTAAAGATAACAGATTCAGGCACAGACGTGGTGGCTCACACCTGTAATCCCAGCACTTTGGGAGGCCAAGGCCAGCAGATCACCTGAGGTCAGGAGTTTGAGAATGGCCTGGCCAACATGACGAAACCCCGTCTCTACTGAAAATACAAAAAATTAGCTGGGCATGGTGCTGCAAACCTGTAGTCCCCAGCCACTTGAGAGGCTGAGACAGGAGAATCGCTTGAACCTGGAAGGCGGAGGCTGCAGTGAGCCAAGATCACGCCACTGCACTCCAGCCTGGGCGACAGAGTGAGAATCAGTCTCAGAAACAACAACAACAAAAAACATACATCCAAAAAAAAAACAGATTCAGTTAACCAGGAGAATAAAGCAATTCTAAATTAATACGCACTTCAAAAACATGGACAAAACTACAAAAAGAAATGGACAAGTCCAAGGTCATAGTGGGATTTTAACACACCTCTCTCAATAAAACAAGTGGACCAGAAGAAAACATGCAAAAAGATATAGACAATTTTAGTACAGTGAACAAGTGTGATTTAATTGACTCATATCTATACTCACATATATAGGTGTGTATATATGTGCGTGTGTGTGTGTATAGAGACAGAGAGAGAGACTTTTTTTTTTTTTTTTGAGATGGAGTTTTGCTCTTGTTGCCCAGGCTGGAGTGCAATGGTGCAATCTTGGCTTACTGCTACCTCCATCTCCTGGGTTCAAGAGATTCTCCTGCCTCAGCCTCCCAAGTAGCTGGGATTACAAGCTTGCACCCCCATGCCTGGCTAATTTTTTGTATTTAGTAGAGACGGGGTTTCACCGTGTTGGTCAGTCTGGTCTTGAACTCCTGACCTCAGGTGATCCACTTGCCTCGGCCTCCCAAAGTGCTGGGATTACAGGTGTGAGCCATTGCACCTAGCTGAGAGAAACTTAACAACTTCAGAATACATTCTACATTCTTTGGAAGCTCATGGGCAACATGGACCCAAAGTGACCATTATGCTGAGCCATAACTTCTGGCAAATTTCAAGAAATTGAAATCATACATACTGTCCTCTTTCTGTGCTCCGACAATATACCTTAGATCCTAGCCAGTATGGTAACAGTAAAAATATGAAGACAATACAGATTAGAAAGAAAGCAAGCTTGCTTTATTCACAAACAACATGACCGGGTGGAAAATCCCAAAGAATCTACCAAAAAAGCTTCTAGAATTAAGTGATTTAGCAAGCAACAAAATCCAGGAAGTAGATAAAAGTTTTACAAAATATGTAAAAGGTCTGCTGAAAACTATACAACAGATAAATCAAAAAGACCTTCAAAAATAGATGTACCATGTTCATGGAACACTTAGAAGTGGTTAAGGTAATTTTTTTTTTTTTACTTCAATTAAAAAATTAAAGAGATCGAGAAAACTGCTAACAAAAAGAAAGCTGGGATAGCTCAAAGAATTAATAACAAAATTATTAGAGATAAAGAGGGGCATTATATAATAAAGGGACCAATTCTCCATGAAAATAACAATTTTTAATGTGTACACACCTAACAGAGCATCCAAATATGTGGGGGCAAAAATGGACAGAACTGCAAGGAGAAATAAATCTGCTGTTAGAGGCTTCACACATTTCTCTCAATAATTGACAGATCTAACAGGCAGAAAATCCTTAGGATTTTCTGAACAATAGTCAACAGAAGAGTAAACATACTTCTTAAGCTGACATGGAGCACTGACCAAGGTAGACCATATTCTGGTCCATCACACCTCAACAAACTTAAGTATGCTCTTAGACACAATGGGATTAAACTACAAATCAGTTAACAGAAAGATAGCCGGATAATCTCCAAATATTTGGGGGTTTAACATGTGGGTCAAAGAAGAAATCTCAAGAGAAATTAAAAATATTTTGAAGACAGTGAAAATACAACTTGATGGGATGTGGTAAAAGCACTTGAGAGAAATGTATAGCATTGAATGCAGTTAGTAATGAAGAAAGATCTAAAACCTAAGCTTTCACTTTAGGAAATTAGAGAAAGAAGAGTAATATAAAACTAATGCAAACAGGAGAAAAATAAAAATTAGAGCAAAAAAAAATGATGTTGAAAATAGGAAAAAGAAAAATCAATAAAGGATAAATCTCCGACCAGGCTAACAAAGAAAAAAGAAGACATTGCTCATATCAGAGAGGCCATCCCTATTGAGAACATGGGTATTCAAAAGATAATAAAGGAATAGGATTAACAACTCTGCCCACAAATTTGACAACAGATGAAACGGATCAGTTCCTTGAAAGGCACAATCTACTAAAATCCACACAAGGAGAAATAGATAATCTGAGCCCATATATACTAAAGAAATTGAATCAATTTTCTGAAACAGAAAGCTCCAGACTGAGATGAATTCTACCAAACATCTAAAGAAGAAATGATATCAATTCTCTATAGTGTCTTCCAGAAGATAGACGCCAAAGGAATTCTTTCCTGCTCGTTGTATGAGAACAGCATTACAGAAGCATCTCCCTCACCACCAATCCATGGTTGCTCTTTCCTTCTTTTTTTTTTTTTTTTTTTGAGACAGTCTCGTTCTGTCACCCAGGCTGGAGTGCAGTGGCACAATCTTGGCTCACTGCAACCTCCGCCTCCTGGGTTCAAGTGATTCTCCTGCCTCAGCCCCCCAAGTACCTGGGATTACAGGTGCGTGCCACCATGCCCAGCTAATTTCTGTATTTTTTAATTTTGTATTTTTAATTTTTGAAGTGACAGGGTTTCACCATGTCGGCTAGGCTGGTCTCAAACTCCTGACCTCAGGTGACCCACCTGCCTCGGCCTCCCAAAGTGCTGGGTTTACAGGCATGAGCCACTGTGCCTGGCCTCCTCTTGTTCAGTTACCTGTGGTCAATTGTGGTCTGAAAGTATTAAATAGAAAGTTGCAGAAATAAACAATTTGTAAGTTTAAGCACCATCCTGGGTAACTTCATGAAATCTCTTGCCATCCTGCTCCATTTCACCCGGGTGTGAATAATCCTGTCTAGGATATTCATAACCTGTATACATTACCACCCATGGTGGCTGATATTGTCTGCTCCTGACATCCAGCCATCAACACCATTACAGCTTGACGATCCAGGATCACCTGAAGCAGATGATCCCCCTGAGGTATTAATATCATCAGGTTAAAGTGGCCTAAGGCTACATACATCACAGTGCCCACACCATTCACCTCACTTCCCCTCATTGAATTTTATCATTGCATCATCACAAGAAGGGTGGGTATGGCAAAGATTTAGAGAGAGACCACATTTGCATAACAATATAATTCTTCTATTTTATCAGTAGTTGTTAAGCTCTTACTGTGCCTAATTAAAAAACTTTATCATAGGCATGTATGTATAGGAGAAAACATAGTATATATAGGGTTCAGTATTATGTGATTTCAGGCATCCACTGGGGGTCAACATATTCACCACCGATAAGCGGGGGGACTATTGTGAACTACTGTACTCTAATATAAAACCAGATAAAGACATTACAAGAAAAATATGCACCAATATCTCTCATGAACATAAATGCAAAAATCCTCACTATAGAACTTCCAGAAAATAACATACAAGAAAATCTAGATGACCTAGAATTTAGTGATGACTTTTTAGATACAACACCAAAGACACCATCTGTGAAAGAAAATAACTGTTAAGTGAAAGATGCTAAGCTGGGTGCCGTGGCTCACGTCTGTAATCTCATCACTTTGGAAGGCCAAGGCAGGTGGATCACTTGAGGGCAGGAGTTCAAGACCAACCTGGCCAACATGGCAAAACCCCATCTCTACAAAGTAAAAAATAAAAAAATTAGGCGAGCATGGTGGCACATGCCTGTAGTCCCAGCTACTCGGGAGGTAGAGGTTGCAGTGAGCCATGATCATGCCACTGCACTCCAGCCTGGGCGACAGAGCAAGACTACGTCTCAAAAAAAAAAAAAAAAAAATCTGTCACTAGAATGAGAAGAAAAGCCACAAACAGAAAACTATCTGTAAAACACATAAAGGACTTGTATCCGAATTTTGCAAAAATTTGAGTTTAGTCTTAAAACTAAAGAAAACTATTAACCCAGTTAAAAAATTGGCAGTAGGTCTGAACAGACACCTCACCCAATAAGATACACAGATGGCAAATAAGCATATGAAAAGATGCTATATGTCACATATCATTAAGGAATTGCAAATTAAAACCACCAGATACCACTAAACACCTCTTAGAACAGTGAAAATGCAAAACACAATACCAAATGCTGAAAAGGATACAGAACAACAGGAACCCATTGCTGGTAGAAACATGCAAAATGGTACAGCCACTTTGGAAGAGTTTGGCAGTTTCTTACAAAGCAATACAAGGTCTTACTATACAGTCAAGCACTCATACTCATAGATATTTACCCAAATGAATTGAAAACTTATGTCCACACAAAATCCTACACATGGATATTTATTTTGTCAGAGCAGAAGAACCACACAAAATCCTGCACATGGATATTTGTCAGAGCATAAGAACTTGAGCACATGGCTATTTATAGCAGCTTTATTCATAATTGCACCAAACAAGAAGCAACCAAGATGTCTTTCAGTAGGTAAATGGATTTTTAAAAAAGGTACATTCATATAATGAAATATTATACAGTGATTAAAAAGAAATGAGTAATGAATCTAGGAAAACACACGGAGGAACCCTACATGCATCTGCTGTGTGAAAGAAGCCAGTTTGAAAAGGCTGCATATTGTGTGATTCCAACTACATGACATTTTGGAAAAGGCTGAAACTATAGTGACAGTCAAAAGTCCAGGGGTCCAGAGGAGAGAGAAGGGATGAACAGCTAGAACACATGGGGTTTTCAGGGCAGTTAAATTCTTCTGTGTGACACTATATAATGGTGGTTAAATTATGCATTTGTCAAAACTCAACAATGTACAGCACAAAGAGTGAACCCTAATGTAAACTGTGGATGTTAATAATAATGTATCCATATGAAACAATTGCTGATCCTTAAAAATGTACCACATTTTAGCTGTTACTTTTCCAAGCACAGCTATATTTAAAAAAAAAAAAAGACCACACTAACGCAAGAAGATGTTAATAATAGGAGAAACTGGGGGAAGGATGTTGAGAGGCTCTGGGGGAACTCTGTACTATCTGATCAATTTTCGGTACCATTTGAGCACTTTTAAATTGCTCTGTAAAATAACTTAAGAATTGGCCGGGCGCAGTGGCTCACGCCTATAATCCCAGCACTTTGGGAGGCCAAGGCAGGCGGATCACGAGGTCAGAAGATCGAGACCATCCTGGCTAACACGGTGAAACCCCGTCTCTACTAAAAATACAAAAAATTAGCCGGGCGTGGTAGTGGGTGCGTGCCACTGCACTCCAGCCTGGGCGACAGAGCGAGACTCCGTCTCAAAAAAAAAACCAACAAAAAAAGAATAGCCACAGGGGCTGACGCGGTGGCTCATACCTGTAATCCCAGCACTTTGGGAGGCTGAAGCAGGTGGGTCACTTGAGGCCAGGAGTTCGAGACCAGCCTGGCCAACTCGGTGAAACCCTGTATCTACTAAAAATAGAAAAAATTAGTTGGGTGTTGTGGCACAGACCCGTAATCCCAGCTACTGGGGAGGCTGGGGTGGGAGAATCACTTGAACCCGGGAGGTGAGGTTGCAGTGAGCCAAGATTATGCCACTGCACTCCAGCCTGAGCGACAGTCTCAAAAAAAAAAAAAAAAAAAAAAAAGACACATGATAAAAACAATCCAGTCAGAAAATAGATATAGAGACATTTTGCTGAAGAGGATATAAAAAATGGCAGATATGCACATGAAAAAATGTTCCACAGTATTAGCCATTAGGGAAATAGAAGCTAAAACCACATTGGGATATTACCACACACCTATCAGAATGACCAAAATAAAAAGTAGTGACAATACCAAATCATGAGGACTCAGAGAAACTGCATCACTCATATTTTGGTGGATGTGTGAAATGGTAGATTTGCTCTAGAAAAGAGTTTTGTACTTTCTTAAACTTCAGACTACCATATGACCCTGCAGTTGCCCTCCTGGGCATTTATCCCAGAAAAAAATGAAGAGATGTTCACTCAACCACCTGTACATGACAGTTTATAGCAGCTTTATTTAATAGCCCAAAACTAGAAACAATCCAGATGTCCTTCAGCAAGTAAATCGTTAAACAAACTGGTGCATCCATACCACAGACTACCACTTGGCAATAAAAAAGGGATGAACTATTGATACATACAAATGGGATGAATCTCCAGATAATTATGCCCAAAAATGAAAGTCCCAAAAGGTTATATATTGCTATTTCCATTTATTTAATATTCTTGAAATAAGGAAGTTACAGAACTGGAGAATAGATTCGTGGTTGCCGGGGGTAAAGAAGGGTGCAATGGGAGGGAAGTGGGTGTAACTGTAAAAGGGAAACCTGAGTGTTCCTTGAGGTGATGAAAATGTTCTGTATCTTTACTGGATCCATGTTAATATTCTGGTTGTGATCCTGTAATACAGTTTTGCAAGTTTTAGAAGGAAACTGGGTAAAGAATACATGGGATCGCTCTTATTTCTTACAACTGTATATGAATCTATTTCAAAATTAATGTTTACTCAGACTATAATGTAGAAGTGGGGCCCATAGATCTTGGATGTTAAATAAGGCTGTATAGGCTGGGCATGGTAGCTCATGCCTGTAATCCTAGCACTTTGAGAGGCCGAGGCAGGTGGATCACCTGAGGTCAGGAGTTCAAGACCAACCTGACCAACACGGCAAAACCCTGTCTCTACTAAAAATACAAAAATTAGCCAGGCACGGTGGTGGGCACCTATAATCCTAGCTACTCGGGAGGCTGAGGCAGGAGAATGGCTTGAACCTTGGTAGGGGGTGGGAGCGGGGGCAGGTAGCAGAGGTTGCAGTGAGCCGAGATCACACCATTGCACTCCATCCTGGGCGAAAGTGCAAGACTCCATCTCAAAAAAAAAAAAAAAAATGCTGTGTAGGCAAATCAGTATACGTACTGCAGGAGTCATTAGCTTTCAGTGTTTGATGCTCACTACTCAAGAATCAACTGCAGAGATTAATGGATGAAATTTTTAACTTTATTTCTTTACTCCATGCCTTCTCCCAGATTGTCTAAACTTTTTTTTCAAAAACCCCTCTAGGATGTTGGTAGGCTTAAGGAAGAACAGAAAGGAACCTGAAGGTGGGGAGAGAATAAAACTGGGAGCAAGGAAATTGAAGTTGGGGTGATTGGGAAAACAGGCCAGCCTGGGTGGGCATCTGGTGGCAATGACAAGCCAGAAAGGAAATCTGGTTTTCAGGAGTATAAAAAGTGAATTATATGAAGGTTGCTTGGAAGAAAATTCCATTTTGTCCAATATCTGCTTTTAACTTTCACAGGGCTCCTGTTTTGTTTGGTTTTAGTGCTCCATTGAAACTTACAGACAAGTACACAGATCATAGTGTACAACTCAATGAATATTCACAAAGTGAACACACTTTGTATATCCAACACCCAAATCAAGAAATTCACCAGCACTCTAGATGCTGCTTTCAAGCCCCCTCGCAGTTACTCCTTTGCACATTTATATAAATGGAATCATACACTGTGTACTCTTTTTGTGTCTGGCTTATTTTGACCAACATTAAATGTGTGAGATCTTTCTGTAATGTGGCATGTTGTAGATCTTCATTCTCCCTGTTGGGTAGGATTCCATATGTGGATATGCTATAATGTATCCATTCTAATACTGTAGGCCATTTGGATGGCGTTCAGTTTGGGGCTGTACAAATACTGCTGCTGTGATTATTCTCGTACATGTCTTTTGAACATACTACATATTTTTGGTGGGCATACACCAATGAGTGAAAAAGTGGGTCACAGGATATAGACAAATTCAGTTTTTATAAATGTTTTCCAAAATGGCTGTACCATGCTGTGGTTTGAATGTGTGCCCACAGAAGTTCATGTGTTGGAAACTTAATCCCCAATGCAACAGTGTTGGGAGATGGGACCTAAGAGGTGATGAGGTTGTGAGGGCAGAGCCCTCATAAAGGGATTAGTGTTGTTATCTAGAGAGTGGCTTAGTTATCATGATAGTGGGTTGTTACAAAGCAAGTCTGGCCGCTGGTACCTCTCCCTGTCTCGAGTGCTCAGTTGCCCTTCTGCCACGTTATGACACAGAAAGAAGGCCATGCTCTTGGATTTTTTGACCTCCAGAACGGCGAGAAACAATTTTCTTTATAAATTACCCAGTCTCTGGTATTCTGTTACAGCAGCAGAAAATGGACTAAACATATCACCTTCCACTTTTACCAGTACTTATCTAGATCCTCCCTACCACGTGGCATTTTGTGTCTTTTAAATGTTAGTCATTCTAGTGGGGGATGTACTGGAATTGCACTTTGGTTTATTTATTTATTTAGAGACAGAGTTTTGCTCCTGTCCAGGCTGGAGTGCAGTGGCGCGATCTTGGCTCACTGCAACCTCTGCCTCCCGGGTTCAAACAATTCTTGTGCCTCAGCCTCCCGAGTAGCTAGGATCACAGGCATGCGCCACCACACCCAGCTAATTTTTTTGTATTTTTAGTAGAGAGGGGGTTTCACCATGTTGGTCAGGCTGGTCTCGAACTCCTGACCTTAGGTGATCTGCCCACCTCTGCCTCCCAAAGTGCTGGGATTACAGGCGTGAGCCACCATGCCTGGCTGCACTTTGGTTTTAATGATAAGTAATGAAATTGAGCAAAATGACCCTGTCTGTTTAAAAAGAGACCAGGTGCACAACTCATCACCTTAGGGTCTAAGACTTGCCAAGGGAGTTTTTCTTCCACTTACAAAGGGAGTCATTTGGTTTAGGCCTGCACTGAAGGTGACAAGTTGAATGTTTCCCTTAAGCTTAACAGTTGAGACCAGGTGCGGTGGCTCACACCTGTAATCCCAGCACTTTGGGAGGCCGAGGTGGGTGGATTACCTGAGGTCAGGAGTTCAAGGCCAGCCTGGCCAACATGGTGAAACCCTGTCTCTACTAAAAATACAAAAACTAACTGGGCATGGCGGTGGGTGCCTGTAGTCCCAGCTACTTGGGAGGCTGAGGCAGGAGAATCGCTTGAACCCTGGAGGCAGAGGTTGGAGTGACTCAAGGTCATGCCACTGCACTCCAGCCTCCAGCCTGGGCAACAGAGTGAGACTTCATCTCAAAAAACAAACAAACAAACTTAACAGCTGAGCCCAAACCAGCTTACCCAAAGGTTTGACCAGTAACAGCAAAGAAGAAAATGACATGACTTGGGCTGACCCGTGAGGGCCAGAATTAAATGTTGAGATGAGTGCTTTTGCAGTTACAGCAAAGTCCTCTTTATCTAAATACAAACAATGCCCAAACCTCAATTTTATTCCCTTCATACTACTATGTAATGGGACTGAATATAGATAAATTTCAGTTACGTTTCAGTGACCAGCAGCACTCCAGCTTGTGGGGACCCACTTGGAACCCCAGACTTGATATGAAGATGAAGATGATGATGATGATGATGATGATGAAGACGGAGTTTAGCTCTTGTTGCCCAGGCTGTAGTGCAATGGCGCCATCTTGGCTCACTGCAACCTTCGCCTTCCGGGTTCAAGCAATTCTCCTGTCTCAGCCTCCCAAGTAGCTGGGATTACAGGCGCCTGCCACCACGCCCAGCTAATTTTGTATTTTTAGTAGAGACGGGGTTTCACCATGTTGGTCAGGCTGGTCTTGAACTCCCGTCCTCAAGTGATCCACCCATCTCGGCCTTCCAAAGTGCTGGGATTACAGGCATGAGCCACAGCACCGGCCAAAGATTATTTTAAACTAAAGACATTTGAGATTCAACAGATGCAAAAGTGAGCTTTTTCAGAGCTTCCTTTATCTGAATAAAGGCAGAAACTTCTGAGAGAGAAGCTGCCGTAAATCCCCTCCCAGGGAGCTTTAGTGGGCAGAAAAGGGATGGAGACCATTGGCAACTGCATAAACAAACATCGCCAGAAACTTTCGTATCTCCTAAAACTCATTTGTATTTCCTAAAGAAACCACTTGATCTTCCCATAGATGCCCTTTTCTATGAGAGAGCTCCCCCTCTTTCCCTTATTGTTGGTTATATAAACCCCTATCTCTAATTATGGAGGAAGAAGCCACTTTTGTGCACTTCCATGTGCGTATGGATCAACTTCGTCTTTTGTTAATTTTTAGTTAATTAGCAGACCTCCAATCAAACTTAGCTGGTAGAGGAAAGAGTTTTTCCTCCTGACAATCCTTTGAATGGCAGTAGGACCCACCAATTTGGGCTTTCCTCACCCCGTTAATCAATACCCTTTATAGAACAGTTCTCGTTAAAATATTTTTAAAATCATATATTTAAAATTTGACTCCAGCGTGAGAGTGCTTATGTGAATATCGCTTCACATACATGTGCCAAAGGTCTAGTGAAACATCACCACGGCCCAGTGTTAAAGCTTAATGTCCATCCGCGCTGCTGGTGATGAGTTTTCTTTTTGGTAAAGCCGGGACCTTAGACATAACCTCTGGCCACCTCATGGGGCCTGTCGCGCACAGCCATGCAATTAGCAAGCGGGGCTGCTGCAGACTTCAGGCACAGGGAACGCCAGGACTACCGACTGATTTTCCCCGCTAGAAATAAACACTAGTAGTCATAATGGCACTATTTACTTACCTAGTCCGTCTTCACACCAACAGTTAGGACATCGGAACCTTTTTTCTTTTTTTTTTTAAATCAAGGGACAAATGTGTGCTCCTAGTCAGACCGGCCGTCTGAAAGTAGGATTCCAATTGTGGCCTTAATGTATGTTATTATTTCTAATAAAAGCAGACTTAAAAGGGGCTCAAACACATTTTTCTCTCCATTTGGGCCAGGGGAGGGGGACCAAAGGGACCAGAGAGCTCCAAACGTTCCATCCGATCCCAGCGGCACAAGGGCTGAGCCTCCTGGTTTCCCTAGGTGAATAGGGGGCACCTGCTCCCTGCCAGGTGAAAGCTGGTGCTGAATAGAGCAACGTGCAAAGCTGAGCCTCGCGCAGAGCCAGGAGCGACTCCCCCAGGGTGGGCCCTGAGCTGCCCTTCAGGCCCGGTGGCACGGAGGGGCGCGGGTCACCGGCCCGGGTGAGCTTACCTGCAGGGCTGCGGCCAGGAGGAAATGCGCCACCGCCCAGGCCAGGGCCCCTGGGTGCGGGAGGGGCAGAACGTGGGACCTGGAGCGGGGACCGAAAGGGTGCGGGCGGGAGACTATGGGTGGGGCGGCCTGGGAGGGAGCCTGAGACAAGACCCGACGCCCCCAGCCGCTCCACGTCGCTCTGCAGAGCGGCTCTCCAGCGGCCCCGTCCTCTTCCAGGCGTACTGGGCGCGCCTGGCCTCGACCGCCGTAGGAAGGCGCTGCATGGGCCTGAGGCACCGACACAGCGGTTTCCTATCATGGGGGTGATCGCCGGGGAGTTGAAAAATACCTGTGGCCAGACCCCAGCCTAACCCAAGTGAATCTGTCTCGGGGACCGGGCTGGGGGGACGCTGGTCCCTGCTTGTTCTGAAGGCCCCGCAGGGGATTCGCTGGTGCAGCCACTTGTGATCCGTTTTCTAAATGGATTAGTCAGTACATGGCTTCTAGCACACCCAAAATCGATAGGGATTTTTAAAAGACGCATTTTCTGAAAAATCGGAGAGCCAGGTGTGAAAGATAAAGCGAAGTGGCACACCTACCTTTCCACTGTTTTGGTTGCGATTTTGAGAATTGGTTTCATGTAGCAAGTCTGGCATAAAAACCCAACTGCACCTCTAAAAAGGTGTGTTCACATGTGTCAACAAATACTTTGTTGCAAATATACTTGCATGTTTTTCATAAACGAGTGTTACTTGTGTCAGAGAAAGGGTGAATTCTGCTGTACTTAGTCTGCTTTAAAGGGATTTGTCAAAAAAAAGAGTTAAGCAAATTGGAATGCACCAATGTTCCCAGATGTGAACCATATACTCCAAGTTATTCCTCAGCAAATGCAACGGATGACAAGTGTCAGTACTTCATACAACTAGATTTAATAAGTTGTTATTACAGAAAAAAATGAAGTCCAAACTACAAAGTTTAAGCAGTTGTAAGCAGTAGCTGCATTGAGCTCCATGTTTAGTCACAGTACTGTAGTTCCATACAAGCAATATTAGTCCAAGCCCCAAAGGCAGAAGCTGAGTAAGGGTTACTAGCAAAAAACAATCTAAGAGAACAGGTAATAAAAGATACAATACATTTAAAATTAGTTGTTAGTTGAAAAACAAATACAGAGATCCTAGCTGTGAACACTCTAAAAGTTAAGTCCATTATTTTGACAGCAAAAAATACAAATACCTAATACTTTATACCCCAACAGAACTATATCCAGGAAAGAAAAAGAGCAGAAGTTATCCTGTGTTAGCACCCAAGTTTTCTACTTGTTGCAATTAACTTTGTCGTCATACAAATTTAAACATCCCCTAATCATGTAGCCACTTCTTGACCCATTTTGGGGTATAAAGTCAACAGCATTAATTATAAAACACTCTGTGGTAAGATGGAACACTATTGCAGCTGAGATAGAGAAGTTTGGTTATTATAAAAGAAAAAAAAAAACAAATGTTAGCTGACATACCATACAAGCTAGTGAAAAGCAACAATCCATTCAAATAAGCCAGTTTTAACAAAAAGATACATTTTTTTCACTAATCTGTGACTAATCTTTCACTCAAACCTTGCAAGTAGAGATGTCACAATACTCAAATATTTAGGTAGGAGCTTTACCCAGTTAAATGCCATTTTTGTTGCTAATATAATAGATAAAATGAAAACTAGCAGTTATTTGCTAATTGCATAAATGCAGTACATTCTGCATTAGCCCATGCCTCACTAACAAGCTATAAAACACAAGATATAGGCAGAAATCTAAGCATAATCTTTATACCACTAAGCAAGAATTTTCCACTTTTCTTCTGTTCCTAATCATTTATTTGTAGTTAATGTAAAATTCCAACCAGTAGTACCCAATTTGAGTTAAAATTTTACATCACAACTTGATCTAATCTATATATTATTTACAAAACTGAATACATAGAGCATACCCAAGACCAACTCTGGACACAAGTTTCTCTGAGTTATTGATGAACCTCGCCTCCATAGCGATGGAGCTGAAAGAGGCCATCAACCACTAGTAGAAACATATCATCTATCTGGATCAAGTCATTGGCTGTTCTGTTTACGCAACACCAGTTTTGCAGTTGTAGTTTTTGCTTTGACTGTAGGTGCTATTGCAATGACACATTAATGACTGTGCCTTAACTGCCCAGCTTCCAGGTGAGGAGGGTGTTGGAAAAGCAGCAGCAGAAAGGCAGACAGATCATGCACGCAGTTGCCACAATGAAAGGCAAGGGGCACCAGAACAGGAAGCAGGCATGGGTGTGGAGGAAGATGCAACCCGACACATAGTCAGGGTCCACAGACAGTGGTGACATCCGAGTGTGCTTCCTCAGTGCCACCAACTGAGCCTTACAGGGAGGCAGCATGAGTGAGACCCTGCAGGTGAGGTCTGCAGTACACCACGAAAGCCGTGTCCTCTTAGCAACTTCCTGTATGACTCCGATATCACCACTGTCAGTGCACATAAAAGATTCGGCCTGGGAGAAAGGCACTGTCTCACACAAGGACAGCAGTTGGTGGCAGTTTTTCTCTCTCTCTCTCTCTCTCTCTCTCACACACACACACACACACACGACATAATGACGAGTTAGAGGGGAAAAAGCAATGAAACATTCTGTTGACTTAGCCAGATTTTAAACCCAGTGGTACTTCGGTTGGGTGACTTCATTCTCAGGGCCACAGGTTTGGCTGCACCTGGTGTTGTATAAATCCACCGTGACATCCCTAGAGAACTGCACTGTGACATCCCTAGTCTTACACTAAACCACTGTGATAAAGGAAAAGGCTTCTCAAAATCTCACATGTTCTGCTCATTCTGTCATTTTATTACCCAATTATCCATTACATTTCCAATCACTTTACATAACCAAGCATTTTCATCGTTGTCACACTATTGTAAACCACATCAGCAAGTTAATACATAAAGCTTTGCATTTCAAAAAACTAGACACTTTAGTAACAATATTACAAAGGTTTTAGCTTCAAAAATAACTGAAAATGAAAAAAATAAACTTTTAAAGAATTAGCATCATAAAATTAATTTATTCCAATAAAAATACAAAATAATATTATGACATTGACCAGATATGAAAGTCCCTCCCAGAAACAACTCTATTAATGATTGAGAAAGCACTCCTTAAAGAAAATACGAAATAAAATGAAAAATATGTAAATATGTTTAATTTTTTTCTTAGCAAAAAATCTTTCTAAAAATAACAATGAAAATTTGTCTCAGTACAAAGGCTACATTACTATTGAAAAAATACCAGCATGAAGAAAAGGTACATATTTGACAGTAGAAAAATGATTTCAGTGAATCACAATGTCTAAAGTTTGCAATGAAAATAAATCTGCAATAAAGATTTATGCCTTTTTTCTTTTCTTTTTTTTTTCTATTTTTTATACAAACAGTACAAACAGTATTGCACATAACAACAAATAGTCGAGGTTAGGTTATAGCCTTCAAAAAATCGACTAGTTCAAGTGTCACACCAAGGAAAGGCCACAGCAGGACCTGTGTTACCCAGGGGCTTCCCAGTCAAGTTGCAGGTCAGAACACCTCTGTGTTTTAAAAAATAATTTTTTTGAAGGACCCTCTCTTTTAATATAACATTAACAACTTGGGGGCACATTTATTTACAAAACAAAAGGGAACATGTTATAATTTAATAAACTAAAAAAGTTCTCTTTAAAAAAATACAAACAGAAGAACTCTTTCACAATCCTGGTCAGTCGCGCACAATCAACACTTGATTAGAAATATACAAATTAAGGGAAAGTAGTTTCCACCATCTATTCACAACTTTCAGCACCAAATGGAGTTTATTTTTTGTAACCTATTCTTCAGGACAATGTTTTTTGCCTTCACTTTAGCTTTATGCTGTACAATCTTCCAGCTTTTAAAAAAATCTCAGTGTTATTTTAATACATGAAAGAGGGGTGCTTCTTCAAAAAGTTTTGCTTCTTTCACATAATTAGGTAGATTTCTGTAGGTTAGATATGATCTTTAATATTATAGTTATAAAGCTCTAACTTCTTCATTTTCAAAAAACACAAATAAGCATGAAAAAAATAAAGTTACCCATCTGTTAAATCATTTTCTTGCAGAATTAAATTAATATATATTTTTCTGAATAAACTTACTTAGAAAATATCATTTTCTTTCCTATATTTCAAAATTGAGGTATTGCAAAAGATCATGTCAGTCAGAAAGCATGCCTTTTTCCTTAAAAACAAAAAAAAAAATCTGCCAACTTTTGAAAACTGTCTAGAATACAAAAAGTAGTAGTGCATAACAAAATTTCTTGTACAGATGAAAAAAAACCCACAAACATAGAAAAAAACAAACAAAACCACACCTGGGCTGGAAAAAAGCAATTATTACCAAAAAGCCTCAAAAAGGGGAGGATTCTAAAATAAGCATTTTTAATCCAGTAAAAAACTATTTTGTTTTTCCTTTTTGAAAACAAACTATAGCTTGAGAGCCAGTAATTGCAACTAAACATGGGAGAACAAAACAAAAACAAGCAACACTAACTTAAGACAGTACAAGGACATCACAGCACAGAAAACACAGCGACTTAAATCTATTCTGCAGTGTCATATCCAGTCAGATTGTCCCCAGAATTCCAAAACATAGGAAGAAGATTAAAAAAAGATTTACATAGTCTTGCAATCATTGTGTGTGTTTATATATTACTATCTGCAGCCCAAGGGTGAATGCTAGAAAAATGTCCACGCTAGTGCTAGCAGGCCTTCATTCTAGACCACGCTAGTGCTAGCAGGCCTTCATTCTACTCAAGCTTAACAGGATAAATCCAGGGAATTAAGTAGTTAGTTTCTCACTCAGACAACCAACTCTGCCCAGGCCATCTTATTTTGTACAGACATTTCTTTAGCATCACCATTACACAACTTTCTTAAAAATGTGCCTAGTTTGTCAATCTGACAACTTATCTCTATATCCTGTATATATTCTTAGTGTTTGTAAGCTAAGATGAGCTCTTTGGTTTTCTGGACAAGGTCTGAAGCTATGTAAAATGGTGCAAGCACTAAGAGATTGTAACTAAGAGCTCATGTGTTAGTTTATAATATATCAGTTATGAACTGTCAAGTTCATTAATGTCTGACAGAGGCTTTAAACAGTTAAGTTTGATCACAGTTAGACATAATCACTTTACTATATAAAATAAATTTCACAATATATAACAGAGCACCGCAAAGTACTTCATCTACCATCCACAAATTTGCTTGAAGAATATCCTACACCTAGGTTTTATATCGGTTGTAATATAGGTCATTCTGTTATGGGCTCTTCCCATTCAGAGCATTCCATTTATTGAGGCATGCCTTCCTCCGGTCAATTACCAATTCTTTGAATGAAAAAAACTTTTTTTAAAAAATGAGTATTTTTATAGCTTATATAGATTCTTAATTTGTGCATTGTGGGAACGTTTTATACTAGACATTGGATATAAAATTTATTGCATGCAGCAACCTGATTAAGTAAACATGCAGTCAGAAATAGTGACCTTCCACCGAAGCTTTCTGAAGTCTATTCTGATCTCCGTTCGGCAGCTGACTCTATCCCTAAAATCACAAAAGTGTGTTGTTGGGTTTTTGTGTTTAATTGATATCCTAGCCTGAATAGAGTATTATGGTATTAATAATACCATTTTAATAGCAGCAAAAGCTATTGCAGCATAAATTTACATAATACTAAAAGATCTAACCAAAATCCTCGGCAAAACAAAAATCAAACATGAAGGAAAAATAAAAGATCCAGCTTATGAGGTATCCTTACAAGTCAAAATAGAGAGCAACTAAAGGCTTATTTTCATGAAGGGTTATCCTTACTCTAAGTGACCCGAGCTAATGATTGCTGAATTGTTGTGAAGTTTTTGCTACATCTGCCACCTACTCACGAGTATTACCTTTGGTAAGTCTTGTCCTAGGGGCAACTCTCTAAGTTTCTGAAAATAAGTGCATGCTCCAGTTCAAAACAATCAGAACAACACCACAACAACAAACAAAAGAATCACAGACAGTAGCCTGACGGCCGCTGATGAGAATGGCAGTCTACATACTGTCACGAGTGACAAATCAGGTATAAAAAATTAAGGTACCAAGCAGACAAAGGTGTGAATCAAAGTGCAAATCAGTACCATTCTACACTCTGCAATTCTGCATTATACTGGACACTGAGTTCAGTAATATGACTGTAAATAATAATAATAATAATAAAAAGACCCAATTCTTCTTTAAAAATCGAGAACGAATGCACAGATTTCCAGAACACTGTAAGCCCTGAGGCAGTGCCCTCTCTTTTCCCTCCTTGTTATCTACTCCAGTACTTGTGGCTGGGTCGGCCCGTGGCTCAGCTCCAGCGGAACGGGACGTGACGAGGGCGGTCGCCTCCCTCCTTCACCAGCGGTTTGTGGAACTCCCGCCCGGCTCGGGAATGTATGCTCGCCCAGCAGTATTCACAGTAATACTGCAGACAGGTGACGTTGGCACAGAAGAACGGGGCAAACTTCCCACCACAGCGTGTGCCCTGGCACTCATCACACATCTGATCATCCAGCACATATGGCTTTACTTCAACCTGGACCCAAAGAGGAAAGACAGAGAAAAATGATTTAGCAAAGCTTCCTTACATGTCTTGCTTTTGAGAGTTTACACTATAGCTTCAACGTATGTCTCAATCAGACGCTGCTTTCAACTCTGCTGATACTGGATGGTGGTTGAGAGCATGGGCTTTGGAATAAGCTCCTTGATTTACATCTTGCGTGATATTAGACAAATTCTTAAAATCTCTGTGCCTCTGTTTGCTCTATCACTGTATCTGTAAAATGGGTATGTTTACACACACATAAACACATTACACACACACATTTGTGTAATCTGTAAATGGGTATAACAGTGTTTACATCAAAGGGTGCTGGGGAGGATTAAGAGGGGCTGTGCACGTCAAAGCGCATGAGCTGAATCCTGAAAGCCGGGCAGCATCTGACAATGCAGGCAAAGAAGAACATTGCAGGGAGAGGAAGCAGCCAGGACAAAGGCCATAAGCAGGAGGAGGCAGGCACATCCTTGGGAGATGCTGTAGCTGAAGCCAGGCCCGAGGGCAAGAGGCACAATGAATATGGGAGGAGCTGAAGGGAGATGCTGCTGTGAGGCTGTGCACCTCAGTGTCGTAATGACACAGCTCCCTGAGACTAACACCCCAACATTGCATACCATGGACTGGAGAGGAAAAGGGACTCACAGCTGAGGTGTTAAGAAGCTACTATAATAATTGGGGCTTTTTTATTTTTGGAACTTTCTCTGTTGACTTAATCTCCCCCCAACACTGGAAACTTCAATAGACGACAACTTTTCATCATAGCCCTTTAGGGAACCTTTTTAAATCTAAACGAAGCAAAGCTGCATGACTGAAAACCAAAAAAAGAAAAAAGTTACCACGTTCTCACCCACTTTCCTTTCCTAAAACTTTAGAAAAGAAACATCATTAACTTTATCATTTTTTTTTTTAATTATTATTTTTTGAGATGGAGTCTCACTCTGTCGCCAGGCTGGAGTGCAGTGGTGCGATCTCGGCTCACTGCAAACTCTGCCTCCCAGGTTCAAGTGATTCTCCTGCCTCAGCCTCGCGAGTAGCTGGGATTACAGGAGTGCGCCACCACGCTCGGCTAATTTTTTTCTTTTTCTTTTTTTTTTTTTTTGAGATGGAGTCTTGCTCTGTCGCCCAGGCTGGAGTGCAGTGGCACGATCTCGGCTCACTGCAAGCTCCGCCTCCCAGGTTCACGCCATTCTCCTGCCTTAGCCTCCTGAGTAGCTGGGACTACAGGCACCCGCCACCACGCCTGGCTAATTTTTTGTATTTTTAGTAGAGACGGGGTTTCACTGTGTTAGCCAGGATGGTCTCGATCCCCTGACCTCGTGATCCACCCGCCTCGGCCTCCCAAAGTGCTGGGATTACAGGCGTGAGCCACCATGCCTGGCACACTCGACTTATTTTTTGTATTTTTAGTAGAAACGGGGTTTCACCATGTTAGCCAGGCTGGTCTCAAACTCCTGACCTCAGGTGATCTGCCTGCCTCAGCCTCCCAAAGTACTGGGATTACAGGCGTAAGCCACCATGCCTGGTCGAAATAGTATCTTATTGTGGTTTTGATTTGCATTTTTCTAATGACTGACAATGTTTAGCATTTTTTTCATGTGCTTGTTGTCCATTTGTATATCTTCTTTGGAGATATACAACTCAATGGGGAAATGCATAGAGAATAATTCACATAAGAATTCACAGACAATTCACATAAAAATATTTGTATTAGCTGGTTGTGGTGGGAAGCAGCTGCAATCCCAGCTACTCAGGAGGCTGAGGTGAGAGGATCACTTGAGCCCAGGAGTTCAAGCCTGGCCTGAGCAGCATACTGTTTCCCTGGCTCTTAAAGAAAAAAAAAAAGATGTTCATATTTACTCGTAGTCAGGAGAAAAACTGATGCCATTTTATTCTCATCAGACTGGCAAACATTTAAAAGACTGATAACTATTTCTCATCATTTGCTGATAGAAATATGAATTGCTACATCTTTTTTTTTTTGAGACGGCGTCTCACTCTTGTTGCCCAGGCTGGAGTGCAATGGCGCAATCTCAGCTCACTGCAACCTCCACCTCCCACAACCTCCACCTCCCAGGTTCAAGCGATTCCCCTGCCTCCGCCTCCCAAGTAGCTGGGATTACAGGCGCCCATCACCACACCCAAATATAATTTTTATATTTTTAGTAGAGATGGGGTTTCACCGTGTTGGCCAGGCTGGTCTCAAATTCCTGACCTCAGGTGATCCACCTGCCTTGGCCTCTCAAAGTGCTGGGATTACAGGAGTGAGCCACCACACCTGGCCTGCTACAACATTTTTGAAAAGCAAACTAGCAAATTATTCAAATTAAAAATATGTATACCCTTTGACCCAAGAATCCCACAGTTGGATATTGTTCCTGCTGTAATCCCAATGCTTGGAAATATAGCCACCAGATGTGAGGACCTATGTAAAGTATATCCATTGCAAGACTTGTCCACAATGGCAAAAAATCAGAAGCAAAGTAAATGTCTACCTACAGGGAAACACTTGAATAAAATGTGGGTTATCTATTCCCATGGAATATCATGCAGCCATGAAAAAGACTTAATTAGTGCTCCATCAGTTGATGAGAAAAGATTTCCATTACACAGGGATATTAGGACCAAGTGGAATGATGGATACAAATACCTACTGCAAGCTGTAAAATGCTTAACAAACATATGTAAGGTCATGTAATACATTTGTGCTGATATTTGAAAATGCAGTATTAATAAAACAGCACCTTCTGTCTATTTGGGCTTCCAACTAAGCTTGGTAACAATGCTCCTTACTGCCTGAAGGGTTTTGAGGGATCTAGTCTACACAGTATTTCAGATGTGTCATGAAGGTTTTCATAACTGCCTCGAGGCCAGAGGCACAAAGTGATGCCTTATTTACCAGCTTTCTTAGGGAATAACATATACCTCAAGTTATTCTTCCAGAAACCAGGCACTTCTCCTTTTTGGTGCCAACATATCTTGAATGTTGATGTTTTTTGATGAAAATCTTGCTAAAATGTACTAGTCCCCCACCCCCTCTTAAGCAGGAGACATTACGAACATTCTTCATAAGGAATGCCAAGTAATACAATGCAGTAGAGAGTTTTCACTTTTTCTGTCGGCCCCCTTCAAAAGCTGGTGGTCTGCTATCATATCTAAAACACCTTCCAAACACCTCTTTTAAGTTTGCAATTTCCCATCATTTTCGTTTTGCCTAGAAAGCTAGAAAAATCAAGTTTGTGAAGAGCTGAACATTAAATGCCAATAGATATGACTCTTAATATGGTGAAAAAAAAATTAGGCTGGGTGCAGTGGCTCATACCTGTAATCCCAACACCTTGGAAGGGTGAGGCAGGAGGATCCTTTGAGCCCAGGAGTTCGAGACTAGCCTGGGCAACAACAACAAAAAAATTAGCCATGTGTTGTGGTATGCACCTGTAGTCCCAGCTACTTGGGAGGCTGAGGCGGGAAGATCCCTTGAGCCCAAGAGATAGAAGCTGCAGTGAGCCAAGATTGTGTCATTGTACTCCAGCCTGGGTGACACAGTGAGACCCTGTCTCAAAAATATATATGTAATAATAGTAAAAATAAACAAAGAACGTGGCTTTTGGATTGTGACTGTGCTCTCAGAGGCCTTTCCTGAAAGCTTCCAGAGGGCAGTCTTCCAGATGAGCGAGGGTGCTGTCCCTGCAGAGCTGCTCCTGCACCTGTTCATGAGGTGTTGTCTGAAGAGCAGAGGCTTGCCCAAAAACAAGACACACACCACGATGCTCCACAAACACAGATGTGCAAGTTAGCTACTACGACCTCTCAAACAGCAACAGTCAAACAGTATTTCTGGACTGAAATCAACAGAAGACAGGCAGAGCAAGATGGAAGAATAGAAGTCTCCACCCATCAACCTCCACCCGACCCATGCCCCACAAGAACAGGAAGTTAATAACTATCTACACAGAAAAAAATACCTTTAGAAGAGCCAAAAATCAGGTAGGCCCTCGTAGTACCTGGTTTTATCTTCATATTGCTGAAAGAAGCACTGAGGAGTCAGAAGAATAGTCCCGAATCACCACACATTTAAACCAGCCCAAGCCTGAGGGGAATCTCTGATTCCAGCAGTGGGAAATTGAGTTCCCCCAAACCTCGCCACTGTGGGCTACAGTGCTCTGTGTCTTTAAATCAGCTTGAAAGTCCGTCTAGGCCATAAGGACTGCAACACTTAGGTGAGTCCTAGTGCTGAACTAGGCCCAGAGACAGTGGATTCGGGGGGCACGTGGACTACTGAGACATCAGCCAAGGGAGTGGTGGCATCACCCCTGCCCTAACCCCAGGCTGCACAGCTCATGGCTCCAAAAGAGACCTCTTCCTTCAGTTTGAAGAGAGGAGAAGAAAAAGTGGGAAGAGCTTCGTCTTGCATCTTGGATACCAGCTCAGCCACAGAAGGATAGGGCTCAGTCAGAGTTGTGAAGTCCCTTTTCCAGGCCCTACCTCCCAGGTGACATTTCTAGACACACCTTGGGCCAGAAGGGAACCTGCTGCCTTGAAGGAAGGACCCAGTCCTGGCAGCATTCATTACCTGCTAGCTGAAGAGCCCTTGGGCCCTGAATAGCCAGCAGTGACACCCAGGACCTTGGGTGAGCCTCTGAGACTTGCTGGCTTCAGGTACCAGTACGGCCACAGTTGGGTAGAGCACTGGGCAGCCTCCTGGGGTCCCCAACTCTAGGACTTGACTCTTGAATGGCATTTCTGGACCTGCCCTGGGCCAGAGGGGAGCCTAGTGCCCTGAAATATGGGTTGCAGGCCAGGCAGTACTTACCACGAGCTGACTTAAGAGCCCTAGGGCCTTAACGGCCTGGCAGTACTTCTCATGGCTTGGGGTGGCGGTGGCTGAAAAGTAAGACTCCTCTGCCTTTGGAAAGGGGAGGGAAGAGTGGGAAAGACTGCAATTGTGGTTTGAGTACCAGCTCAGTCACAATACAATAGAATACCAGGTAGACTTCTAAGGTTTTCCACTTAAGTACATGATGCCCGGAGAGCACCTCTGAGTCTGCCCAGAGGCTTGGGGAATCTCGCTGCCCTAAAGGGAAAGCCACAAGCCTGGCTGGCTTTGCCACCTGCTGATAGTAGTGCCCCAGGGCCCTGAGCGAACACAGGCAGTAACCAGGGCGTGGTTATGGCAGGTCTTAGGCAAAAGCCAGTACTGTGCCGGCTTCAGGTCGGACACAGCACAGTCAGAGTGGTGGTGGCCACAGGGGTGCTTGTGTCACTCCACCCCCAGCTTTAGGTGGCTGAGAACAGAGAGACTGTTCGTTTGGGAAAGTAAGGGAAGAGAACAAGAATCTCTGCCTGGTAATGCAGAGAATTCTCCCAGATCTTGCCCAAGACCATCAAGGCAGCACGTCTATGAGTCTGCAGGAACCACAGCATTACTGGGCATGGGTGACCCCTAAAGCAGAAACAGCTTAGAATACAACACCCAAGTCCTTTCACATATCTGGAAAACCTTCCCAAGAAGGACAGGTATAAATAAGCCCAGACAGTGAAGACTACAACGAATATCTAATTCTTCAATGCCCAGACACCAAAGAACATTTACTAGCATCAACACCATCCAGGAAAACATGACCTCACCAAATAAACTAAATAAGGCACCAGGGACCAATCCTGGAGAAAAAGAGATATGTGACCTTTCAGACAGAGAATTCAAAATAGTTGTGCTGAGGAAACTCAAAGAAGAGACAAAGGTCACTATATAATGATAAAGGGCTCACTTCAACAAAAGGATATCACAATTTTAAATATATATTCGGGCCGGGCACAGTGGCTCACGCCTGTAATACCTGCACTTTGGGAGGCCAAGGTGGGTGGATCACCTGAGGTCAGGAGTTTGAGACTAGCCTGGCCAACATGGCAAAACCCTGTCTCTACTAAAAAATACAAAAAAAATTAGCAGGCATGGTGGCAAGTAACTGTAATCCCAGCTACCCAGGAGGCTGAGGCAGGAAAATCACTTAAACCCCAGAGGTGGAGGTTGCAGTGAGCTGAGATCGTGCCACTGCACTCTGGCCTGGGCGACAGAACAAGACTCCATCTCAAAAATACATACATACATACATACATACATACATACATACATACATATATATATATATATAAATTAATTATATATATACACCCAACACTGGAGCACCCAGATATAGAAGGCAAATATTAGTGCTAAAGAGAAAGATAGGCTCCGATACAATAATAGCTGGAGACTTTAACACCCTACTTTCATCACTGGCTAGATCTTCTAGACCAAAAATCAATAAAGAAACATCTTTATTGATGAAAGATGCAGATTTAATCTACACTATTGAACAAAGGGATCTAACAGATATTTATAGAACATTTCATCCAAAAGCTACAGAATACACGTTCTTTTCCTCAGCACATGGATCATCCTCAAGGATAGATCATATGTTAGGTCACAAAGTAAGTCTTAAAACATTCAAAAAAATTGAAATAATATCAAGCATCTTCTGTAACCACAATGGAATAAAACTGGAAATTAATAACAAAAGGAATTTTGGAAACTATACAAATACATGAGTGGGGCACAGTGGCTCATGCCTGTAATCCCAGCACTTTGGGAGGCCAAGGCAGGTGGATCGCTTGAGGTCAGGAGTTTGAGACCAGCCTGACTAACATGGTGAAACCCCGTCTCTACTAAAAATACAAAATTAGCCAGGCATGGTAGCACATGCCTGTAATCCCAGCTACCTGGAAGCTAAGGCAGGAGAATCGCTTGAACCTGGGAGGTGGAGGTTACAGTGAGCCGAGATATTGCGCCATTGCACTCCAGCCTGGGTGACAAAAGTGAAACTCTGTCAAAAAAAAAACAAAGAAAAAGCAAATACAAGGAAATTAAGCAACATGCTCCTGAATGACCAGTGGGTCAATGAAGAAATTAAGAAGGAAACTGAAAATTTTCTTGAAACAAATGATAATGAAAACACAACATACCAAAACCTATGGATACAGCAAAAGCAGTACTAAGAGGAAAGTTTATAGTGTAAGCCTACATCAAAACGGGGAAAAAACTTCAAAAAAACAATCTAATGATGAAACAACTAGAAACACAAGGGAGAACGAAACCCAAAATTAATAGAAGAAATAATAAAGATCAGAGTAGAAATAAAATGCAATTGAAATGAAAAAGACAATAGAAAAGTTAAACAAAACTGACAAACTTTTAGCCAGACTAAGAAAAAGAAAAGATTCAAATAAATAAAATCAGAAATCACAAGGTCAGGAACTTGAGACCAGCCTGACCCACATGGTGAAACCCTGTCTCTACTAAAAATACAAAAATTAGCTGGGCATAGTGGCATGCGCCTGTACTCCCAGCTACTGGGGAGTCTGAGGCAGGAGAATCAGTTGAACCCGGGAGGCGGAGGTTGCAGTGAGCCAAGATCGCGCCACTGTAATCCAGCCTGGCGACAGAGCGAGACTCCTCAAAAAAAAAAAAAAAAAATCAATCATATCAACAGAATGGAGGATAAAAACCATATTATCATTTTAATTGATGCAGAAAAAGTATTTGATAAAATTCAAAATCCCTTCATGATAAAAACCCTCAGCTGAATGCAGTGGCTCACTCCTGTAATCCTAGCACTTTGGGAGGCCGAGGTGGGTGAATCACTTGAGGTCAGGAATTTGAGACCAGCCTGGTCAACATGGTGAAACCCCATCTCTACCAAAAATATAAAAAAATTAGCCAGGTGTGGTGGCGCACACCTGTAACCCCAGCTACTTGGGAGACTGAGGCATGAGAATCCAGGAGGTGGAGGTTGCAGTGAGCCAAGATCATGCCACCGCACTCTAGCCTGGGTGACAGAGGAAGACCTTGTCTAAAAATATATATATAAATCAAAATAGATTAAAATCTTAAATCTAAGACCTCAAACTATGAAGCTACTAAAGGAAAACACTGGGAAAAATCTTTAGGACATTGGTCTTGGCAAAAATTTCTTGAGCAAAACCCCCCAACAAACAGACAACCAAAGCAAAAATGGACAAATAGGATCACATCAAGTTAAAAAACTTCTGCACAGCAAAGGATAAAATCAACAAAGAGACAACCCACTGAATGGGAGAAAATATTTGCAAACTACCCATCTGACAAGGGATTCATAACCAGAATATGTAAGGAGCTCAAACAACTCTATAGGAAAAAAATCTAATAAACCAATCAGATATGGGCAAAAGATTTGAACAGACATTTCTCAAAAGAAGACATACAGATGGCAAACGGAATATGAAAAGGTGCTCAACATCACTGATCATCAGGGCAATGCAAATCAAAACCACAATGAGATATCATCTCACCTCAGTTAAAATGGTTTATATCCAAAAGACAGGCAATAGCAAATGCTGGTAAGGATGTAGAGAAAAGGGAACCCTTGTACACTGTTGGTTGGAATGAAAATTAGTACAACCACCACGGAGAACAGTTTGGAGTTTCCTTAGAAAAGTAAAAATTGAGCTACCATATGATTCAGCAATCCCACTGCTGGGTATATACCCAAAAGAAAGGACATCAGTCTATCGAAGAGATATCTGCACTCCTATGTTTGTTGCAGCACTGTTCACAATAGCTAAAATTTGGAAGCAACCTAAGTGTCCATCAACAGATGAATGGGCCGAGTACGATGGCTCATACCTGTAATCCCAGCACTTTGGGAGGCCAGGGCAAGTGGATCACCTGAGGTCAGGAGTTTGAGATCAGCCTAGACAACATGGTAAAACCCTGTTTCTACTAAAAATACAAAAATTAGCTGGGTGTGGTGGCGGGTGCCTGTAATCCCAACTACTAGGGACACTGAGGCAGAAGAATCGCTTGAACCCGGGAGGTGGAGGTTGCAGTGAGCCAAGATCGCGCCACTGCACTCCAGCCTGGGTGAAAAGAGCGAAATTCTGTCTCAAAAAAAAAAAAAAAAAAAAAAAACATATGAATAGATAAAGCAAATGTGGAACATATACACAATGGAGTTCCATTCAGCCATAAAAAAGAATAAGATCCAGCCATTTGCAACAACATGGATAGAACTGGAGATCACTATGTTAAGTGAAATAAGCTAGACACAGAAAGACAAACATCACATGTTCTCACTTATTTGTGGGATCTAAAAATCAAAACAATTGAACTCATGTACATAGAGAGTAGAAGGATAGGCTGGGAAACGTAGTGGGAAGCTATGGTGGGGCAGGAGATGGAGATGGATAATGGGTACAAAAAAATCAGAAAGAATGAATAAGACCTACTATTTCATATCACAACAGGGTGACTATAGTCAATAATAACTTAATTGTATATTAAAATAAGGAGTGTAATTGGATTGTTTGTAAGTCAAAGGATAAATGTTTGAGGGGATGGATACCCCATTCTCCATGATGTGCTTATTTCACATTGCATACCTATATCAAAATATCTACTATCTACACCCACTATGTATAAAAATTTGGCTTGGCACAGTGGTGCACATCTGTAATCCCAACACTTTGGGAAGTGGAAGCAGGTGGATCACTTGAGGTCAGGAGTTTGAGACCAGTCTGGTTAACATGGTGAAACCCAATCTCTACTGAAAATACAAAAATTAGCCAGGTGTGGTGGTGGCGCCTGTAATTCCAGCTACTCCAGAGGCTGAGTGAGGCAAGAAAATCACTTGAACCTGGGAAGCAGAGGTTGCAGTGAGCTGAGATCACACCACTGCACTCCAGCCTGAGCAACAGAGTGAGACCCTGTCTCAAAAAAAAAAAAAAAAAAATTAGCCAGGCATGGTGGCACACACCTATAATCCCAGCTAAAATTGCCAACAAAAATAGAAAATAAAATAAATTGTTAAAGAATAAAAGGACATAAGGAACCAAAAACAAACAAACAAAAAAACAAAAGAGAAGTAGCTGCATGAAGGAGATGGGTGTTTAGGTTGGCTCGTATTGAAGGGTGATTATTTTGGGTCAAGTGGATTCACCCACATGACTAGTATTTATGGAGTGCCTGTTCCTTGTCAGCCACCTTATTAAAACTGAAATGAATTGTAGACCAATACAAAGTTCTTTCCTAAAATAACTTATGCTCTATAAAACAGTTTCTGAAAAGCATTCCCAAACCATTTGTGGTTTTTGCCATATCCCAGTCCCATCTATACTATTACCTAATATTTTAGTAGATTATCCAAATTAACTCTATTTTTCCCAACAAACAAATATATAACAAAATAAAAACCGGCTTATCTGTTAACCACTACGATTACCTGGAATATCATTAACCTATGATACTTTGGACATACCAGTCTGGTGAGATCACGTTACTGATCTATATTACCATTAAAGCTCAAATATTAGAGTCCCATGCAGAGCTGATCAGATCGTTAAGCTGAACCTCTGTTTCAAAGGGCCTTGCAGGCAAAGGAGATGAGAACTACCTATGGAGAGACATTTAGATTCCTACTCATAAGCCTAATGGAGATGACTATACCCAAAGATGCTGAAGAATACATGTAATTTACTGATGAGCTTGTAACCACTAAGGATAAGATGGATTGATATGGAGCCTTAGATGAGTGGCTAGAGAAGTTGGTAAAGGGAATAATATATTTAGAATGCTACAGACAAAGAGAAAGCCATACTTTTTAACAAACTGATCTCAATGCTTAATTGCTTTGTTTCTAACAAGCTAGAGAAAATATTTCCGTCTGCAGTCATTTTGTTATTACTCAAAAAACTGACCTCCTGAAGTAAATAAAGCAATGGCTAAACAACTCTTAGTGGCAGAGAATAGACACTAGGGAGACCGTAAACTATTCGCAGGTGCAGAATTCCTTCTCAGACCTCAAAAGCTGTAGTAATAGAAAGGAGGCATTGGCCAAGGTCAGGCTAAGTTTGAGTTATGTACTAAAAGTTCTATTAAGGACAGCCAAAGACTGGCCTCTGTTACAGTCTGTCTTTGGTGGTGGGAACAACCAAATAAATCAGTCAGACACCAGCCGGGCCCAGTGGCTCACGCCTGTAATCCCAGCACTTTGGGAGGCCAAGGCAGGCAGATCATGAGGTCAAGAGATTGAGACCATCCTGGCCAACATGGTGAAACCCCCGTCTCTACTAAAAATACAAAAATTAGCCAGGTGTGGTGGCGCGCACCTATAGTCTCAGCTACTTGGGAGACTGAGGCAGGAGAATAGCTTGAACCCAGGAGGCAGAGGTTGCAGTGAGCCAAGATCACACCACTGCACTCCAGCCTGGTGACAGAGCGAGACTCAGTATCCAAAAAAAAAAAAATCAGTCAGATATCTAGTTATCCTAAGGCACGTAAAGCATGCTTATGAGTGACTAGAAGGCAAGTAGAAACAAGGATTTCAGATAACAGAATCAAAGTAGACAAGCTGGAAAAAGAAGCAGTGAAGCGATATAATTTAATAGGAATAAATCTAAGGCTGGTATCTAGTCAGAAAAATTGGCAGCACACAGCCAAAGTGTAGTATTGGGTCAAAAAAAGAAAGAAAGAAAAAAATTGGCAAAAAATTGGTAAGTCAAAGTGTAAAGAAGATGTAGTTAAGCAGCACATCAAGCAAGGCTTTAACTCAAAGAATCAGGAATATGAAGAGGCTGACAACAGAACAAACCTAATCTAAGGATCTGTTGCAGGTCATAAGAAGGAAAACAATGAACTTGAGGTCATGGGTGTGAAGGGCAGAAGAGATGTGTAGAGTTGCCATACTATATCAGAGGAAAGAGATAATGACATGAGCACCTCTGTGCTTAAGAGAAATCTAGCAAACAGAGGTCAATCCAGAGAATACTGGCTCCAGTGGTGATTTCAGAGAACCCAGAAGATAGAGTAGGTGAGAAGTAGTATGGGGGCTACTTGAATGGAAAACATTAGCTCTGAGGTTGGGTTCCTCTTCTGGCTTCAAAGGAGAGGCTCTCATAATCACATTGTTGGGGTAAACTACTGGACACAGGGACTTGAGTGAGTACCTTCTGTCTCTCTCCAGACTACCCAGAGATTTAGGCCAAATGCTACAAGGGGCCATTGCATTGTCAGGCTTTATCAACAGAGGCAAAATATTTAGACCACTGAAAGGAATAGCCAGCTGTACTCTGGGTAAGAAACCTCAACTCTGGCTTTCCATTTTGAGCACCTCACTTTAGAAGGACATGACATTGTCAGAAGGACCTGACTCACTTGGAGATCCTACACTATGCTGGCTGAAAGGAGGCCATGATTCACAATAGAGACATCTATAATATGGCCATAGACATCCACAGCATTTCCAGGATCAGAAGTAGAAACTCCACCAACTAGAGGCTGTCCCGTGGTCACTGTTTAATGTGAGCTCAATATACCGTGTGTTTCAGAAATACTCTGATACCTCTTAGGAATGAATTATATTCATTAAAGAGGTATACCTCAGTAATGAGGAATTTAGTTTCTTTGAACTTTTCTTTTTTAACTCACTAGGTTACTTCGAGAAATCAGACCATACAAAGTAGTTATCAATGATAAAGAGAAGTGAGAAATCAACTGATAACATAAGCAAGCTGTTGATACAACATTTTCAATTGTTAAAGGCAACACAACAGAGCTAAGTCTAGACACAAGATAACCAGAGCTCACTGCCATGATAGATAATGTCCCCCATATTGGGTAATCAATGTATTAGTTAAGAAGGTTGCAAATATATGACTCAATCAAGAGAAGAGAATTTCTTTACTTTTTAATTTTTAATTTTACTTTTGAGACAGGGTCACTCGCTCTGTCACCCAGGTTGGAGTGCAGTGGCATGATCTTGGCTCACTGCAACCTCCATCTCCTGGATTCAAGTGATTCTCGTGCATCAGCCGCCCGAGTAGCTGGAATTACAGGCATGTGCCACCATGCCTGGCTAATTTTTGTATTTTTAGTAGAGATGGGGTTTCACCATGTTGGCCAGGCTGTTCTTGAACTCCTGGCCTCAAGTGATCTGCCCGCTTTGGCCTCCCAAAGTGCTAGGATTACAGGCATGAGCCACCACACCTGGCTAAAGAGCATTTCTAAAATGAGTATTATTTCTGACCGATAGAGGAAAATTTCAACCCCAGGAAAATTTCAACCCCAGTTCACTGTTTTTTTTAGACACATTCCTGAGGTCTGAGAAAATCTAAGGGAACATAGCACCTCAAATAAGTTTAATAAATTACATTTAAACTACAATAGCTTCATTTAAAGAGTACATCTGGGACTCAGTGCTTTAACATGAGCCCTTTTAGAATCAGTTCAAGTCATAATTTGAACTCACACCTGGGTTTTGCCTGTCCTTTAAAAAGTCAGCTCGGCCAGGTGCAGTGGCTCACACCTATAATTCCAGCACATTGGGAGGCTGAGGCGCAGAGATCATTTGAGCTCAGGAGCTCGAGACCAGCCTGGGCAACATGCTGAGACCCCCCCTCTCTATCAAAAACACAAAAAATTGGCCAGGCGTGGTGGTGCACTCCTGTGGTTCCAGCTACTCGGGAGGCTGAGGTGTGAGAATCACTTGAGTCTGGAAGGCAGGAGTTGCTGTGAGCTAAGACTGCACCACTGCACTCCAAACTGGGTGACAGAGTGAGACCTCGTCTCAAAAAAAAAAGTCAGCTCAGCCAAAATCCTGAAACTATGACTCTTTAGAGTCAAATCAAGCAGAGATCAGTAATAATGTATCAAAGTTCTCCTTTTTAAAAAATATACTATGCAATGGCTAGGAAAAGAGCAGCACTAAAAACTTGGTTTTAGAACTATTTAAGGGAAAAATGTTTAAAAAATTAAGGGTTGTCTGGGTATGGTGAGGTGTGCCTGTAATCCCAGCTACTTGGGAGGCTGATGCACTTGAGCCCAGGAGTTCAAGTCTAGCCTGAACAGCATCTCCAAAAATAAATAGATAGACAGATAGATAGATAAATAAATAAGTAAATAAATAAAATTAAGGGTTGAGTATAAATGTCCCTGTTTTCAGATCTGGCCTTAATGTGAACCTGGGCACCCCATGAAAGGGCCCTGGCTGACTTAGGCCATTTCCTAACATCTGGAGCAACATAGCTTCTTGGAAAGCCCATTTATCTGGTGTGCTAAAAGGTTTTAAACATAATGTGATCATAATCTTCTTGGCATGTGTCATACAGTACATCTAGCCAGGCCTAAAAACCACCGTAACCTCATTAATATTCCCACTAAATATGGTGTCTTTCTGGTCGCTAAAGCAGGGCCTCCACCAACAGACAATACAAAGAATGTCTAAACATAAATTTTGGCTGGGCGCGATAGCTCACACCTGTAATTCTAGCACTTTGGGAGGCCGAAGCGGGCGGATCACTTGAAGTCAGTAGTTAGAAACCAGCCTGGCCAACATGGTGAAACCCCATCTATACTAAAAATACAAAAAAACATTAGCCGGGCATGATGGTAGGTGCCTGTAATCCCAGCTACTTGGGAGGCTGAGGCAGGAGAATTGCTTGAACCTGGGAGGTGGAGATTGCAGTGAGTCGAGATCACGCCACTGCACTCCAGCCTGGGTGACACAGCCGAGACTCCATCTCAAAAAATAAATAAAAATAAAAATAATAAATAAATTTATTTTTTTATAAATAAAAATATTTTATTAATAAAAAAACTAAAAATAATAAATAAATTTTTAGTTTTTCAACTATGAGCTGGAATGCTGTTGTTTAGAAAGCAGATGACAGATGCCTAGAAAATTAAAGTGGTGGCCAGGCGCAGTGGCACACGCCTGTAATCACAGCACTTTGAGAGGCCGAGGTGGGTGGATCACCTGAGGTCAGGAGTTCGAGACCAGCCTGACCAACATGGAGAAACCCCATCTCTACTAAAAATACAAAATTAGCCAGGCATGGTGGCGCATGCCTGTAGTCCCAGCTACTTGGGAGGCTGAGGCAGGAGAATCTCTTGAACCTGGGAGGCGGAGGTTGCAGTGAGCCAAGATAGCACCACTGCACTCCAGCCCAGGCAACAAGAGTGAAACTCCGTCTCAAAGAAATAAAAAAAAGAAAGAAAATTAAAGTGGCAGGCTGGGCGCAGTGGCGCATGCCTGTAATCCCTGCACTTTGGGAGGCCGAGGCAGGCGGATCACCTGAGGTCAGGAGTTCAAGACCAGCCTGACCAACACGGAGAAACCCCGTCTCTACTAAAAATACAAAATTAGCTGGGCGTGGTGGCACGTGCCTGTAATCCCAGCTACTCAGGAGGCTGAGGCAGGAGAACTGCTTGAACCTGGGAGGCGGAGGTTGCGGTGAGCCAAGATCACACCATTGCACTCCAGCCTGGGCAACAAGAGCAAAACTCCATCTCGAAAAAATAAATAAATAAAAATAGATAAAATTAAAGTGGCAATGTGAAAACAGCTTTTCCACACCAACAAATGTCTCAGATATAGCAAACCCACAGTTATTAATTTTAGAAGCAATCTAGGGTAGATTTTTAAAAATCAGAGGGGAAACAGTTGGGATTTTATTTTGTTTTTACCTTACAAAGGATGAGACTTACCATTTTTCACATTCTCAAGTGCTAGGGTTATGAAAGATTTTAAAATTACCTTTGTGCCCTTCCCACAGTTTAAGAACTTACTTATTTTCCCATAGCAGGGCTTCTGTGTCAATGCCTCTGCCATATGTTTATGGAGTGCAAAGAGTTCTATGAGGGCTGCTCTGTTTAGCCTTAAGATAATGTTTTCATGAAACACAGAGGGGTGGGCTGACAGTATCTGGCACAGTCTGGTTTCCTGCTATGCTGCTTGGAAATGGGGCTGGAGGTATGGGTATAAATCAGTCCAAAACCAAGTGCTAGTGTCATATAGTGAACAAAGGGCAAGAAAATCGTTAAAAATGTGAAATGAGTAACTATCATGGTATCACCCCCTCAGGGTATAGAGATGCAGAGCACCCTGGCTATAACACAACCTCACGGGCCTCTGTTTCCCCTAGCCTATGAGGGGTTTCAACAAGTAGGAATAAGCACTCACCAAAAGACTGCTAACTTACTTCTAACACCTGACTTCTAGAGTTGAATCTGAATGTTCTACTGAGATAAGTATTTAGAAAAAAGGCAATGGACTTTTTTCCAATTCTTTATCTCATAAACAACCTCTACACTCAACTATGAGCAGGAAAGATGAATATTTAAATCACTGTAAAGAGTTTTCATATTAAAAATGATCACAAGTCCAAGGGAGGAGACATGAAAGAACAGAGGAGGACAGGAGAGTCAGAAGTCAGGACGTGGAAGGAGAGCATGGACAAAAGGTTCTATTCCATTCAAAGATCTTTACCTTCCTTTAGATAACCCAAACTCCCTTTAAAAAACTATTTCTAGTCAAGGGCTCTGGGACTCCCAGTACTTCAAAATAAGCCCAGGTAGGATTAGTTCAGATGATACTTGAACTCACTTCTGAGTGTTGTTTCCTCTAGGGTCAAGTCAAACATAGCTATAGACACAGCTAGGAAGCTTTCAAGCCAGGTCAGGCAGGGACCACTAAGAGCAGCAAGATAAAGGCTGGGTTGTATGAATCCCAACTAAGGATAGGAGTAGAAATAGTCTGAGAACAGGTCATCTCATCCTTACTTCTTTTGCTATTGAGTCATTGTATATATTCCTGCTGTGGTCAGGAACAAAGTACAGTATTATCAGCATTTCTGTTAGTATGGTTCCTAATGGAAATATGGGTCATATTAGTCTTCGTGTAGGCTAAAAATATACACCCTTTGGTAGTCTAGTAAATGCCCAACATGTGTCAACTAAACAGAGAGAGAAAAAAAGATTAAATATATTAAGTACTTAAGGTACTTGCAAAGAATGGTACAATGGATAAAAGGTCATTAAATAAAAAATTGACTATTCTAAAGAACATGCTACTCAAAGCAAATATTTTGTGCTTAGCTATCACAATGCCTTTTTTGAGACAGGGTCTCACTCTGTCACGCAGGCTGGAGTGCAATGGTGTGATCTCGGCTCACTGCAACCTCCGCTTCCCAGGCTCAAGTGATTCTCCTGCCGTAGCCTCCTGAGTAGTTAGCATTATAGGCACGTACCACTACCGTCCAGCTAATTTTTGTACTTTTAGTAGAGATGAGGTTTCACCATGTTGGCCAGGCTGGTCTCGAACTCCTGACCTCAAATGATCCACCCGCCTTGGCCTCCCAAAGTGCTGGGATTACAGGCATGAGCCACTGTGCCAGCTACAATGTTCTTTAAATAAAAAGTATTAGAAAGTCCAAAATTGGCAAACTAAAAGTCGCTCTGGTTCCCAACATGAAGCTAAAATAGAGTCACGGGAACACTTTGTCAATGGTATACTGATTTCAACAACGATTTTTCCTTCTTATATGGAGACATTTTAGATATGACAGATAATCTCAAATAATCAAAAGATAAAGAATTACAAATACTAAAGGGAATATCAACCACAATGTCAATGCCCCACTACTACATGGACATGCAGTTGCTATTTCCTTGCCCTGTCCGAAACCCTCTGTAGATATAAAATACATGGTAGATGGGACACATTTGGAAAAAAAGGGACTAAGAGAAAGGGAAAAACAATCAACTGCTTATTAAGCTTCTGCATTTGAGCATGAAAGAAGGAAAGAAGCTGCAAACACAGTGTTTTTCTCAACTGGGTTCTCTAAAACATTATTTCCAAGAAATGACACATTTTTCCATGATCGAAACAAATTTGTGAAAAACTGCATATTGCCTCCTTCTTGGGTCTTCACAATGAAGATTAGTATATGAAAGATTATAATATGTCATAGAATAAACCAGCCTTTCTTTAAACAAGCATTTCCAAACTCATTTGACTCAGCAAAATTTTTTAAATAAAATAGATAATAAAATCCCAGGAGACTCATGTTTTATGGAGCATACTTTAAGAAACACAGAGGAACTAATTGTAGGGACTTTTTCCCTAGAATATGGGTAGAGAAGACCTGCCTGCTGAGATCTCTTCCTCTGTTTAAAAAATTCAGATATGGCCGGACACAGTGGCTCACACCTGTAATCCCAGCACTTTGGGAGGCCTAGGAGGGTGGATTACCTGGGATCAGGAGTTCAAGGACAGCCTGGTCAACATGGAGAAACCCTGTCTCCATTAAAAATACAAAAATTAGCTGGGCTTGGTGGTGGGTGCCTGTAATCCCAGCTACTCCGGAGGCTGAGGTGGGAGAATCACTTGAACCCAGGAGGTGGAGATTGCAGTGAGCCAAGATTGTGCCACTGTACTCCAGCCTGGACAACAAAATGAGATTCCATCTCAAAACAACAAGAGCAACAACAAAAATAAAAATAAAAATAAAAAACTCATATATAAGCTTCAAGTCAGTGACAGGTTTAAAAAAAAAAAAAAAACTCAAATAATCAACCAACTTTACCCCGATTTTGCCTGAAATATTTAACTCCCTTTATCACCTGAAATTCCAATTAGATTGTTTTTAATAAGCATCTTCCAGAAGAGTTCAAATATTAGTCATCCATGGTTTGACATAATGTGTTATCAGTGCTATCGTATATTGACAGAGTGCTTTACAGTTTTCAAAAACACTTTCATTTACACACACACACACACACACACACACACACACACACACTTCCTTCAAGCTATATAATAAGTGATACAGTCAAGACTAAAACCCCAGATTGGCTGATTCTAGTCTAGTATCCTTTCTACTAGTAAAAATATTTCTATGGGATGTATTGGGAAACTATAACCAATGTCTACTGCATGATGCATTTAAAGTTGTAAAGATCTGATTTACAAATTTCTAGCGGACAACATGACCAAGCTGAGCTAGACAATGGTTGTGTTGGGGGGCAGCAGGAGTTGCCCCAGATTTTTATAAACAAATTTTTCATATCTATCAAGTCATATGTTTTTGCTAGGCTAAGGGATATTCAACTGATTCTACACTTTAAAAATTTTCTCATGACTGTCCGGGAGCGGTGGCTCACACCTGTAATCCCAGCACTTTGGGAGGCAGAGGCAGGTGGATCACGAGGTCAGGAGTTCAAAACCAGCCTGGCCAAGATGGTGAAACTCCATCTCTACTAAGAACTACAAAAAAAAATTAGCTGGGCACGGTGGCAGGCGCCTGTAATCCCAGCTACTCGGGAGGCTGAGGCAAGAGAATCGCTTGAACCCAGGCAGCAGAGGTTGCAGTGAGCCAAGATCGCACCACTGCACTCCAGCCTGGGCAACAGAGTAAGACTCCATCTCAAAAAAAAAAAAAAAATTTTTTTCTCATGACCACACAGAGTAGACAATACAAAACCAGCCACATAAAAGAATTACCCATTTTCAATGATCTCATTTTCATACTACAAAAATCTTTCATATGTAAATGACCTAGATTTCCATTACATTTAAAAAACTGGATTTAGCAAAGCTTTTACATCTTAAGAGTTCATTTGGCATCACTTCTAAAAATACCACTAGAACAGAAAGAATGTGTACAGGTGCCATCTTTGGCTCTTATTGTGTTTAAATACTTTAAACTCAGTTTTTTATAGAAACACCATTCAAAGGAATATAAGCAAAATTTAATCCTAACCTGTATTTCATTTCAGGTTCAAAATCTTTTCAGTATCGAAAAGATACTGGTAAAAATACCACTTTCAAGACTGAAATGAAAAAAGCCTTCGATCCTTTAAATGAAAAAACATACCCAGTTGTCTACATCTATAAAAGGAACTTAAGTCTTTACATGCATGTCTTGACTAACATCCAACCAGAATGTTGACAGATTGGCACCTATGTTAACCTTTTTTAAAGTATCAACTTCAACTATTTCATTTTCCTTATATCAAGGATACTTAATGGAACTGAATAAATACTTTAAAAGGAAAAAAAAAAGAGCCAACAATTAGCCTTTGGACGTATGATTAGGCCATAGCACAATTTAAATAGGCCAGGCTCAGCAATAATACAAATCAACATCTGCCTGTTCAGCCTAGTAACTTCCCAGAGCATTTCTTCAACTGTCATGGTTTATCTGCGCAATAAAGTGTGAGGTAGTTAGGCTGGTGTTCTTATTACCTCAGGATAATGAAATCAAGCCTCTAAAGGTTAAGCAGTTTGCCCAAGATCATACCACGATTGGAAAAAGCTAGGAATAGACCCAGATCTCTGAATTCCTAAGCCAGTACTTTTGTTTGTTTGTTTGTTTTGTTTTGTTCAACTACAGCAATGGTTCTCTAGGAGGTGGGGACAGAGTTGAGTATGGGATGTATCCCCCACTTACATACTAATGATCATGCCTGTGACTGCCCCACTCTATTAGAGTTCTAGGGAGCCTCTGTTACGCACGAGTGTAACATACACCTCAAGTATGCGGAGGCAGAAGAAATGCTGAGAATTATGTGCTGAGTATCATACAACATTGACATTGTCAACACAGGGACAAATTACCAATCAGCCAATAACTAGTAAACATGAGCCATAAGGTAAGCCTTTATTTATTTATTTCAAGATGCTAATGACTTTTTTCCTTAGAAGTAAAAACTAAGGCATGAATCTCTGTCTTTTTTTTTTTTTTTTTTTTTTTTTTTGAGATAGGGTCTCACTGTGTCACCCAGGCAGGTACAATCGTAGCTCACTGCAGCCTCAAACTCCTGGGCTCAAGGAATCCTCCCATCCCAGTCTCCCGGGTAGCTGTGACTACAGGCATGTGCCACTATGCACTGCTAATTTTTTTTATTTTTTGTAGAGACTGGGCCTCACTATATTGTCCAGGCTGGTCTTGAACTCCTGGCCTCAAGTGATCCTTCCACCTTGGCCTCCCAAAGTTCTGAGATTACAGGTGTGAGCCAGTGCGCCTGGCCGTATCTGTGTCATTTACAACAAAATGTTTCAGAGGCCAGGCACAGTGACTCATGCCTATAATCCCAGCACTTTGGGAGGCCAAGGTGGGTGGATCACCTAGGGTTAGGAGTTTGAGACCAGCCTGGCCAACGTGGCAAAACCCAGGTTGGAGTTCAGTGGTGCAGTCATAGCTCACTGTAGCCTCAAGCTCCTGGGCTTAATAGATCCTCCTGCCTCAGCCTCCCAAGTAGCTAGGACTACTGGCATGTGTCACCACACCTGGCTAATTTAAAAAAAAAATTTTTTTTTGGCGAGATGAGGGTCTTGTTATGTTGCCCAGGCTGGTCTTGAACACCTGGCCTCAAGCTGAACTCCTGGCCTCAAGCTATCCTCCTACCTCAGCCTCCCAAAACATTAGGATTATAGGTGCGAGGCCCTGGATGAGCAGCAAGGCTCAGGAAGGGCGTCCAAAAAAGACAGCTCTGCCCTCAGTTGTCAAGGATCTTGAGAAAGTTTCCAAACCTCTCTTAGATTCTCCTGTGTGCAAAACAAAGAGGGTTGGACCAGGTCATGCCTAAAGTTAAGTCCAACTTGGGTGTATTATAAGTGCCAAAAAACACTTTTGATATTCTGAACAGCGAAATCTAAATTTCTTTAGAGTGTCCTTAACTAAGTAGAAAAAGAAAGCTGTGCAAAGTGCTCTCTGGTGGACAGTTGGATATGTGAAAGAATGGTTTAAAAGGTCTTCCCATCTGAGCCACCTCTCTTTTTAACTATTTTTTTTTAATTAAAAAAATGGTTTTTTTTTAAGAGAATGAGATCTCGCTACATTGCCCAGGCTGGTCTCAAACTCCTGGCCTCAAGCAGTCCTCCCAGCTCAGCCTTCCAAAGTTCTGGGATTACAGGCATGAGCCACTGTGTCTGGCCTCTTGGGTCACCTCTCAATCTTCATTCATTCACTATAATAACTCATTCACGCATTAATTCAAAAATAATTAATGTGTGTCCACTAGGTGTCAGGCATTGTGTATACTGTAGTTACACTGAAAGACAGTTATTACCCTCCTGAATTTGTATCATCTAACAGAGTAGATGGACACTAAACAAAGCATTATTTCATTATACTGGCATTTAATGCTACAAATGAATGGTAGACATGTATTATGACAACAATCTATTGGGGACGTATAAGCTCCAATGAAGAAAGGATTCTTAAAAATATCACAATTCAGCTGAGACCTGAAGGAAAAGTGGGTATTAGCCAGGCAACGTATGTATAATGACCCTGAGAAATAGGGGAAAAGGCCAGCTGTGGCTGGCTCAAGATAAGGAAGGGAGAAGTGAGTGGTAAGGCAGAAGTACATAGTACATGAAGGGTCATTTAGGCAATTTTAAGGACTTTGACCTTTATCCCAAGGGCAGTGGAACATAATCAAAAGGTTTAAAGGAGTGAAAAGACATGATTAAATTATGAGTATAAAAAGCTCGCTCTCGTTGCTGTGTAAAAAATGACTTGGAGATGGGATAAAAGTGAATTGGGGAGCCATAGGGGAAGATATGCTAGATGTCCAGTTGAGAGATGACTCTAGATGTCTAGTATCCAGGCTTCCATGGCTGCTTCCAGTCCTTACCCTCCTATATATCCTCCTACTTGATTCTGCACATTAGTGAGTGCCTGCTGTGTGCCAAGCACTTCCATTCAGACTCCTGAGCAAAAGTGACAGAATTAAGATCATAGCAGCTCTGTGAGGAACTCCTAGTAGAAGAAGCCTCTTCCACTTCTCTTAGTCCTCCCGTGGCTGGACATGCCACAGCAAAACGTTGCTGATGTGTAGATTTATCAACTTACTCCAACAAGAGGGACTCTAATCACAGTAATAGCAGGGTTCAGAAGTTTCCCCCAAGAGCCTGGGCTACTTTGTTCCTGTAACTTTGAAGAGCACAGGTTAAATAAGTAGGATCCTCTCTATATTATGAGCTGAATAATTACAGAGAATAAAGTGTATCCCCTACCACCATTCCGCTATTGTTATTATGCAGTTGATCTTATTGCAGACTTAAAGGCTGTACATTAAAACACCTCTATGTTTCTTAAGACATGAAATACGGGATGATTAAAAAAATACCTCTGTGTTCTAAAACAGATAGTGATGGCTACACAGTTATGTAAATATACGAAAAAACATGTAATTGTACACTTTAACTGGGTGAATTGTATGCTATGTGAATAGCATAAAACAGCTCAATAAAGCTGTTACAAACAACAACAAAAACACCTCTTCCTTAAAGACCATGAGATTATGGATGAGTGAAATGACAGCAGAGATAAAAGTACCAAATCTACAGGATAACAAAGATAAATTAAATAATATAAATGTTGCCTACTGACATATTTTCTATTCACAAGCAAGCCAAAAAGTCTCTAAGATGGTGAGAAGAAATCAAATCTATAAAGCTTGTATTTCTCCCATGAAACACTCCATATAAAAGCTTCGCCAAAGATCAACAACAACAATAATAAACATATAAACTCTCAAAAGAGATATCTTTTTTGGAAAAAGTTGGTTGGATATAAAAGAGATAAAGGAGATATACCAGTTAATTTCTTCTTCATGTACCTTCCACACTGTACACAAGAAAGTTGCAACCTGAGGGGACACACCTCATATGGCCCTACTGCTTTCATTGTTCCAACACTTAATGAATTGTCTCACTTGATGGTCAGGCATTGCTGCTCTGCAGGTGGCCCACTCCCACTCTCCTTAAGGGATAAGGGCTGCAAACAGGAAGTAAGTGACCCTTAAATGCCATCTCTAGTTTTAAAAATTCACTGCATCTATATTTATAATGATGCAGACAGCAAAGGAGATGCTTTGAGTAAAAAGGTAATAAAGGTTGATGCTACTTAAAATAGTCAAGGTATTGGTTTAAAGCCAACTCTGGGCTCCCATCAGAAGGAAGGAGATGAATGCTATGACCAAAGACTGAAGTTCTCTATAGAGTCCACAGCACTCAATAGTACTGTATTTTCCTGAGGAGATATAAGACTTAGCCACTACATAATCATCACATAATAATCCATGATTTATTATTATTATTTTTTTGAGACAAGGTCTTGTTCTGTTGCCCAGGCTGGAGTACAGTGGCATGATCAAAGCTCATTGTAGCTTTGACCTCTTGGGCTCAAGCAATCCTCCCTCCTCAGCCTCTCCCTATAGCTGGAATCACACAGGCATGTGCCACCATACTTGGCTAATTTAAAAAAACTCTGTGTGTGTAGAGATGGGGTCTCCGTATGTTGCCCAGGTTGGTCTCGAACTTCTGGGCTCAAGTGCTCCTCCCACTTTGGCCTCCCAAAATGCTTGGATTATACACATGAGCCACTGTGCCTGGCCTACTCATGTTTGTTGATATGGGAAAGTAAATAAAGGTTTCAAAGTAGAAGAAGGAAGAAGAAGGAGGAAGGAAGAAAAAGAAGGAGAAAGAGGAGGAGGAGGGGAGAAAGAGGAGGAGGAGGAAAGAAAGAGAGAGAAGAAAGGAGGAGGAGGAAAGGGGGAAGGGAAAGGAAGGAAGAGGAAGGAAGGAAGAAGGGAGGGAGGAAGGAAATGACTGTGGCACCTTGGAATCTGTAATAGCAAGGAAAAGGGACTGTTTACACAGGTGGACATGTGCTCCTGACTTTTAGCACTGCAAGTTTCAGAACCTTTCTATGAGATATGAGACTACTACTAAAAACTTGGAGAGGTTATTCAGGAAACAAGGTTTGCCTAGTGATAGAAATTCTCTGTAGACAATCATGGATGATCATTTTTTCTGAAAAAGAAAAAGGGCATTACCTAAGGAAATACAAAAGTGCTTATATGAAATGGGAGCTCTCTGGAAAGCTTAAATGTAAGCTTTAGGAGAAAGATGAATAAAAATAAAACCATGAATGAACCTAAAAATGTACCTATGAAAGGTGTAGTTAACAGAAGCTCAAAATGCCAGAGGCAATAAAATAAAGTACTACTGGCTATATTCTAAGCAAGAAGAAAACGAAGGGGACAGAGTAACAGTTCTGGGGAAGGGAATGTAATGTTCACAGATGAACAGTGAAAAAGAGCCCAACTCAAGATGGAAGTTGGCTTGCGTCTCTCATAATAAAGAAAGGATGTTGGGCCGAGCACAGTGGTTCAAGCCTGTAATTCCAGCACTTTGGGAGGCTGAGGCAGGTAGATCACTTAAGCCCAGGAATTTGAGCCCAGCCTGGGCAATATGGTGAAACCTTATTTCTACCAAAAATACAAAAAAATTAGCCATGCATGGTGGTATGCACCTGTGATCCCAGCTATTGGAGTGGTTGAGGTGGGAAAATCACTTGAGCCCAGGAGGTTGAAGCTGCACTCCAGCCTGGGTGACAGGGTGAGACCCTGTCACAAAAAGAGAAGAAAAGGGAAGAAGAGGAGAGAGGATGGGAGGAGAAGGGAGGGGAGAGGAGGGGAAGAAAATGGGAGGAGAGGGGAGGGGAGTGAAGGGGAGGGGAAAAGATCTCCATATTGGTCAGGGCAAACGAAGAAGATGGAGCTGGTCCCTGAGGGGAAAAAGGGAGAGTAGGGACTTTGCCACTTTCAATGACTTCCAGTATTCCCACTCAGATGACTCTCACCCCAGGGCACTGAAGAAACTGTTGGGTCCTTTTCCAATATCACATGGAAGTAGCATTCTTGTGCCCACTGCAACAGTCCCACCATACACATACACAGTGTACATACTGCTTTCTTGAATAATCTCTCTTCCAGGCTTCTCACCAATCTCATGGGATGCCCAAGGCTATTACTATTGCCTTCACTGTACACCGAAGCTCAGAATTTAAGTGACCCGCCCAAGGTCATATAACCCCAAGGAGAACAAGACCAGATCTAGACCCAGGCCATCTGACTCGGGACCAGTGCTGTTTTCACTAACCAGTGTACCTTTTTGCTACTTCTTCAACAGAGCAACTTTTAAAACTCAAGCTATATAATATTAACAAAAATAAATATTAAGTACATTTGTAGCAAGATGAATACTTGCTGGTTAAATACCTTTCGACCTGCCTTAAGAGAAGTAAAATTTCATTTAATCTTCAGACCATCCCCAGGAAGGAGTTACAGATGAGGACCTGAGGCTTCTGGCCTTAAGTAACTTGCTTGGACTTGACAGTGACTGATTGAAGCAGCAAAGGTTTAAATGTATTGGAATCTGTTCTTGCTCCAAATTCCCTACTCTTTCCACTACAACTGGCTGCTACCTTAAATGTTTACCAAGGACTACTCTGAGATATAAACAGTATATGGTTAACCCAATTATAGCAAGCAGAAAAGTCAATGGCTTTCCTGAGCCCTGAGAAGTCTGATGTTCCAAACACATTTTCATAGCATGTTCTACAATCATGCTAACAAAAGCAAAGCCATTTCTCTCCTTTTTAACTTAGTTCTAATCTTGTGGGAAGAAATACTGAGGACCTGAGCCTCGCAGTAGCTGTGAGAATAGCGGTAGGCAACAAAACAAATATATCTGAATTTATTATGATTCTTACAGGGGCTCAATGACTACTATAAATCCCTGGGGCAAGCATATCTCCCTCTACTAAGAAATAGGCCAGGAGGTCCGTAGAATGGAGGCAAAGGGAAGGTAGAAACATGGAGAAATGGAGGCCTCCTCCAGGTTTTATTATTTCCAGGACCTACTTCCTGTACAGTCACTAGTTCTGGCTTTAGAGGAGAAAAAAGAAAGCTACTTCCATATAAATAAGAACCCAAAGCTCTTCAGGTTAAGTTCATTGCCTAGGTTCGCCAGTGATGGTTGCGATAGAGGTCTCGATGTAATGGAATCTGGTATATGACTCGCAAATGTACAGGCACAAGCACGTCTACCAGCAACAGCAGCAGAAGTTAAAAGAACCCTCCAAGTAGCACCATGTGTTAATTCAACAAAGGTTTATCAAGCATCAATGACTAAATCGAGCAATGGGTAAATACTGGAGATCAGGCAGAGAATGAGACAGCATGCCCATCTTTGTGGAGCTTACAGTCTTGTGGGGGTTTACAGTTACAAAAGGGCATGCTCAGATTGCTATGGATACTTAAAAATGCATGGAGTTCAGTTTGGTACCCATGCTCAGATTGCTATGGGTACTTAAAAACCAGGAATGGAGTTGAATCTTTATTACACTTTTGAATCTCCATGAATTTAAAGAATGTTTCAAAATTCTAAATTATTTTATTCATTTTAATTAAAAAGCAAACCACTACCACTTACTCTTAAGAAGCTCAGTGAAGTAGCAAATAGAATATTTATTCTAAGCCCTGGCTCTTGTAGTTTTTGATCGGATACATGTCTTAACAAAATATAATCCTGAATATGAAAAATCCATCACCAGTTAAAATTTTTACCTAAGAAACTTGCCTGCTACACAAAATTAGTCAAAGTTGACTGTAGAGGATATTTAGTGAAACTTCATATAGAACAGATTTACTACTTTATTAATTATAGTCCAGTGATGCCCCAAGAACATTCTTTACTAGAAGAATTAATAGTCACTGCACAGTTGCACAGGCAGGTGTTCAAGACTTGGTGCTCGGCCAGGCGCGGTGGCTCATGCCTGTAATCCCAGCACTTTGGGAGGCCGAGGCAGGTGGATCACGAGGTCAGGAGATCGAGACCATCCTGGCTAACATGGTGAAACCCCGTCTCTACTAAAAATACAAAAAAAAAAAAATTAGCCGGGCATCATGGCGGGCGTCTGTAGTCCCAGTTACTCGGGAGGCTGAGGCAGGAGAATGGCGTGAACCCGGGAGGCGGAGGTTGCAGTGAGCCAAGATTGCGCCACTGCACTCCAGCCTGGGTGACTGAGCAAGACTCCGTCTCAAAAAAAAAAAAAAAAGACTTGGTGCTATTCTCCTACATGCTCTTTTCATTTATTAATACAGGGTCCAGATTGGCTCTTACTGCCTTCCATACCCCTAAGATTGCAAACAGTGGCAAAGCTGGGATTCAAGGAATTTAAACTCATGCCAATCTGCAAAACTATTAAGTACACCAACTGCCTAAAACTCTACTTCATGCCCCCTCTTTACATCAGAGGTAGCACTCTTAATGTCTCTAGAGGGCAGGCAGGTAACACCAATGAACAGTGTGGCAGGTAAGGCATGTGCATATATGGTGGAAGCAGGAGAAACAGAATGAGTTGAAGAGGAGACTGAAGGGAAAAGCAGCTATTTGACTCCAATGATTGCCACAATGTATGATCTTGCAATTTTCTTTTTTTTTTTTTAGACGGAGCCTCGCTCTGTCGCCCAGGCTGGAGTGCAGTAGCACGATCTCGGCTCACTCCAAGCTCCACCTCCCAGGTTCACGCCATTCTCCTGCCTCAGCCTCCTGAGTAGCTGGGACTACAGGTGTCTGCCACTACTCCCAGCTAATTTTTTTTGTGTTTTTAGTAGAGACGGGGTTTCACCGTGTTAGCCAGGATGGTTTGGTCTCGATCTCCTGATTCATGATCCACCCGCCTCGGCCTCCCAGAGTGCTGGGATTACAGGTGTGAGCCACCGCGCCCGGTCATTTGGCAATTTTCAAACCAGAAGTTCAACATCTCATACATACTCCTGAATGTTTAAATGTTAATCTAAGTTTCTTTGTTGTTTAAGAGCACTGTGTAGGTCAAGCAGGTCACTAGCTCTCCACCTCTGCTAACATACTGTCAGTGTCATCTTCTGAACAGCACTAGTTTGGTATGCTAAATTTTGCAGGATTATTTTCATAAGTGTAACATCACTCTGGGGATGGGTGAGGCAGAAGATTCCTTAATGCCTTAAATATCAACAGTGCTCTCTTTTTCAGGCAGCCTAGATGAATTCATGGACTAATGCCATGCAAGGTAGAGCTGGTCACTTATGATCATAAGGTGCCTTTCTTCCCAGGAAACTACAGAACAAACTTCTTTTCTCTCCCATAGCAGTTTCACCCTAAGTAGGTGCTTACCCGTTTGTCAATGTCATTGTGCTGAAGCTGCACAAAACGAGCGCTGATGGCTGCAATGTAACTCTGCTGATTGGAGAATGCCACGCGGCCAGCACCTTTGGGGTACTTCAGCTCTGGGTCCGTATCAATGCCAGCATAGCAGACACCACCGTACAAACGGTCCATGATCATTGCCAGTTCAACTGCAAAAAAAAAACAAAACATGGATGTGTATAAATATCTGGGAGGTACTCTTGCCCAGGAGAAGGAAGAATTATTTAGAGATCATGCAATGTAATTAAGAAAAGGAAAACCCATGTTAAGTATCATGAAGAATGTCCACACCAGTCTTACAACTCAAGTAGGGAAGGTCCTCACTGGGTGTTTTGAAATAAAATGGAAAAAAAATTAGGAATTTACAACATACACACAAGAATTTATATAATCAGAACTTTAGCAGTAGTATAGAAGAAATGAACTACCAGTAATCCTGTTCTAATTTCTAATTGCTTAGTCCAATGGAATGCACCCTGGGTAGGCAAGGCATTTCATGCTGCCCTAACAAGTTAATAAGAAACAGTCCTACTTACTAACCTCTAAGACTAAAAGCAATTACTAGTGTCACACTACTATATTAGGACTAAGCTATAGAAAGGATTAACTAACTGCTTGTTTTAACTAGAGACAATTTGTTTATAGCCTTAAAGTAAATCTCCACAATTTAAAAAAATAAAGATTTTAGAGTATATTCTAACCCAACTGTGAACTCTCCATACTAACCTTTCCCATTGAATTCTAAATAATACTAGTAATGATAATAGCCACAATAAACATTTACTGAGCACTTACAACCTACCACAGAGCACTAAGGTGCCACACAAATAGTAAAAACATACCCATGTTGTACCTTGCTACAGATCCAGAGGTCTGGCCTGTACTCCTTGTCACATTTCTTCTAAATATGCCTTTGTTTGTTTGTTTGTTTGTTTGTTTGTTTGTTTACTGAGACAGAGTCTCGCTCTGTTGCCCAGGCTGGAGTGCAGTGGTGTGATCTCAGCTCACTACAACCTCCCCGGTTCAAGTGATTCTCCTGCCTCAGCCTCCCGAGTAGCTGGGATTACAGGCATGCACCACCACACTTGGCTAATTTTTTGTATTTTTAGTAGAGATGGGGTTTCACCATGTTGGCCAGGCTGGTCTTGAACTCCTGACCTCAAGTGATCCTCCAGCCTTGGCCTCCCAAAGTGCTGGGATTACAGGCATGAGCCACCATGCCTGGCCTAAGTATGCCTTTATATTGGTATAGTTACAAAACAATAAAGGTACCATTAGAAAAACATGTAGCACTTACCTGCATACCAGATTGTCTGAAGGTAATTGTTTACTTGATAGTGGACAGCACCTTCTCCAGGTATGACCATTCCTTTTAGGCTACTCACATAATATAAGTCCAAAAGACTCAGCACTACCCCTGGGAAGTGACCCAAGAACCTGTTTCAACACCTATATATAGTATTTGGAAAGGAGAAGACAGGGAAGACAGACAATGACCTGGGCCACAGCCAATGTGCAAAGATCATCACATAGTAGATCTCCACAGGAATCAGTATCTGGGGAGATGGAGAGCAGCACAACTCTTCTCTTCTAGGAGAAGAGTTCTGCAGAATGTACAAAGGGTGAAGGGCTGAATAGTATAAGAACTCCACTAGATGTCTATGAACAAAAGGAAAGCCAAGCATTACTGGTTTCTGTACTATGAAACTGCTGAGGCAGTAAGAAAAACTGTGTTGCTACATCAGAGAGGCTATGTTTACACTTCTCCAAAAGTTCTTTACATACCAGATTGCCTATTGGTGACTGTTTTCTAAGTGCCTATTTTTAACAGGAAGGACAACCTACAACCAACTAGTAATTTTCAGAAGGTGAGAAAATAAGCTAGTAATAAGTAAGCCTAAGAGTAAGTGCTATTAAAGACAGAGCAGCAAAAAGTTATCTCAATTATACCACTATGGTCAGAATTACTAAGCCATATCAGCCAAGGGAGAATTGTCCGTTAAAGCCAAGTTGATGCTGACTGCAGTCTTGGGGCAGGATCCAGGAATCACATTCATTCAAACAATGTAACAGGAATTGTGTGCATAACCCTAAATATTAGAGGTCCTTATACTTCATCCCAACAACCTCTGATGGTTTGAGAATCTCCTCATACGGCTAATGTTACTGCAGTAACAGAGATCAAGAAACTGAAGGCAAAATTAATTGTTAATTGCAGTCATTAATGAATTTCCCTTATTGGTTGAATGGGTTTAATGAAATAAGTAACCTCAGGACCCTGTAAATTAAATACTAATTTTCAAAAGACAAGGCTTCCTCTGTAGTGAAATAAGAGAGGGAACAATCTCTAAGCCTGGTGAATGGCCAGGAAAAGAATGCTGGCAAGGAATTGAATGGCACTTGTCTTCCACGATAGGAAGGACTCAATAAAGTGCCTGATTTAGAAAGAAGGCACATGAGTGGTAAGCTTGAAACTCCAGCTAAGCAGGAGAGTTACTGTAACCACAGATTTTTCTACACCACAGTGGTCTCCAAAAAATCTTCAGGATCGCCGGGCACGGTGGCTCACGGCTATAATCCCAGCACTTTGGGAGGCCAAGGTGGGCGGATCTTGAGGTCAGGAGATGGAGACCATCCTGGCTAACACGGTGAAACCCCGTCTCTACTAAAATACAAAAAATTAGCCGGGCGTGGTGGCAGACGCCGGGAGGCTGAGGGAAGAGAATGGCATGAACCTGGGAGCTGGACCTTGCAGTGAGCCGAGATCACGCCACTGCACTCCAGCACAGGCGAAAGAGCAAGACTCTGTCTCAAAAAAAAAAAAAAAAAAAAATCTTCAGGATCTCCTGATGCCAGAGAAGCACAAACATTCCATTACTTTGTGAATCTATCTGCTTGAAATCATCTGCACATTCCAAGGATTAGATCGTGACTGATGTTGCTGGCAGTTAAGTACTTTTGATAGGAAACAGAAACCCTCATCTGCTTATGCTCTTATGACAACCAATTATAAATAAATAATTTCCATTTATGAACTTATATGTAGTTGCTTTTTTGGCCACCAAAAAGTCTGCAGACATTTGAGTTGATTAGGTCTCACTTAAGTGAAGGGCAATTTGTTGAGAAGCTAGAAGAAACCAAGGTGACTTAAGAAGAGGTTTTTGGGAGAAGAGTATGAAAATTTCCCATCTCCCTCTCTACCCTCATCTGTATTTTATTATTTATTTATTTATTTACTTATTTTTGAGACGGAGTCTCACTCTGTTGCCCAGGCTGGAGTGCAGTGGTGCAATCTTGGCTCACTGCAAGCTCTGCCTCCTGGGTTCACACCATTCTTCTGCCTCAGCCTCCCGAGCAGCTGGGACTACAGGCGCCCGCCACCACGCCTGGCTAATTTTTTGTATTTTTAGTAGAGACTGGGTTTCACCGTGTTAGTCAGGATGGTCTCGATCTCCTGACCTCATGATCCGCCTGCCTCGGCCTCCCAAAGTGCTGAGATTACAGGTGTGAGCCACCGTGCCCGGCCTCATCTGTATTTTAACTACAGAAAGTCTAATACTATGACCACCCTTGAAGGGAAGTAAACAATAGTCAAACAACTGCTGTTCATATTTGGTCTTTTGCTCAACCAGTGAGTCTTCATTCAGCATACTTTATTAAGCATACTTAAATGAACTCATTTAAGTACTAAACAGAATTTCTAGTCCTCATTTGAAACCATCCTCTGCAGAGGGCAGAGACAAAGTAGCTCCCAGGAGGATGTTCTTAACATTTAACCTGAGGAAAATGAGGGTAGCAGAGCAGGGCATAGAGGCGAAGGAATCCAGAGTTCACACAGAGGTGAAAATAGGTATATAGTTCACGAGGAAGTCGAGACTTTCCAAACTACTTTTTATTTTCTTTCCCATCCAGACAGTGCTCATTGGTCTGTCTGGTCATGGTGGGAAGATGGCGGTCTAATAGCTATGGTTCAAGGGTATACCATACTTTGGACAAGATGCTCTGTGATCCTAAGACAACTTAAGTTGTCTCATGAACAACTTCCATGGTAGCAGCAACACAATGAGTCTAATCCACATGCTGGCTCTTGTGATGAGCGTCACTGTGCCACAGACTGGAGGGGCAAACTAGAATACTGCAGCAATATGGAGCATAGCATCCCCATGGATTCCTTTGGATTGTGATGACTACATCTCTGAATCTGAATATAAGCTTCAATTATGGTTCCTTGGATTTGCTCCTGATTCTTTTTTCTTTTTTCTTTTTCTTTTTTTGAGATGGAATCTCGCTCTATCGCTCAGGCTGGAGTGCAGTGACACGATCTCGGCTCACTGCAACCTCCGCCTCCAGGGTTCAAGCGATTCTCCTGCCTCCGCCTCCCAAGTAGCTGGGATTATAGGAGTGCAGTCACCACGCCCAACTCATTTTTATATTTTTAGTAGAGATGGGGTTTTGCCATATTGGCCAGGCTGGTCTTGAACTCCTGACATCAGGTAATCCACCTGCCTTGGCCTCCCAAAGTGCTGGGATTACAGGCGTGAGCCACCGTGCTTGGCCTGCTCCCAATTCTTTACAAAGATGTGAAAGGGTCTTTAGTTCACCAGAGAGGAAACCCATGATGACTCCTTCTTCATGGGTTCACCTTAGGGCCCTATTTATATCATTTAATTATAATACATTTCAAAGCCAGCTAAGGCAACATGTGAGTCTGAGATACTGGAGAGCCAAACGAGATAGAGTAGAAATGAGGATTCCAGAGGAAAATAACACATTCGTCTCTACAGATTCTAAACTGCGAATCTATAATCCATATTTCTTCTCTTTGGAAATAAGGACAAAACAGATAGGCAAGAGGCATAGGGCACCTTAAGATATCAAAGAGGTCTTGACTTCTGAAAGAAAGGAAGATTAAACTTGAGGAGGACTTTCTAGGTTTACCACAATTGTCAAGTTGGTTCAAGGGCAATTCACACACTTCAAGTGGAAGAAATGTGCTCATAAGCTTCTGCTCTGCATCAGATATGTTGGGAAGTTAAGAATATTTTCAAATAGATGGTATGAACAATGAATTAAATCAGACAGAGTACACTGGTACCAAGTAGACTGTTACTACTGTTACTGAGACAACATCTCAGATCTCAGCTTAATAAAGTATCTTTCTTTCGACCTGAGAAAGACCAGTTACTCTATCTGAACTCTGCTTCATCATCTCGAAAGCGCAGTCTACCACTTACAATCTCACAGGGTCATTGTGAGAATTAAACATCCATGAGAGCTCTGGGCACACTGCTGAGGACAGAGTGGTATTCAAATGTTTAGTTTTGTCCAGGGTTCTTGCCCCTCTCCCACCCTGTGAATCTCTGCTTAACATTTAAGTTGGCCTGGTTTTATGCTCTATAAGTATCAATTCATTGCAGTGTTATTTTGGTTTTATGCTAATATCACACAGCCTGCCACTGATATGGCAAAGTTTGACATCAGCTTTGGATGAGGGTTTGCTTTTGGTGCAGAGGGAGGACACAAACACATACTAACATTAGGAAAACCCTTATCCCTAAAGGTAATACAGTTAATCAAGTCAGTATGCCAAATCTGGAGTTTATCCGGGACAACCCATACTGAACTTAGGACATGGTGAAAAAGCTTCTACTGTTGAAAAACTTGATACAGGATGGTTTCTGCCTGCAACCATATCATAAAACAACAATAAAGGATAGGGTTATAATATACTCCTGTTTCCTAAGTCACAAATCAGGACATGGTTTCTAATACATGTGAACTATCAAATGTTTATATAAAATGTCTGAAATAAATGATCTTAGAAAAATTCAGGATATATGTTCTCTAGATATATGCCACATATCTCTGAATATTTACTTCACAAATTTTTACCTCCCACAGAAAAACCATCCTCACAACAGTCAGGGCAGGTGGGGAAGGCAGAGAAAGAAATTTCAGGATTCACCACAGAATATTGGTAGGGGAAAAAAAGAAAGGAAGGAATTATCACAGCAATTGTTAGGAAAGATAGAACCAAAAGATGAACGAGAAAACAGTAGGTTGTGGGGATTCAGATGAGCACTCTCTCAAGATTGATCTGTTTGCAGGGCCTAAGGAAGTCATGAAGTCAAGAACAGTTTATATGCTTCTAATGAGAAAGACTGAAAGTTTTTCCAGCCTGATCAAGGTTGGGAATGAATGGATCCAAAAGCTTGGTCACTGGGGCAGTCCTCCCATCAGATGCCAAAACCAAGAAATTTGGGATCAGAGGAATACTCATGTTAATCAACTGGGGAAGAGTACAGAGACCACATACCTCACTCTCTACTTTTTCCTGGTGATATCATAACCCCCAAGTCTGGCACTTATTTTCTGTCAGAGTGAAGAGATATGCATTCTGGAGAGGTCCTAATGCCACAGAGATATGCAACAGGGCTATTTCTGTATGGAGATTCACATTACGTGAATGAAGCAGAGTGGCAACGTGTTGTACTTCCAGGTGGCAGCAGGAGGAGAATCAAACTGCCCATTATTACCCTGTACTGACTCTAAAGAATATGCGAGCTTTAGCCACATGGTGGCACGGTGAGTCTACTTACAGGCTTTCCTAATGTGAGGGCAGGGTGAGGTGGGGAGTAGAAAGAAAACAAGATCTGATAAACACCAGGAGACTTCAGGCAAACCATCGTTGGCTTGCTATTGTCACCGATGGGAATGATGAAAGGAAGAGACAGTAATAATGTGTATTATTTGACATAGAAAAACCCACAATCAGGCAATGAGTAAGCTCATCTAAATTTTCCACTGATATTTTCCCATTTTCAGCTTTGCTTTTCTTTTCCTTTCTAGGACTGTGATTTTTTTCCAACCTAATTTTTTTTTTTTTTTTTTTTGAGATAAGGTCTTACTGTCACCCAGGCTGGAGTGCACTGATGCAATCTCAGCTCACTGCAGCCCCGAGCTCCCTGGGCTCAAGTGGTTCTCCTGCCTCAGCCCCCCAAGTAGCTGGAACTACAGGAGTGTGCCATCATGCCTGGCTAATTTTTGTATTTATTGTAGAGACAGGGTTTCACCATGTTGCCCAGGCTGGTCCAACCTGAGTTTTTAAAAGGAAGGTTTATCAAAGAACCAGAAACTCAGGACAATACTGCTTAAAATAGGTTGCCTTTTTTCTTTAAGAGGTGTTTGTATATTTCTGTTTAAAGGGATAAGGCCTGTATTCAGAATAACTATCAGTGATATTGGTCCTTGTCTTACAATGAGGAAATATCAAAGATTAAAAAAAAAAAACTCACAAGATCCAAAGGAATAACACTTCAGTGATAACATTTTAGTCACTGTGACATATTAAGGGATACTTTTTGGCCCTGAATAAGGTAAAAATCCACCTGGACATCTAAAATCACACCTGTTGAGTAGGGACACCCATATCTAGTCCAGGATCAGTCTACATAAAATGCTTAAAATAGTTTTAGACTTTCCAAAATTCCATAACTAGAATATCCCTTGGAAATAATAAAAAATGCTCTAAAGCATTTCAAAACCAAATTTGAAAATCATGTTAAAGAATATAATCTGGTCTCCAGTTAATTCTGAGTTCACATTCTATAAACACATTTGTTTTCTTCTGAAATCTTTTGACTGTCTGTAAATGATTACCTCTTTAACATGATAGTGGGATATTCAGTTTTGCATGACACATATTTTCTCAGTGCCAGTAATACAGTAGATGCTCAATAAATGTTTATCATTCAAGTGAACTGTACTGTATTCAACTTCAGCTTGTCTAGCAAAGTCACAATGAATTCCTTTAAAAAACGTCTTCTATTCCAAGGTATACATCAGTTCCCAAAGCTCAGTGTGTTTCAAAGAAACCCAATCCCTAGGATTATACATAAAAGTTGCAGATGTTAACTTTTTGTCTTGATAACATGGCCCTCTAAACTAGAAGTCTTGGGATGAATGGTAAAATTCTAAGACAATAATATAGATTACTTTGCCACCTAGAAACTAGCTATGCTTAAGGGAAGTGTTGGCATGGGAGGAACCCTATCAATAATTCAAGTGATTTTAGATTACTATCCACATAACTATAAAAACAAAACATTTTAAAACAAAAAATTTTAGCTTAGTTGAAAAAAAAGAGAACTTCGGCTGGGCACGGTGGCTCACACCTGTAATCCCAGCACTTTGGGAGGCCGAGGCGGGTGAATCATGAGGTCAGGAGTTTGAAACCAGCCTGGCCAACATGGTGAAACACTGTCTCTACCAAAAATACAAAACAGCCAGGCATGGTGGTGTGCGCCTGTAGTCCCAACTACTCGTGAAGCTGAGGCAGGAGAATCTCTTGAACCCGGGAGGTGGAGGTTGCAGTGAGCTGAGATCGGGCCATTGCACTCCAGCCCAGGTGACAGAGTGAGACTCCGTCTCAAAAAAAAAAGGAACTTCAAATTATGAAAGGTATAATATAGTATCTAGTCAGGGAACACAAAATCCCATTTCTTACTAGACAACTAAATATAATTCTTGTTTAATCCTAGAATTTGTGGCATCTTGCAGATACCAAATGTTAAAGAATATAATTTCATGCCCAGGGGTTCACTTCTTGCAGTGTTGGTGTGATCATACAGCAACCTTTTGGAAAAGGTATCTTCACAGGATTTACAGAAGAAAAATGATACATAGGCCCTTACCTATCCTTCCAAATCATTAAAACAGGAAGAATAAAGAGTGAATAATACAAATTGAAGTTTAATGTATAAACTTGTATGTCTGTGACTTAGATAGACATAAGAAGTTACAGCCAATTCTGTTATTTTTATAACTATAGGGCTTTTTCAGAATATTTTTTCAGATTCCTATCTAGGAAAAAAAGGAAAGGGGCTAGAACATAAAAACTAATTTGTGGCTGGGCGTGGTGGCTCACGCCTGTAATCCCAACTACTTTGGGAGGCTGAGGTGGGTGGATCACCTGAGGTCAGGAGTTCAAGACCAACCTGGCCAACATGGCAAAACCCTGTTTCTACTAGAAATACAAAAATTAGCCAGGTGTGGTGGCACACACCTGTAGTCCCAACTACTTGGGGGACTGAGGCTGGAGAATCACTTGAACCCAGGAGGCGGAGGTTGCAGTGAGCCGAGATCATGCCACTGCACTCCAGCCTGGGCAACAGAGCGAGACTCCATCTCAAACAAACAAACAAACAAAAAAACTAATTTGTGCTTGCAGTTAGTTGCAAAAGGAATAGCTAGAATACTAGCAATGATTGTCCATTTGTAAAATAAGGAAAAGGATTTCTGTCCCTCTCCACTCCTAAATATAACACTAGTTAGAAAAAGTCAGAAATATTTCACAACACCTCCACCATTTTTTTTAAAGCACAGTTTACAAAGGGCTGCATTTGCCCCCATCTCATAATGCTTTTCACGTTTGAATTAGCCCTTCTTAGACTTTATTCTCCGACTGCAGATAAAAGGGGAGCATCTCTGCTGTTTTGCTTTCTATCTTTCATTTGACAGTTTTCCATTCGAATGAAGAAAATAAGACCCAATCAGAACAAATATGTTTAAAAGTTCTTCAAAATGAAATTATGAGTGTCTTTATATAGGTCTAAAGTTATCTTTTAGGTGTAGGCTGGAGTTGGGATTTGGATGAGTATGTTACAAATGTTGAGGAACTTTCAGAATTAAGTTTTGAAAGTAATACAGCTAAATAACGTTAGGTTACATTTTATAATTCCATTTCACAACATGATTTTAATGATCTCTGCTTTTTGTTTTAATTTTAGGTAGAACTAAGTCTATGTGCATATAAATAACACAAAAGAAATGTACTTTCACAGTGGCAACAGTAACTTTTTTTGTCTTACTTTAAAAAAATAAACTTAATTATTCTAAGTGCTTCAAAAACTTAGATCTTAGAAATGATTTTGTTATACTCCACTGGCATTAATAGTGGTTATTAGGAGGCTGATGTACAGCTGATTGGATTTGTCTTTGGATTTAAATATGTATTGAAGCCATCAGTTCAACAACACTTCAAACTCTCCAGTCAATTATGATTCTGCTCAAATCCAGCAGCACAATTATTTCATCACTGGAAAGGAACTTAAAAAAAAAAACCAACAGGGAAGCTTTAAAAAAGATTTCTGTCATACATAACAATGCTGACTGGCATAAGAATGCACATTGCCAAATGTGTTATTATTTTTTATATAAGCAATTAAATAGGAAAGCACTAAATAGAATTCATTTTGTCAACATAACTGTTTAATGAAATTCACTTTTGCACCATAACAAAATAGAGCATTTTGGGAGAAAACCTTTAATCCTGAAAAAGCTCAGTGAAAATGATGACAGCCTTCTTTTTGGAGACTATGTATAGCTGACTGGAAACCTAGAAAATATTTAAGACTAAAGGCATTGGGGATTTTGTTGTTGTTGGTTTTGTTGTTGTGGTATTACTATTTCCACTCACCAGCTCGAAGGGGTCGTGGAACTCCCCCAACAAAGATAGTTTTTCTGGGGTCCAAAGGCTGAGAACCATCCATTACAAAGTCACTGTCACTTAGGTTCCATGGTCGAATTTGCACCTGAAAAAAAGTTGTTTACTTGGTCCTTACTTCATTTCCATCAACCCCAAATGAGAATAAGATGACTAAAGACAAACCCACTGATTTGTGCATTTCACAATGAACATGACCCAAACAAAATCCAGTTAATTAGTTAACGTAATCTGCATTAAGTACCTTTCAATAGAACTCTTGGGGAATCTACTTACAGGTACTGTACTCAGCACTCTAGACATATGACATATACCATGAAACCATCAGAAACCACCTCTGCCTGTGGTTTTTTTATTTTAAGGCAGGCTTTTAGAGACAGAGTCTGCATTTTGAATCAGATTCATCTTAACACATGATAGAGACTGTTTACAACGTGTCACAGTACACCACTTTGTTTTAAGAGTTCATCTAAAGTACATCAGGAGTATTTTCTAAAAATTCTCCATGTCTGACTTTTTAATTCTCATCACCCTCCAAAATTCAAACATATCTTTCAGCAATATGATTTAATACAGACGAACATGCAGCAAGTTAGCATAGAATTACCAAAGATAACAATAAAGCACAAAGAGTACTCTCTGGCTGGGCATGGTGGCTCACACCTGTAATTCCAGCACTTTGGGAGGCTGAGGCAGGTGGATCCCTTAAGGTCAGGAGTTCGAGATCAGCCTGGCCAACATGGTGAAACCCTGTCTCTACTGAAAATACAAAAATTAGCTGGGTGTAGTGGCTCACGCCTGTAGTCCCAGCTACTCAGGAGGCTGAGGCATGAGAATCGCTTGAACCCAGCAGGTAGAGGTTGCAGTGAGCCGAGATCACGCCACTGCACTGCAGCCTGGTGACAGAGCAAGACTGTCTCAGGAAAAAAAAAAAAGAGAGAGAATTACCTCTTTTGGATTTATCTGATTTTGACAAATGAGGCTGGTTAAATAAAGGCAAGCTTCAAAGTTTAAGTAAATTTTTTTAAAAGCAGAAAAAGAAATCTTTATGGCATATTTCTATTTGGTCATTTTTCTTAACTGGGACTCTGACTTAGTGCCCATAGTTTGTACTATTTTATCACAAGCAAAAAATAAGGTATTTCTTTAGAATTTTAACCTTAAAACATGAGCCTTTATGTACATGGTTTTATATACAAAACCTTAAAACATATTATCAAAGAATAGCTTAAACAAAACAAAAACACAAAAACATCCTCCCACACCAGAAGGCAAATTTTGCACGGTCTCAAAACCAACCAGTTACGCAGGTAGCCAATATGCTCTGAGAAGCGGGCTGGGTGCAGAAAGGGAACCTGGTATCTGTCCTCAAGGAACATGCCATTCCCCCTCCCCTCCACCAATGAATGACTAAGATAGAAAACAAAAAAGTTGACTTTTCATTTCCTTAGTATTAATGGAATTGTTCATTTCCCCCTTGCTCAGAAATCAATACTTAATGCGAAGAAACATATGTGATAATTTCTTATGTGGCTTGGCTTATACCCAGGAGTACTTCCACTTGAAAGGTAGCACCTGTGGCAATTATACTTTCAAAACATTTTGAATTAACTTTAAAACTGGAATTGCTCAGTTAGAAACAGTCTACACTTTTTTTTTTTTGGGAGATGGAGTTTCCCCTTTTTGCCCAGGCTGGAGTGAAGTGGCACAATCTCGGCTCATGCAACCTCCACCCCCCAGGTTCAAGAGAATTCTCTTGCCTTGGCCTCCCAAGTAGCTGGGATTACAGGTGCCCGCCATCATGCCCGGTTAATTTTTGTATTTTTAGTAGAGACAAGGTTTCACCATGTTGGCCAGCTGGTCTCAAACTCTTGACCTGAGGGGATCTACCCACTTCAGCCTCCCAAAGTGTTAGGATGATAGGCACGAGCCACCGCGCCTGGCCAGTCTATACATTCTTTAAGACTGCTACAAATTTCACCCTCACCTAACTTTTTGCCTTTATTATTATTATTTGAGACAGAGTGTTGCTTTATTGCCCAGGCTGGAGTACAGTGGCATGATCTCGGCTCACTGCAACCTCCGTCTCCTGGGTTCAAGTGATTCTCGTGCCTCAGCCTCCTGAGTAGTTGGAATTACCGGCACCTGCCACCACACCTGGGTAATTTTTGTATTTTTAGCAGAGACGGGGCTTCGCCATGTTGGCCAGGGTGGTCTCAAACTCTTGACCTCAAGGGATCCGCCCACCTCGGCCTCCCAAAGTGCTGGGATTACGGGAGCGAGCCACTGTGCCCGGCCACTTTTCGCCTTTTATGACACTGTTGCCCTCACCAGTTAGCCAGGAGACACAAAATCACAAAATCTCCATTTCTTCCCCAGACCCTGAAAACTTGGACCTGTTTACAATATTGTTCACATGTAGACATTCGCTCCACCTTTATTGCATGAAAAAAAATGCAGTTCTGGCTGGGCGCTGTGGCTCAAGCCTATAATCCCAGCACTTTGGGAGGCCGAGGCAGGCGGATCACGAGGTCAGGAGATCGAGACCATCCTGGCTAACATGGTGAAACCCCGTTTCTACTAAAGATACGAAAAATTAGCCGGGCGTGGTAGCGGGCGCCTGTGGTCCCAGCTACTCAGGAGGCTGAGGCAGGAGAATGGTGTGAACCTGGGAGGCGGAGCTTGCAGTGTGCCAAGATCACGTCACTGCACTCCAGCCTGGGCGGTAGAGCGAAACTCCCTTTCAAAAAAAAAAAAAATGCAGTTCTTTCCATGTAAATTTTGGTCTGTTTGACTAAATTATCATTCCCTTGACATTTACTACAAAGGCAGATTCACTAATACCATAAAGCATTACTTTTAAATGCCTTCATGAGGACCTACTGCCTTTTACTAATTTTTTCATTTAATACACAATAATTTCCTGACACTGTGAGAACAAAGATTCTAATGACACACACACACACACACACACACACACACACAGAGATGTATCTTTTTCTACACATAATCTCTCTTCTAATCTCATTCCTAATAAAGCAGTTAAGGCAGCTTCGGGACCTGGTAAGGTAATTCCAATCACTTTATGTTAATTGCGTTTGATCATAGATCACTTTATTTTAAAAATGAAAACTATTCTTGTGTAGTATCCAATGGTCTGCTTTCATGTTCAATTAATTGAGACAGGAAATACAGCCTTTTATCAATAGCTGTAGGTTACCACTGCTCAAAAGAACTCTGCAAAAGATCTCAAACCTTCCTGCTGAGAGCTTTCATTACTGCCTACTGCCTTTTCTGCCCACTCCCCAACCCCCGATCTCACTTCATCACATTGCACACAACCCATTCCTTTATTCTTGGCATTGCAGATTAGGTAAAAATATAGGAAGAGGGCTCAAGACACAGTGCTGATTAACCCTATTCACGAAACCTACATTTCCCAGCTGCCACCAGAAAACAGTTGCTCAGAGCTGTCACCTCTGCAGAATTAATCAACATAGATGCAGAATTAATCAACATAGAACAATATCAACACACTCTATATACTAAGCAAAAAATAATATTGTGGTACTATCTGTATGAAAAGTTGCACTCACACTCTGGTTTCTCTCTTAAATCTAAGCCCATTCTCACACAAGGCCTGTTTCTCCAGACCTCAGGTCCTGATATCCATGTTCTATCCTTCTGGACTTACTCTTTGTTTGGATATATTTTCTGGTCCTGATTTATATATATATATATATATTTTTTTTTTTTCATTGTGTATATATATATTGCGTATATATATAATATATATACTTCATTGTAATATCATACTTTATAAGCTAATTCAAATATTTTGTGGAGAGTATAAATAAAATAACCACTTTTTAATTATCTTTGTTTCTTTAATAATTATTTTTGAGAATAGATGAAATTAGAATTCTGTCCTAATTCAATAAATTTCCTCTCTATATACAAAACTGGTCCTCCGTATCTGTGGGTTCTGAGTCTGCAAGGCAGGGTCAGCCAATCTCAAATAGAAAACTTTTTTTTTTGAGATGGAGTCTTGCTCTGTCGCCCAGGCTGGAGTGCAGTGGCACAATCTCAGTCCACTGAAACCTCCACCTCCCAGGTTCAAGCAATTTTCCTGCCTCAGCCTCCTGAGTAGCTAGAGTGTGCCACCACACCTGGCTGATTTTTTTTTTTTTTTTTTTTTTTAGTAGAGATGGGGTTTCACCACGTTGGCCAGGCTGGTCTCAAACTTGACCTCAGGTGATCTACCTGCCTCGGCCTCCCAAAGTGCTGGGATTACAGGCGTGAGCCACCATGCCCAGCCTAGAATATATTTTAAAACAAAAATAACAGTAACAATAATACAAATTTTAAAACTATAGTAGAACGACTATTTATATAGCATTTACATTGTATTAGGTATTATAAGTAATCTAGAGACAATTCAAAGTATATGGGAGGATGCACATAGGTTACGTCATTTTATGTAAGGGACTTGAGCATCCATGGATTTTGGTATCTGAGGGGGGTCCTAGAACCAATCCCTTATGCAAACCTAGGAACAACTGTATAGGGCTAACTCTGTGACTGTGTGTGAGAAAGAAGGTGTGTGAGTGAAACAATTCTTCCAGTATGTTGTCAAGTAGGCACTATAGGGGCAGTAAAAGCCTCAGCATCCTGAGGACAAGTATAAGGATGCCACCCAGAAATAGTGAAGATTCCCTGAAATTATCCTGACATGATTCCAGCACTTCTTCCTGGAGCAGCCTGACCACATTTTCTGGTAAAGGTGACTCTAAAAAAAGGTTGCTGGCCAGGTGCAGTCGCTCATTTCTGTAATCCCAGCACTTTGGGAGGCCAAGGTGGGCAGATCATTTGAGGTCAGGAGTTCGACACCAGCTTGGCCAACACGGTAAAACCTGTCTCTACTAAAAATACAAAAGTTAGCTGGGCGTGGTGGCAGGCACCGGTAATCCCAGCTACTCAGGAAGCTGAGGCAGGAGAATAATCACTTGAATCTGGGAGGCAGAGGTTGCAGTGAGCAAAGATCGTGCCACTGTACTCCAGCCTGGGTGACAGAGTGAGACCCTGTCTCAAAATAAAATAAAAATTTAAAAAGGGGCTGCAGTATCCTTTGGGAAGCACCAGCTTTTGGGCCATGCCATGTCCTTATGGTAGGGGTCACACAAACTCAAATGACCATAGGGTCAGACAGGTAGTGCAAATGTCAAGCCACATTTGGGTTAGCAGGCAGGCAGTAACACACTGGAGTAAACTACTTCTCAGCTCCAGCAAGTAGTTACCACTTGCCTAAGTATTGTCAGACTTTTTCCATTTTTCAAGAGTGGCTAGAAATTCAGATTTTTAAGTGAAACTTCAATATTCTAAAATAGGAACTAATTCAAATGTTAAAAGTCACTATACAGGCTAAATAAAATTATCTGCGGACCAGATCTATGCCATGGGCCCCACCCAGTCCATGATCTTTGGCTTGAAGAGTTTAGTTACCACACAGCTTACAGTGATGGAATGTTTTGTTCCATTAGCACATATGAGAGAAAATACAAAAATCATTTTTCTTTAGTTTCTCTCTAAAGCACGTATTCCTATGGAAGCTCTCCTGAGGACTACTTTTGGCTGAATTACATATCTTCTAAATTCTTATCTTCTGTTTCATATAACTGCTTATCTCCAAAGGCAAAATCTTTTTAGGAATAAAGACAAAAACCAAACACAGTGCTGAGTGGTATAAATATAATAATTTATACCATATAGTGACTTTAACATCAGCCTTCAAGAAATCTAAAAGAACTTAACATTAATAATATCAACAGTTAGTAGTGAAATCACTAATATTCCTTTTCAAGGTTTCCCAAAGTGTGTTCTGTGGAACATGGGTCCCTAGGGTTGGTCTGCCAGATAAGCAGTGTTGGGGAAAAACTATAGATTATCTTCTCCTTCTTGGAGTTTCATGGCACCCATTAGCGTACTTAATTAAAGGCTCTAAGAAATTCTATAGAAATCTGTTCAGCCAGGCACAGTGGCTCACACCTGTAATCCCAGCACTTTGGGAGGCCGAGGTGGGTGGATCACCTGAGGTCAGGAGTTTGAGACCAGCCTGACCAATATGGTGAAACCCCGTATCTACTAAAAATACAGAATCAGTCAGGCATGGTGGTGCATGCCTGTAATCCCAGCTACTTGGGAGGCTGAGGCAGGAGAATCGCTTGAACCCAGGAAGTGGATGCTACGGTGAGCCAAGATCGCGCCATTGCACTCCATCCTGGGCAACAAGAGTGACACTCTGCCTAAAAAAAAAAAAAAAAAAAAAAAAAAAAAAAAAAAAAAAATCTGTTCAATGTTGTTTAACTCACAGCATTTCTAAAATTATTTCCATAGACCCCATTTTTTGCATGACACCTATTAATACCTACACTTCCAATAATTCTGCCCTACTATACCTTACTCTTTTTTTGAGACGGAGTTTCGCTCTTGTTGCCCAGGCTGGAGTGCAAAGGCACGATCTTGGCTCACCACAACCTCTGCCTCCCAGGTTCAAGAGATTCTCCTGCCTCAGCCTCCCAAGTAGCTGGGATTACAAGGCATGCACCACCACGCCTGGCTAATTTTGTATTTTTAGTAGAGACGGGGTTTCTCCATGTTGGTCGGGATGGTCTCAAAATCAGGTGATTCAACCACCTCAGTGTGAAGTTTTCAGAAACTTCACTCCATCCCAGGCCTTTTCCTCACTTATTTCTTGCTATTGCTCTGAAAAGTTCGCTTCTATAGAGTTTAACTTTAAATGATTAAGAGTATACTAAACTGAAACATTAGATAGCTGTTCAAAGAACTGAAAGTTTTCTGGCTAAACTGTATAAAAGATATGTTACCAAACCAGTTTAACTATTTTTCTTTTTTTCTTTTTTTTTTTTTTTTTTTGAGATGGAGTCTGGCTCTGTCAAGCAGGCTGGAGTGCAGTGGTGCAATCTCAGCTCACTGCAACCTCCATCTCCCGGGTTCAAGCAATTCTCCTGCCTTGGTCTCCCGAGTAGCTGGGATTACAGGCGCCTGCCCCAATGCCCAGTTAATTTTTGTATTTTTAGTAGAGACAGGGTTTCACCATGTTGGCCAGGCTGGTCTCAGACTCCTAACCTCAAGTGATCTGCCCGCCTCAGCCTCCCAAAGTGCTGGGATTACAGGCGTGAGCCACCATGCCTAGCCCAGTTTGAAATTTTTATCAATAAAGAGCAAAATAATTATAGCTCCATATAAAAACTAAAGTTTCATCCTACTTAAAACTAAAGGTCATTAATAGGGATACGATTAGGTCAAGGGCTAGGAAAAACAAGACATGCAATATGGGTCTTTTCGTCTTTTTTTTTTTTTTTGAGACAGGGTCTCAGTCTGTCACCCAGGCTAGAGTACAGTAGTACATGGAGTACAGGCATGCGCCACCATGCCCAGTTAATTTTTGTATTTTTTGTAGAGACAGGGTTTTGCCATGTTGCCCAGGCTGATCTTGAACTTAGGGGCCCAAGCAATCTGCCCACCTCAGCCTCCCAAAGTGCTAGGATTATAGGCATGAGCCACCGTGCCTGACCTCTACTATGCATTATTTCTTTAAACAGAATGCTATATGATAACATCATTTCCTAAAATGAAAATTTCATTGACAATTGACCAGAACCTCTTAGTTAAAATTAAATATAAAATGCATTTTTGGCCAGGCGTGGTGGCTCATGCCTGTAATCTCAGCACTTTGGGAGGCCAAGGCAGGTGGATCACCTGAGGTCAGGAGTTCCAGACCAGTCTAGCCAACATGGTGAAACCCCATTTCTACTAAAAAAAAAAAAAATACAAAAAATTAGCTGGATGTGGTGGCAGGTGCCTAAAATCCCAGCTTCTCGGGAGGCTGAGGCAGGAGAATTGCCTGAATCTGGGAGGCAGAGGTTGCAGGGAACTGAGATCACGCCATTGCACTCCAGCCTGGGCAGTGAAACTCCGTCTCAAAAAAAAAAGAAGCATTTCTGGCCAGGCATGGTGGCTCATGCCTATATAATCTCAGCATTTTGGAAGGCCAAGGCTGAAGGACTACTTGAGGCCAAGAGTTCGAGACCAGCCTGGGCAGCATAGTGAGACCCTGTCTCTATGAAAACCTTTTCAAAATTAGCTAGATGTGGTGGCTAAGGTGGGAAGATCGTTTAGGCCCAGGAGTTTGAGGTTGCAGCGAGCTATGATTAAGCCACTGCACTCCAGCCTGGGCGACAGAACCAGCCCTTGTCTCAGGAAAACATTTTTGTTGTATCTAATTTAATTACAGGATAAGAGAAAACACAATTTTTTGTTTTTGTTTTCCCCCCTTGCCACAGGGAGAAAACATATTTGTTTCCCCCCAGCAGCAAGGAGAAAACATAGGTTTTTTTTTGTTTGTTTGTTTTTTGAGACAGAGTTTCACTCTTGTTGCCCAGGCTGGAGTGCAATGGCACGATCTCTGCTCACTGCAACCTCTGCCTCCCAGGTTCAAGTGATTCTCGTGCCTCAGTCTCTCAAGTAGCTGAGATTACCGGCATGCGCCACCACGCCCCACTAATTTTTTTGTATTTTTAGTAGAGACTGGGTTTCTCCATGTTGGTCAGGCTGGTCTCGAACTCCTGACCTCAGGTGATCCGCCCACCTCAGCCTCACAAAGTGCTGGGATTACAGGCATGAGCCACCACGCCCAGCCAATAAGAATGGTTTTTGTTTTTTTGTTTTGTTTTGAGACAGAGTCTCGCTCTGTAGCCCAGGCTAGAGTGCAGTGGCACGATCTCGGCTCACTGCAAGCTTCGCCTCCCGGGTTCACACCATTCTCCTGCCTCAGCCTCCCAAGTAGCTGGGACTACAGGTGCCCGCCACCACGCCCAGCTAATTTTTTGTATTTTTAGTAGAGAAGGGGTTTCTCCCTGTTAGCCAGGATGGTCTCGATCTCCTAACCTCGTGATCCACCCGCCTCGGCTTCCCAAAGTGCTGGGATTACAGGCGTGAGCCACCGTGCCCGGCCAAGAACAGTTTTTAACACAAACCTCAAGACTTCAAATTTCTCAACATAACCACATATCCCTACAGCTAGAGTTCTCTCAGTTACAATTTAGTATTTAGATATTCATCTACCTATACATATCGTCAAGCTCATTTTTAACATCTCACTCTGTATGGTCCCTTCTTTAGGTTACAACACCCATCACATGAACATCCTACTGCATAGGATTTCATTTTCATCTGTTCATCTCAAGGCAGTTCCAAATGGCAAACCATTCGGTGTCAACAGTGCAATCAGGTGGCCAGCTCGGGAAACCATCTGACCAAAGACCCCCTCAAAGCCGTATGTTCTTTTTCCCAAAAAGGACCTGGTTCAGAGCTCAGCTACTTCCCCCATACTCTGATTTCTTTTTTCCTTTTCCTCTTTTCAGTACCGTTCAAACTCAAGCTCTTTAGGAAAAAAGTCTCCATTTTTCTCTCCCCAATCCTACAATCCTTTTAGTCTACATAAATTGGAAAAACAATACTGCAGAACCATCAGGACTGCTCTCCCCAACAAGAAGCAGCACCCCAGCTCATCCTAATAGCCAGGATGAGTCAGCTAAACCTAGGTCTGCTGACATACAGCTGCAACAGCTCAGTTGTAGTGGTGATGAACTCAGACCCACCCCAGCTGTCAGCAATTCTATTTTAAGCATCACAGACTTCACAAAATGACTGGATTGCCCCAGCAATATCAGAAATAAACTAGTTTGTGGCCGGGTGTGATGGCTCACACCTGTAATCCCAGCACTTTGGGAGGCCAAGGCAGGCAGATCACTTGAGGTCAGGAGTTCGAGACCAGCCTGGCCAACTTGGTGAAACCCCCATCTCTACTAAAAATACAAAAATTAGCTGGGCGTGGTGGTATGTGCCTGAAATCCCAGCTACTTAGGATGCTGAGGCAGGAGAATCGCTTGAACCTGGAAGGCAGAGGTTGCAGTGAGCCGAGATTATGCCACTGCATTCCAGCCTGGGTGACAGAGAGAGACTCTGTCTCAATAAATAAACAAACAAACTAGTTTGTGGTTTGTGAGGCATCTTTATCTCTTCCATGGCATAAGGAGTTGGTTTATTATTAATCACCAAAACTAAGAGCCACAACAATAATTGTGGTTTAGACTCTTTACAGCACACTGATATTGGCATCTCATTTCAACGTAATTTTGACCACATAGCTCCCTAACAAATAGGTCAGCCAGTTTCAGGAGTTTAGATGCTATCTATTATTCTCAAGTGCTGAAGAGGAAGAGATGCCTTCCCTGCATCTTCTGGGGGTAGTGGAGAGAAAGGAGTCTTTAGCCTTAGTAAGACTATATCCTGGGTAGCTCTGGGGGCTTCAGTCAGACCTCCGTCAGGCCTCAAGGCAAAAAGCTGTAACTCTCACATTCAGACTATTCCTCCCATTCCCTAGATACAAGTAGTCTCCAAGTAGAAATAGAAAATCTTCATCAAAATAGCCAGGATTCTTCCTAGACAGGGAGCCAAAAGTAACCCTAGGAAATTCTTTCACATCCTCCTTGGATGCTCCAAGTCCACCCTCAGGTTTAGGAAACAGTCCAGGTACAAAAAGGAAACTCCTGCCCCCATCACCAGGCTGCAGAGCCTATTATCTGATGCAAGGAAGCTACAGGCTTTACAACTCCTTTGGGAACTTCAGTTACTGATGAACAATTCGAACAATTCGGTATACTGTTTCATAAGGGCACTCAGTGCAGAAATACAGCATGCATAAACTGCCCCATGAAAATGGTTATGTATATCTTTGCACTATATTTGATTTAATAAAGCCATTATCAATTAAATATTATGCTCAGAAGACTCAAGTCAACACCTCTCTAAAGGCTTTTCTGACTGCCTCAGAAACATCTGCGTACTCTGCCCTTTGAGCGCTCTCCCCGTCACAACTACTCCCTCTAATACTTCTATCCAGCTATTTTAACTTTCAGGTTTTCAGAGCATCTGTGGCTCCTTAGGTCATTTACTGGTCATATGTCTATTTCCCTCTATTGGACTCTAAGATCCTCTAAGGCTGAAACCATATATTTGTGTGGATCCCAACTGCCCAGCACAGTGCCTAACCATTAGTGAGTGCTCTGTGCACGTTTGGTGTGTAAACAAATGTTTTCCTGAGGTGCTGACACTGGTGTCACAAAACATGTCCAGCAGCTGCTCTTCTACAGCTCCCAGATCACTCTCCTCACTCCACTGAAAGTTACCTTCCAGGGGTAGGAAAATAGGGTATATTTTGGTCACCAGTGGATGCCCAAGGTCTTGGGCTTAATGAATGCAAATTTCTGATGCCACTAGGTGAGACCCACTCAATGATCAGAATTATCTAGTGTTCATCATGACTGTTGATGCTGCTTCGTCACTCAGAAAGCATAAACATAATAGCTGATTCCCTTTTGAAAGAAAAAGCACTTTTGAGCACTTATATTGCACTACTGTGCTAGGCATTTTACAGTCACACTTAAACAGCACCACACCATATGCTCTAAAAATTATCCCTACTTTAGAGCTAAGGAAGCTAAGGATCAGAAGAGTGAAGTCATCTTGGAACTGAACTCCAGGTTTATAAAACAGTCTACACGTACTCTTTCTACTACAATCATGTTGTGTGCCTACAAGGCTCCCTGTCCTCCAGGCTACTGGCCACCAGTCACAGCTTCCAGATAGGCTCCTGAACAAGTCAACATGAATTTTTACTAGTGAGTGACTAACCACTCTTTTTTCTCCACTCTTTATGCCTGTTTGCAATGCATCAAGAAATGACCAATGGACATTTGTTGGACCTACTAACAAAACTAGCAGTTAGCAAAGCTTGAGAAAAATGAGTTAGCAGTGAAACTAGCACTGTATCCAGCTATTTTAACTTTCAGGTTCACAGTCTCAGGCAATCTTGTACTCCAGCCAGACAACTTTGTCCAATGTCTATATAAATGTGAACTTTCAGCTCCATGGTACTAGGACAAGGATGTTGTTACTGGCATGCTGATTACTAAAACTCTTGAGAGGAATGTACACATAAAAGTTCAGGTTACCTAAGTTTTTCCTGGGAAGATGCCTATTCTTTGAATGAGCTTCATGGAATACTAATTCCACAGGAATCTGCACGAGTATCATCCCCAAAGCAGGAATGTAAAATGCTGGATTAAACAATTTTACACAAATGTATATATTGTAAGACTTCTCAGAACCTTAATATATCAATGTTTCTCAAATGATTTTGGCTAAGGAAACTTTAATTAAAAGACAAAATGGATATACAATGCACAAAGTAAGTGCTCAAAAAATGACACCTATTACCATTATGAGGAAACCTTTTGTCGAAGATCCTCTCAAGAGATTAGTCTTTGATGGGACAAGTATTCTTCAGAACACACTCTGGAAAACACTGAACATTATCCCTTAAGGGGTGGCGTTGGCTATTTTGTCCACTAGCTACCATTTAGTACAATGGAAATGCAACTTTTTTTTTTTTTTTTTTTTTGAGACGGAGTCTTATTCTGTCACCCAGGCTGGAGTGCAGTGGCTGGCACGATCTCGGCTCACTGCAAGCCCCACCTCCCAGGTTCACACCATTCTCCTGCCTCAGCCTCCTGAGTAGCTGGGACTACAGGCACCTGCCACCACGCCCAGCTAATTTTTTTGTATTTCTAGTAGAGACGGGGTTTCACCGTGTTAGCCAGGACGGTCTCGATCTCCTGACCTCATAATCCGCCCGCCTTGGCTCCCAAAATGCTGGGATTATAGTCGTGAGGCACCACGCCCGGCTGGAAATGCAACGTTTTTTAGACCTCCCTGAAAAGAAAATACAGCTTCCAAAGATTCAAGCACTAAGAAATTCTGGACCAATTTGCAGATTCAGACACCCAGGGCAAAAAAAAAATCAAATGTATAATGAATAGGAGATATGTCTCTCACTTTGGAAAAGAAATTCCTTCTTTGAAGAAATTCCTATGATGGAAGGTGTCCGAACCATGATTTCTTTTCTTTTCTTTTTTTTAGAGAGACAGGGGTCTCGCTGTTGCCTATGCTGGAGTGCACTGGTGTGATCACAGCTCACTGCAGCCTCGGACTCCTGACCTCAAGCAATCCTCCTGCCTCAGCCTCCCAAAATGCTGAGATTACAGGCAAGAGCCACCGTGCCCAGCCCCAAACCACAATTTAGACCAAGAATTCAAGAAACAAATAAATAAATCAAGATCAGAAATGCTAAAGATTTCCGAGGTGGGATATGACACACATGCTGATATGGCTTAGCCGTGAATTCTAAGATGTGGACATACAAAACCAGATTCGAATGGGCCAAGATAAAATTATAGTTATGTGTTAAGAGGTACTAAGCAAAGAATGAAATACCTGTAGTAAACACATCACAAATGAAGGACTGAGACAATCAAGGTGTTCTATAACTTAGTCTCTATCTATTTTGCCCAATTTAATTTCTCTCTATTCCCTTTCACATATTTGTGCTCCATCTAACCAACCTAAATATTCTCCATTCATGTCACACCATTTCCCATTTTTGTGTTCATGTTTTTGCCTTTCTCTGAAATTTTTATTCCCTATACTTCCACCCTTCTCTTGGCCAACTCCACATTCTCCTCATCCTTCAAGCCTAATTCAAATGACACTTCATCCAGGAAGTTTTCTTTCATCATTCTAGGTATAGATGAACTCTCCAAAGTACATAATCTGTATCTTATTCTTTTGTTTTATCTTTGTTACTTTGGCAAATATTTGGGAACCTTTTATGTGCTAGGTTCTATAGATACTGTGTATTTATATACTTGTTTTGTGGGTTTTTTTTTTTTTTTTTTTTCTGAGACTGAGTCCTGCTCTGTCTCCCAGGCTGGAGTGCAGCAGCCCAATATCAGCTCACTGCAACCTCTGCCTCCCGGGTTCAAGCAATTCTGCCACAGCCCACCAGTAGCTGGGATTACAGGCGTCCGCCACCATGCCTGGCTAATTTTTGTATTTTTATTTTATTTATTTATGAGATGGAGTCTCACTCTGCCACCCAGGCTAGAGTGCGATGGCGCAATGTCGGCTCACTGCAACCTCTGCCTCCTGGGTTCAAGCGATTCTTGTGCCTCAACATCCCGAGTAGCTGGAATTAGAGGCGCCCACCACCATATCCGGCTAATTTTTGTATTTTTAATAGAGACAGGATTTTACCATGTTGGCCAGGCTGGTCTCGAACTCCTGACCTCAAGTGATCCACCCAGCTCAGCCTCCCAAAGTGCTGGGATTACAGGCATGAGCCACTGCACCCAGCCTATACTTATTTTATCTATGCATTATACTATTAACCTTTTTTTTTTTTTTTGGCTATTCCCTCATTACCATTTAATTAACTTTTGGACACAAGATTTTATATCAACTCACAGTACGTTCTGGTTCACAGTAACCAGTACTGTGCCTTGACCACGGCAGGTACTCAAACATGGTCTGAAGGAAGGCACACCATTTTAAAAAGATGGCTCTAGATAGGGATGGAGATAGCTACGATAATAGGTAACATTCACGATACATGATGTGGTGATCAGGGAAGGATTCATGAAAGAGATGGCATTTGTAAGGAGTCTTTAAGGGTAGGAATTAGAAATTGAGATGGGAGGCCAGGTGCGGTGGCTCACGCTTGTAATCCTAGCACTTTGGGAGTCCAAGGCGGGTGGATCACCTGAGGTGAGGAGTTCGAGACCAGCCTGGCCAACATGGTGAAACCCCGTCTCTACTAAAAATACAAAAATTAGCCAGGTGTGGTGACACATGCCTGTAATCCCAGCTACCTGGGAGACTAAGGCAGGTGAATCACTTGAACTCAGAAGGCAGAGGTTGCAGTGTGCTGAGATCGCACCACTGCACTCCAGCCTAGGCAAAAGAGCAAGACTCTGTCTCAAAAAAAAAAAAAAAAAAAAAAAAAAGAAAGAAAGAAAAAAGAAAAAAAGAAAAAGGAAGGAAGGAAGAAAGGAATCAAGATGAGAGCATAGATATTTCTGTTTGGTTAAAATATGGGGTTCAGAAGGAAAGCAGAAAAAAGCAAAGTTGGAAAAAATTGAAGCCAGATTGGGAAGGTCTTAAATAGCTGGGAAAAGGATCTGGACTGCTTTTGTAACCAAAGAGGTGTGAATGAAAAGTGCTACAGATCCCACTCATATACAAACAGGGGGAGGAGGAAACACCAGAATGACAGACACATGGGACAGAATTAAAAACTGAAGAATTAAATTGGCCTTTATTTCCAGATTCCTTATTCTTACCATTCTTTTCGATTTTCATTTTTCAAGTTTTAAGTGGATGACCACATTACCTGAGCAATAACGTAAAGAATGGATCCCCACATAAGCATACTTTAGTTTGGTAATATGGTTTTTAAATTTATAGCAAAATCACTCTGTTGTATTTCAGGATATAGAGAAATTGTAGTCGTGCTATAAATAAATCATAAGGAGCAGGAAGCAGGAAACTCCTCTGATAATCCTTTCAAGGTGTTTGCTATCCCACATCTCTGGCCAACATGTTCTAGAACCTTAAATAGCTCCTTCTCCACCTTCTTTTCAAGATTACTCTTTTTCAGCCCCTATCTCTGCTAGACCTTCTAGGTCCCTTGCTCTATTAGCTTGCTGTCTTGAACCTTCAGGTTCAATCTATTAATATAGTCAAAAAATAGAGTCACTTTGATGAGAGGGACCACTGTGCACAATGTCTGCCTGCTTCACTGGAACCCTTGCACATGGACACAGCTGTCTTCTGATATGCCTGGGATACCTGAGCTATGAAACTCCTCTTACTGGAGAAGGAAAAAAAAAATCATAGATCTAGAAGCTCCTCAATACCTCCTCTTGCTCTTGCCAATTTGTCTTCCCATTCTTTGGAACTGAGGAAGTCAACTAATTAGGCCATAAATACAGTTCCTTCTGCAATCTTTCAGGACCAGACCTATACACAGAATAGTCTGAGTTGAGTAATTTAATAAGAAGTAGTCACTGATGAAAAATATCTCCCTAACACAACCTGAAATCCACAAATTTGGAATTCATTTGAGTTAAAAAAAGCAAGTATGATCCTGGACAAGATGGGTGAAAGGAGACCTCACTATCAGGTTCTGCATTAGAAAAACAATCTGATTAATCTGTTCCAAAGGGAACAGGAGTTTGAGGGGAAACGATGAGAAAGAAAGATAAAGGGTAGAAAATCTGCAAGGTCATTTTAGAACATGGTGTATTTCCAAGAAGAAATCCAGGGAGGGTCAGAAAAAATGAAACAACAGAACAAGGGCACTGGGATCCTGAAAGGTAGAAAATAAAGGCTAGCCAAGCCAAAAGCTGGGAGCAAGGAAGCACCATGGCTCAAAAAAAGTTTGGTGAGTGAGCACCAAAGGTTGACTTTGCCTTGAGCTACTGCCAAGGTCCTCATTTACTTCCAAAGGTTCAACACAGTTCTTACTTTTTTTCCCCTCATGGGAGCATGCACAATGAGGTGGAATGTACCAGAACCTAGGTAGGGACATATGCATAAATGAGGCAGGGGGTGGTGGTGGGGTGGTAGATGTGGAGCTAAAACCAAGTAAGAGAAGTTTTCAAAAATAGAGCCAAAAGAGTAGAACCCAAAATAGGATCCAGTTCATTAAAATTGCAGGTGTTTGGGGACTTTTAAGTTTCCTATCCTAAGTTTTACTAAAACTGTTTATGCTGGAAATTCTGAGTATGCCTGGGTCAAAGAAATGTGTGATTGGCAGTCGCCATTCAGAATTCACCAAGCTACAATAAAACTGCTGCACTTGAGCTCAGAAAATGAAAACTGTAATAAGGCAGAATTTGCCAAAACACAAACAGTGAAAGCTAGTTTCCCCATAAACATTTCCAAAACAGATTAATTCTACTAATTATTTTCAAAAGTCCTTCAATCCAAGGATAATACATGTGTTTCTACTGAAAACACTCAAGAGTAATGGCATTGTCACCACAACACCTCCATCTGACCCCTACTGCTGCTCACTCCCTGCTCAAGAGACATCCTGTCCAGCTGAAGGCTTGTCCCACAAGGCATATTATTCTCCTTCCCTACAGAGCCAGTGACACGATTCTTCCAAAGTATATAAACTCTGCGTGTTCATCTCTAGCTTCTTAACCTGCATGGACATAACTATTTCAACATGTACTACTATCCCTCTGCCTTTTTATGTAGAAAAATTTATTTCTAATCCTCTCCTACAGTGTGTGACCTTAAACCTTCCCAGCTCACTCCAGCTTCTCTCCAACTGGCATGCCAGTAGCAGAGGCTCTCTGGAGGTTGAGAATTTACCTCTCAGATATCTGATCCTACCAAATTGGGTACAGATTTTTTTTTTTTTTTTGAGACAGTCTCACTCTGTCGCCCAGGTTGGAATGCAATGACGCGATCTCGGCTCACTGCAACCTCCGCCTCCTGGGTTCAAGCGATTCTACTGCCTCAGCCTCCCAAGTAGCTGGGATTACAGGCACGTGCCACCACCCCCAGCTATTTTTTTGTATTTTTAGTAGAGAAGGGGTTTCACCGTGTTAGCCAGGATGGTCTTGATCTCCTGACCTCGTGATCCACCCACCTTGGCCTCCCAAAGTGCTGGGATTACAGGCGTGAGCTACTGTACCTGGCCAGGTACAGATTTTTTGTGTGTGTGGAGGGGGACTTGTTTCTTCTTTGGGTACAGACTTTCCAAACTCATACTACTCCAAAATTTGGCAACAGCCTCCAAATTTGAAAATTACAGTGGCACTTTTATACTGGCTAAAATCCTTGCCTCTTTTTCCACATCATTTGCTTACTCTCCAATGAATACTCTCAATATCCCCATTCTTTAGTAGTTCTTTCTTCTGCTTTAAGTGCTGCACTCTCCCCTTTATAGGTGGCCAAGTCTCAACATCATTTTTTAGCAAACAGTTGTAAACCCTGTTAAAGATGTCATCATCCTTCTCAACAGATATTGCCATATAGCTGAGTTCTAATCTTGCTCTATTGAATCCTATGTAGGACTGACAACATTAGCCAGTTAAATTTGTACAAGTATCTGACCTCTACCAAATGCTTTCACATTCATTTTCCTCTTATCTGAGCCTCTCAACAACCCAGGGAAGAATGATTATTCTTCCCATCTTCCAGGTGAGGAAACCACAGTTCAGCAAGGATTAGATGATTTATTCAAAGCCAAGCAGATATTTAAATACAAGAGTCAACACTCAAACTTCTATATTCAATCCAACTATTTCCCCATGCACATTTCTGAAAATAAACCTAGCTGCTAAGTAGGCCCTACATTTCCAGTGCTAGTCATACAAAGGCCGCTGCAGGCCCTGTGGTATATACAGCTCTGGTCTCTTGCCCACTCTGTGTCATATTTTTACTCTATTTGCCACATCTAGCACCAAGCCTTGACACACAAACTCACCTCACCCTACCCCTGCCAACTTCCCACAGATCCCTACTTCTGTCACATAAATGAAGTTCGTTTATTCTGCTCTGAACATGATCTTGCCCCTTCTCCACTGATAGCTCTTCTGCCAGAGGAAGGACACAATCTTCCTCCCTTATCCAGTGACTTACTCATTCATACTCTGGCTCAGAAGCCACAAACTCTTAACCACAAACTCTGTATTATGGTTTTAGCTCCACGTTCTCTGCCCTTCTCCTCTCCTGCTCTGTTGAAACTATCCATTTTAGAGTGTAAGCTCCTGACCCAGAAGGCTCTATTTAACTAGCTGTGGGTACCACCCAGCACAATGCCTTGCATTCAGAGGCACATAAACATCAACAATTATGACCTTTTTCAAAAATAAATAACTCCGTTCTTGATCTGAAATAATGACGGAAACCAGCTGCCAAAACCGCTAAGAGCATTATTTACCTCGATTCAGAATTTCTGAATAGGAATTAGCTTAAAAGAGCTGTAAGTGAAAGACAAGGACATATTTGTTTACACACAGTCCCAAAGGTATAAAATGAATACTGAGTAATTTGTTGTTAGTTTCCCATCACCAACGAAAGTCCAACTCTACTGCATAGCAAGGCCAAGCTGGGTAAGAGGATCCTAGTTACCAGCATTTCCATTATCAGAAAGAGGAGGTCAGCTATTCCAATAGCATATGTGCTCTGGAAAAGCAACAGCTGGCCATGTATTACTTACTGGCTTGTCCTTGATGGTGGGGCTTGACACACACAGGTAGAGTTTCCCATCTTCTTCTAGGCAGGCATCTATCAAAGCTTGTACTGAGCTTTCCTCTTGGAACAGCAGAAAGGCATAGCCTTGGGGAGAGCAAAAACAAAAGGGTAGAGGAAGAATCAGTACATTAAACTCAAAGTACCAATTACAAATTATCTGTTGTTTCATTTTGGCAAATTCTTACTAAAATCTAAGAAGTTCAAGTGGGACAAAGGGACTTTGTCCAGGAACTAAGTTAGGTGCTCATTGATATTACCTTGTTTAATTTTTACAATTACTCACAGAAGCAAGTTTAGAACACATCTATGGAATTTCCACTAAATACATCTGGTTATCCTTAATGAGGGCAAGTGGACTCACCATTGGCCTTAGCCACAACTAACAAGTAGCCAGGAAACAAGCACCACCTGCTTTCCAATTTCTACAAAGCTCTAGGCTGGCCACATGCCACAGGGATAAACCTTGAAAATATTATGCTAAGTGAAAGAAGCCAGACAAAATATGTCCAGAACCAGCAAATCTATCAAGACAAAAAATAGATTAGTGGCTGCCTAGGATGGGGAAGCTGGAGGGAATAGGCACTGAGTTTCTTTTTGGGATGATAAATTTTCTAAAATTGATTGTGCTGATGATTGCACAACTCTGTAAACATGCTGAAAACCACTGACATGCACATGTCACATTGGTGAGTTGTATGGTATGTGAATGATATTTTAACAAAGCTTTGTTGACACACAAACACACACACACAAAAAGCTTCAAAAAAGTTTTTAAAAAGGCCAACAATAAGCTGGTGTGCTTTTGCCTGCTATTTCTGATGATGGTGCTCTGCTTCTCTAAGAGATACCCTCTTGGCAGAGTACAGTAGGTCTAGAAAAATGGACATTAGCTGCAGGATTTCCATAGACACAGCCAGTTTTTTTCAGTTTAATTCCATAAGATTTACCGAGTAACTGATACAAGTGGGACATATCCATGGTTTATGAGAATACTAAAATAAGCAAGACCACGTTCCTTTTTTTTTTTTTTTTTTTTTTTGAGATGCAGTCTTGCTCTGTCACCCAATCTCAGTGCAGTGGCACAATCTCTGTGGTATGATCTCGGCTCACTGCAACTTCTGCCTCCCGGGTTCAAGCAGTTCGTGTGCCTCAGCCTCCCAAGTAGCTGGGATTACAGGCGCCCGCCACCACATCCGTCTAATTTTTGTATTTTTAGTAGAGACAGGGTTTCACCATGTTGGCCAGGCTGGTCTCACACTCCTGACTTCAAGTGATCCATCTGCCTCGGCCTCCCAAAGTGCTGGGATTACAGGTGTGAGCCACCACGCCCGGCCCCAGGTTCCTCTTGTAAAGAAACTTATGAAGTAGATGAAACAAACATTTAGACAATTAACTACTCACTACAAAGCTGAGGGAGATAAGTGGGGACAAAATGTGTCACTGAAATCACAAGGAGCAAAGGCCCAACTTGGGAGAATCAGCAAAGACTTTAAAGAGAGCAACAGATATTCAAGGGGCCACCTGTGGCACTTGTGGCCACACTGGCATTCATAAATGATGACAGAGCAAAGGCCCGTCATGAACTAGTCTAAGCTTTCAACTTCTCTACAACCCTGCTAGCTTTGCTAAATCTCTCAGCTGTCATTCCTCAACTCCCAACTCTGCTACTAACCTCAAAGGAA